>NW_009646201.1:0-330164 GCF_000001405.40 Homo sapiens | reverse complement strand
GAATTCCCCCACTCTGCAAAGGACAGTCTTTAACACAAATAATGCTGGAACAAATCAATGTCCCGAGGCATCAAAGTGAACCTCAACCTTTTTTTCACATCCCACCCCAAAATTAACTCCAAAAACTAGAAAACCTCTAGCAGAAAACATCAGAGAAAATCTTTGTGACCTTGGATTAGGCAAAGATTTCTTAAATATGACACCAAAGGTGTGATCCATCAAAGAAAAAAACTGATCAACTAGACCATCAAAATTGTAAATATTTACCCTTCAAAAGACATCACGAAGAAGCAGACTGGGAGGAAACATACATAACCCTTTAAAGAGTTAGAATGTATATGCTAATTCCATTCCTTTAGTGGTAGTTCATCAAAGTTTCTAGTAAATTCATATCTTTACCCTCCCCTTGAACATCGCAGGACCATAGAACCTTTTAATTCCAATTATTTCCCTCCTAACTTTAAGACGATTATTACCTTGTATTTTTCTTTTATCTTCATTTAAACAACACATGACATTTTTACCACCAATAATTGTTTAGATTTGCCCACATATGACAATCTCTTCGACTTTCATCTCTTCTTATACCCCAATTTTTTCATCTGGGGTTATTTTCCTTCTGGCTCAAACATATCTTTTAAAACTTCCTCAAGTGGCCGGGCATGGTGGGCTCACACCTGTAATTCCAGCACTTTGGGAGGCTGAGGTGGATGGATTGCTTGAGCCTAGGGGTTCCAGACCAGCCCTGGCAACATATGGAGACCCCCATCTCTACAAAAAAAAAAACAAGAATTAGCTGGGCATGGTGGTGCACACCTGCAGTCCCAGCTACTCAGGAGGCTGACGTGGGAGGATCACCCAAGTCTGAGAGTTCAAGGCTGCAGTGAGCCATGATTGCACCACTGCACTCCCATCTGGGCAACAGAGTGAGACCCTGTCTTAAAAAATAAAATTAATTTTACAAAAAATTTCCTTAAGCAAGGGTTGTTTGTGGGACACCTTCTTGATTTTTATTTGCCTATGATTGTCTTTATTTTTTTCACTGAATATTGAATTGTATAGGTGGGTAATCCTTTGTGTCTTTATTTTTTCCACTGGATATTGAATTCTAGGTTGACAATCATTTGCATCTTTAATTTTTTTCACCGGATATTGAATTCTAGGTTGGTAATCATTTGCTCTGAGCATTTTGAAGACATCATTTCTCTGTTTCCTAATTCCCATTGTTGCTCCTGAATAGTAAGTTCTCAGCGTAACTATCTTTGAAGATAATCTATATTTTCTCTTGGGCTCTTTTATAAGACTTCTCTTGGTCTTCAATGTTCTGTATTTTTATTCTTATGTGACTCGTGTGGAATCCTTTTTCTTTGGCTTGCTTGAGAGTCACTGGGCTTCTTAAATTTGTGGGTTGCTATCTTTCATTATATCTGAAATAGTTTCAGCCATAATCCTCTTCAAATATTGCCCCTACTCCTATTCTATCTCTCTTCATTTTCTGGAAATCCAATTAGCAATATGCTTACATTTGCACGCAAGTCCTCATGTTCTTTATATTTCCCAGTTCTTTATCTTTCAGGAGTGCAACTCTCCTAATGTCTTTTGCCTTATCCTTCAGTTCATCAATTCCTTCTTCGGTCATGTCTAAACTGTGGTTAAGCTATCTTTTGAGTTTTTCATTTTGATTGTCATGTTTTTATTTCTAAGAGTATGTTTGGTTCTTTTTCAAGTATGCTTGTTCTTCATTAATACATCCAAGCCTCTTATTTCTTCCATAAAACACATTTATTTTCCAGTCCTGCTATTTTTAGTATCTAAATGTTTGGCTGATCTGATTCTACTGCCTGTTGTTTCTGTTGACTTTCCCTCATGGTGTCTTGTTTCCTTGTATATTTAGTGATTTTTTTTTTACTCTGAACTGCTCATTTGCTGTGGAACTTTATGGAAATTTTCTGAGGCCTGAGGTAAAGGCAGAGTCCTTTAGAAAGTAATTGTATTTACTTCTGTCAAACAATTGAGGCACTTCCAATCTGACACTCCTTTAAACTAAAATCCCTTGTTTTGGATAGTTGAGGAAATGTGGATTCAGGCTACATACACACACACGTAGTTCAGGTTATAGTTATTAATTCTTAGAGAATGCTTTTCCTGCTCCACTTGGCACCAAAGTTTGCTACAGGCAGTGCCGATGTAGTATCCAAAGGGGAAATAGATTTTCTAGTTTCCCATGACAGTGAGGTGTAGCCCATGGAGTCCCACATTGAAGGAATGGTCTTCCACTAGACTCTCCTGCATGGCCAGGCTCTGTGCTTTGTCTTCTGACCTCTAGCCACAAAAGTAGTCAAAAAATGATGCTCAGGTTTGCCTATGAGAATAAAAAATTTCAATTCTCCAACTTCAAAATGAAAAGATAGGCTGTTGTCTGGCCACAGCAACAAGCAAACACCAGCATTAAGTCCGTCTCAATCTAGTAGTGACCACTTTCTTTGGTCAACCAACCAGCAGTAGCCCCTCTCCAATAACTAGTCTCCCTCAGTTAGAGATCAATCATTCCCCAAGCTCTCCCACTTCTGAAAGCCTCCTATGCCTGAACTCCACTCTTCCTGAAACACTATGAAGGCCAGCAGTTTGCTTTGTTCGGGCAGTCTGAGCCTTACAATTATAGCTCTCCCATGCTGAACAAGCAATAAGTTCAGCTTTTTGTTTCAGAGATGGAGCAGTGGCCACATCTTTCCATACCTCCCAGGAAAGCCAGATTCAGTGTCCACCTTCCTCTCTGGGTCCCATCTTTTCTCTATCCTGGCCTGAGTACTCCACACTTCCTAGTCAGCTCAAGACAATAATCAACAAGACAGGCATTTTTCATTCTACCCAGAATTTCTAGCTGCTGTTAGTGGGAGGGTTTGTGCAGGTTCTTAACTGGCCATATTGAAAAAGAACAGAAATCTTTGGACTTTATTTTACAGATGAGGAAACTGAGGCATGGGAACATTACATAAATCACTTAATATTATGGAGTCAGTATATCACAGATTCAAACCTTGGAAGCCAGGCTCTAAGGTCTGTGATCTGATGCTCTACCACACCCAACAAGTGAGTCAGTAATTAGTGAATCCATCCATCCATCCATCCATCCATCCATCCATCCACCATTTATTGAGCTGCTTCTACCAGTCAGCCACAGCTTAAGGCCCTGCACATTGTATTAACCCATTCTCACACTGCTATAAAGATACTACCTGAGGCCGGGTACAGTGGCTCACACCTGTAATCCCAGCACTTTGGGAGGCCAAAGCGGGCGGATCACGAGGTCAAGAGATTGAGACCATCCTGGCCAACATGGTGAAACCCCGTCTCTACTAAAAACACAAAAATTTGCCAGGCATGGTGGCGCATGCCTGTAATCTCAGCTACTTGGGAGGCTGAGGCAGGAGAATCGCTTGAATCCGGGAGGTGGAGGTTGCAGTGAGCCGCAGAATGAGACTCCATCTAAAAAAAAAAAAAAAAAAAAAAAAAAAAATACTAACTGAGACTGGGTAATTTATAAACAAAGAAAGTTTCATTGACTCACAGTTCCACAGGGCTGGGAAGTCCTCAAGAAACTTACAATCATGGTGCAAGGTAAAACAGACACCTTCTTCACAAGGCAGCAGGAGAAAGAGTGAGCATGAGCAAAGGAAACACTGCCACTTTTAAAACCATCAGATCTCATGAGACTCACCCACTATCAGGAGAACAGTGTGGGGGAAATCACCCCCACAATCCAATCTTTTCCCTCCCTGGACACACAGGGATTACAATTCAAGATGAGATTTGGCTGGGGACACAGATCGAAACCATATCACACAGACAGCACCAAATGAGATGGGCTGCATTCCTGCCTTCATACTGCGTACATTTCAGGGAGAGGCGGCACAGGAGTGCATGGAGGATGCCTCGGAGCCCCTCGGAGTGTGCAGAGGCACCAGGAAGAACCCGCAGTCAGCGCCGGCAGCAGCAGCCAAGGGGACACACACCCACCATTTAGGCTGGGTCTCCAGGTCACGACCACTCCACTAAGTCCCCAAGACAGATCCCATGCCCCTGGGACACAGCCACAGGAATGAGCTCATGGAACCCACGGGAACCCGGAGGCACAAAGAAGGTTTGCAACTTTCCCAAAGTCTGTGGCCTGGCCGACATTTGAACACAAACTCACTGGTTCTCCTCCTCCGTTTGAAGACAAATGCTCCAGCAAGGACTCAGGGAGGAGCTTCTGGGCCAAATACCTCTGGATTTAGGGAGGGCAAAGGTCGCAGTGGCTTCTCTCTGCCGGTAACCCTGGAAGCGATCATGAGGAAGTCACAATGTTTCATTGGAAGCCAGGCCCTTCCCTAACTTCACGAGCCTGAACGTAGGGCATCTCGTGGAGCTGGGCTGTAGACAAACCTTCTTAGCTCCTGATGTCCCCCGAGGCCTTTAAGAAGTCAACACATTTCCCCAGACTCTGCAAGCCAAGCAGGTCTTGGCCTCTGTCCTGTTACCCTAAGGGTCATGGGTCCCCAAAAAGGCCCCCACACGGTGACGGATGGTCGGCAGAGCTGCAGAGGAGGGGGCGGGTTTTCTGCACTGTGTCATTTGGGGAACAGCTGGGCACAGCTGTGTCCTGAAGACACTGCCCCAGCCCCGCTGGGAACACAGGGTCAGACACCATTCCCAGCATGGGCCCCACACCAGAGGCCAGACCAGGGGACAGCGTGTCCTGGGGCTCGGTCGGCCCCGTCCCAGCCTGACAAAGCAGCCTCCCCCGACTCCAGCCCAAGCCAGAGGAATATGTAAGCTTTTTCTCTTAGGTCTTCCCAAGCTGGGTGCTATCTGTCCAGCAGGGGCAGGGTGCTGGTGTTCTCCCAGAGTGGCAGGGGTCCAGCTGGATAGAGCTTTGAAGCTTCTGGAACCTGCGCTGTGGCTCTCACCAACCTGCTTCGGAGCCACTTTGGGGAATCTGGGGACCCAATGAGGGCTGTCCCGGGACCCACACGTGCCACCATGAGCTGAGGCTCCCCTCTGGTTAAGGAGAGCTATTCAGGGAGGCTGCTCTCCTGCCCCACACACAGCAGGACCCCATTCGCCTCAACCTGCAGCCCCAGCTCCAGAACCTCTTGCAGCACCAGGCATCCCCTCCTGCCACCACTGTGCCGAGCCTGGGCACCTCCCAGCAGGCTGGCCTCCCTGCCCTCCCACCTTGTCTTTCATCAGGTCTCAACTCCAGCCCCAGCATGCACATCTTCCTTCTGTGTGCGCACACACACACAAAAACACACACGTATGCATGCACACACATGAATCCACTCACATACTTGTATGCAAGCACAGACATGAATCCACACACACAAATGCGAGCACACACATGTATGCAAGCACACACGAATGCAAGCACACACATGAATGCACACACATGCGAATGCAAGCACACATATGAATGCAAACACACAAATGCATGCATGTACACACACAAATGCCCACACATGCAAGGATGCATGCACACGCGTATGTATGCACACACACACACGAATGCACTCACATATGTATGCAAGCACACACAAATACACACACATGTATGCAAGCACACACATGAATGCACATGCATATTCAAAGGCATGCACACCCATATGCACTGCACACATGAATGCACGCACATACATGAATGCATGCACACACACACACACACACACACACGCACTGTTCCCTGCACCTGGACACCTTTGTGTGAGCCTCTGCTCCCTGCCCGCCAAAATCTTACCCGTCCTCCAAGACCTGTCTCAAAGTCCACCTCCTCCACAGCCCCTCACTAGCCCCTCCAAGCTGCCCTCTTCTGAGCCGTCCCTCTACTCAGCCCTCACCTTGGGGAGCGTCCCACCTCCACAGGTGTGTCTCTCTCACCTGACAGAGCCCCAGGAAGCCAGGACCAGCCCCACTGACTCGGTCTCCCCTCTAGCACCTCAGCACTGCAATCAGCTGCTACCCCACCAGTGTGTGGTGGGTTGAGAGCTTTCAGATGTTTCTTATTAATTTTTATTTTTACTTTTTTTTTTACCCCACAAGCAACGCGTGGGTCAATGATGATTCTAAGTTTGTTCAAAGCAACCATCTACCTTTTTCAAATTACTCCAGTCATTCGTGTGTGTTGTAGAAAAATTCAAACATGTAGATAAACAAAATGAAGACCATTAAAATCATCGGAAACTGTAGACGTTTGTCTCTGTGGTCACTTACGTAGGGCTGCTGTTCTAAGTCTGCTCCACGTATTGACTCATTTAACCTGCGCAATACCCCTGAGTGACAGGTGTGGGCATCACCCCATTTTGCAGCTGAAGGCACTGAAGTGCAGGGCCGTTTGGCAGCATGTCCAAGGTCAAGGTCATCTGGAAAGCGACAGGGCTGGACTTGAGCTCTGACAGCAGGCTCCAATGCCCATGGTCTTGACCGCTGTGCCCTGTCCTGTGCATAATTAGGATCATACAACACTGTCTTCTGTAACCCGCCCCCCAGCGCCATCTTAGCATGCAGTCTGTCGTGAACACCCTCCAGGCAGGATCACCGCATCATTTTCCAAGCCTGTCACATCCCAGACCTCCAGGTCAGTCCACACTGAGACAGGGTGGACAGGAACTCCTGGGAGGGCCGTACCCTCAGTCCATCAGTCAGACCCCTAGAGTCCTTCCCGGATGCCTGGACGCCGCTCCACCCCCAGCCCCCAGCCGGCTGGTGAGAGTCGTGGATTTCAGCCTCCGATGGAGGAAAGGCCAAGTCAGCCGCAGCTCAGCTTCTCAGAGGCCAGGGGCCGGCTCCAGGTCATCGACTCTGCATTTCAGGCCAACCGGCTTCAGGGGCAGGGTCGGGGGGCCCTGAACAGTGACAGCGCCACCCTCAACTTATGCAGACGCTGTGGCAATGTCTAATCCCACGAAGCCTCCTCCTGCCTCACCCTAAGGGCCATCGTAAGTGCATGGACATGTGCATGGACACGGGACAGACGGGAGAAAGCATGGCTTGAACAGCAGACCGGGCTCTCAGCCTCAGACACCAGAGAGCCTCCCGAGCTCAGGCAAGGCTGCCAAGGGAGGGTGCGCACCCCCGCCACGGAGAGGCTCCCCGGCCACTGTCTGGAGAGCTACAAGTTTTGAAATATCAGCCACCCAGAGAGAGGTGTGGGGCTGACTCCACCCCGATCTGGGGGGTCTTCCCATGGAGTCCCTTGTTCCAAGTGCATCTGGGGGAGATTTCAAAGCCAGAGTGTCACTGACCCAAAGACCACCCACCTGGCCATTTCGGGGCCAGACCCCCAGGCGTGTCATGCCTGACCGAGACACATTGTGTCTGGACTTTCAAAAAGAAGGAGGGAGGCAGTCTGGGGACGAGTTCCATTTCTCAGGAAGAGCAGAAGGGCCCAACGGGCACTCGCCTTCTGTTCTGATAGGAAAGAGTCTTGCAGAAACGGAAGAGGAAACAGGAGAGTTGAGCTCTGGGGGCTTCAAAGCTCAGCTCAGTGGTGGAGGCGACAGCATCCCTGATGGGCCACGTGAGACACAAGCATCCATGGCTCTATCCTCACCCACAGACGGAACATGGAACCCGGCTCGCTGGGGTACTCGCTGGGAACGGTGCCCTGCAGTGGGGCTCTGGGGTTGTGCATATGCACACATGCGTGTATGCACACACACACACACAAGCTCATGCACACACACACGAGCTCACACACACACACAAAGCTCACACACACAAGCTCACGCACACACATGTATGCACACACACAAGCGCACACACACACGAGCTCACGCACACACACATGAGCTCACACACACACAAAGCTCACACACACAAGCTCTCACACACAAGCTCACACACAAGCTCTCACACACACAAAGCTCACACACACACAAAGCTCATGCACACACAGCTCATGCACACACAAGCTCATGCGCACACACACACAAGCTCATGCACACACACACACAAATCTCACGCACACCCACACATAAGCTCACGCACACACCCCGACACACAACACATAAGCACATACACGACACATAAGCTCACACACACAAGCACACACACACAAGCTCACGCACACACACAACACATGACACATAAGCACACACATGACCCATAAGCTCATGCACACACACACATAAGCTCACGCACACACATGACACAAGCACACACACACAAACTCATGTGCACACACACGACACAACACAAGCTCACACACATAAACACACACACACAAAGCTCATGCACACACACACAAGCACACACACATAAGCACATGCACACACACATACAAGCTCACGCACACACCCACAACACACAACACATAAGCACACACATGACACATAAGCTCATGCACACACACAAGCACGCACACACACACATAAGCTCACGCACACACACGGCACATAAGCTAACGTGCACACACATATAAGTTGATGCACACACATAAGCTCACACACAAGCTCACGCACACACACACATAAGCTCACGCACACACAAATGACACAGAAGCTCATGCACACACACACAGAGCTCACATGAGCACACATGACACATAAGCTCACATACACACACACATAAGCGCACACACACAACACATAAGCTCATGCACACACACACGCGCACACACACGAGCTCACACGAGCACACACACACGTGTACACACAGACTCACCAGCCCTGGGGGCCCCTGGGGCTTCTTGCTAGGTGAGGCCCATTCCACAGACAGAACGAGACAGCCTTGATTGTTGTCCCAACAGAATCCAGATGAAGAAAACGCAGAAAGAGAGCCAGACAGTGTCTGCACGCTGAGGCGCCTGCTCTGGCCCTGAAGGGCGTCCACCCGCAGGCGTTGATGGGCCACAGGCAACAGCCAAGAAGTTGGCCCGACTCACCCCATCACCGCGGCTCCTGGGGCTCCCACCAGGGTCCACAGGAGCACGCTGAGGCCGTGTTCTGCCTGGGCCAGGGCTGTCAGACCTCCATGGAAGGGTCCTGGGGAGACACAGCTGGAGGTGTCTGGAAGCTGCGTTCATGTGGTGAGCCCATCTTTTCTACTTGGATGGTACATTCATAAGGCCCCCGCCCATACAAGACCCAGGAAAACAGGGCCAGGAGCTGGAAGGGAAAAGGCCCCACAGCCACAGAGTGAGGCCGCCAGCCTGGGGGACGCAGGGGAGGCCGGGGCTGGGTGGGTTCAAGGCCAGTTCGTGTCCCAGCCATGGGGGCGGGACACCCGGGCAAGCTTTCCAGCCCCCTCTCTATCAACTGAGCTGGCAGGCCTGTCCGTTTCAGGACAGCAGAGCCCTGTACCCATCCTCCATGCGCAAGAAGCAAACCCCACTCCTTATCTGCAGGAGGAGGCGGGCTTCTCTGTCGATATGGGCAAGCCCCTCAGGCAGACATTCCCATTCTTCCAATATAAGGCCTTCAAACATTTTAGGAGGCATGCAGGCACCCCATCTCCTCCTCCCCCTGAAATCCCAGATGTAATTACAATACGTGTGGCATCCCAGGGCGACAGGACCAGCTGGAAGCCGGACCCTAGCCATGTGAACACAGGTACACGAGACTCACAATGGGCACTCACACGCAGACACCCACACGGCCCCTGCAAGCGTCGCCCACACCCAGGCCAGCGCTGAGCCGTCCAGTCTGGGCTCTGCCTTGGCAGACACCAGGGCAGATGCACCTGCCGCCAACGGCCCCAACACCCACCCAGGGCCACCTCCCTCCCAAGTACCTGGGGCAGCCTCGCCCTGCATAACCCGATCCCCTGGCTGGCCCCACACATGTGTTTTTTCACTGAGCTCAGGCATCACCTCCTCCAGGAAGCAGCCTGTCCCCGCTCTCCCATGTCCCGGGTCCTGTGCCCCTCTGACCTGCCCCGGCTCTCCTGTGTCTGGGGGCCTGTGCCCCTCTGCCCTGCCCCGGCTCTCCTATGTCCCGAGTCCTGTGCCCCTCTGCCCTGCCCCGGCTCTCCTGTGTCCGGGGACCTGTGCCCCTCTGCCCTGACCTGGCTCTCCTGTGTCTTGGTGCCTGTGCCCCTCTGCCCTGCCCCAGCCTGCCGAGGGTGTGATGGTTTTCAGTGTGTCTCCCCTCTGGAACTGGTCAGCCCTCAAGGCAGGGCTGACCCCCATCCCAGTGCCTGGTATGAAGCTGGGCCTGAGCTTCCTCAAAAAGCGTCTGATGCACAAGCGAATGTGGTGACAATACCCACGAAGGGCCACCCTGAGCCTGTCAGATAGGAGGCGGCATTGCTTTGCTGAAGCGTGGGAATGCACGCAGGAGTGTGAGCACAGGCCCTGGCCCTGGACCGCCCCGTTCACCCAGGGCCCTGCTGGTCCTTCAGGCTCGAGAACACGATGTCCACAGGCTCCCAGGAACTGCAAGTGAGCAGAGTGGCCGAGAGCCGTGACCCCAGGACAGCAGCTGAGCAACAAGGGGGCCCCCAGCAGGCCAGGCAACCCAGGGCCCCAAGTGACATGTCCCCTCGCCCCAGGCACCCTTCACCCCAGCCATGGCCTGCATAGCAAGCCACTGCCATGCAGCCTGGGGAGCTCCAGGCTTAAGGTCCTGGCAGTGACTCTGGAATGGAAGTGCCAGGGCACAAACTCCAGGACCACCCCTTACCATGACCTGCAGGGCCGTGGGCAGGCAGGAAGCCCCCTCATGGCCAGGTTTCTTGAGGGCACCGTGGTTTCATGGCAGCATCTGCCTCCCAGGGCTGCTGCGGAGGGGAGAGGAAGGGACACAGAGTTCTGGAGAGGTGCTGCTTGCCAGTGGGGCCCCTGCAGATGGACAGAAGCCTGAGGGCGGCCCCCTCTGATTTCCAGCCTTCCCTCCAACCTTCTCCTGCATCCACCTGGCTGCCATTTGGGCAATTCCCAGGAGGATGAACAGAGTAGCCGAAGCCCGCAACACAGACATTTAACTTAGGAAAGATCTGATTGGTTCGGACACCCCTCGCCCCGGGCAGTGAGAAGAGGGCCTGGGCAGACCCTGCCTTGTTCCCCGTGGCCTCCCCAGCCCCCAGTCCCTGCCACCCCTGAGCCAGGGAAATCCTTCTGCGCTGGAAGTGCGGCAGCCCACAGAACAGAGTGCAGCCTGGGCATGCCCTCGGCCCTTTCCCTGAACCTGTTTCTTCTTCTGTAAAGTGGGAGAGAAGGACACGCACAGCTGGCAGAGGGCGCAGGGAGCATGACCACCAGCCGAGCACGCTGTGCGTGTGGGAAGCACCCAGTGGCAGCTACAAACAAACAGGCCCCGGCTCCCCTGTCCTCCTTCTTCTCGCCAGCAACCCCAGAGATCTATTCCGGGGACCCGGCCACAGCTGGGCTCCCGAGCCCCACATCCCCCAGCCCGAGGTGCCCTCAGGCCTTCCAGTGGAACATTTTTGACATAGTCTAAACCATCAGCAAAACAAGATGAAAATTCAGTAATTGCTTTTGGCAGGGAGTCCATGGGCCAGCACAGAGGCCAAAAATAACCCCGGGGAAGTTTCCTGGGCCACCTGCAGCCCTGGGGGCCCGTACTAGGCTCTGTCTGAACACAGGCCAGGACGGGTCTCGGCCTGGCCCTGCAAGCCAGCCTGGACAAAGCAGGGAGGCGGGCAGGGACTCGGGGGGCAGCGGGACAGAGTGAGGCTGTCACTTAGCACACTTCAGGCCAGGAAGTGCCCGGCCATCCGGAAAAATGTAATGTCATACTTTAGCAAGAAAAGCAGCTGTCATGCTACTTAGCAGCCCACAAATAGTTGGCTGAGTCCTAGAGCGGGTGTTGGCTGAGCCTGGGAGAGCAGAGATGCCAGGCTGGCAGGGCGGTGTGGGCCTCGTCCGGCCAGGTGGTATTCCCTCCCAGCCCCTCGCTCCCCCAGTCTCCCCCAGGCCTGGTCAGTCCCCAGCAGGCTGTGGGGGGCGCGAACCCCCTGAGGTTACAGCCCAAGGTCGCTGCACATCTGGCCACGGTAGGGGGACCTCGTCTGACCCCTCCCTTAATGCCTGCTGGGGAACCCCAGAGGGGACAGGAGCTCACTTCACCGGGTCAGAATCAGACCTCTCACCCACATCCCAGGCAGCCTAATCCTTTCCTCCAGGCCTCAGGGCCTCATCTGTAAACTGAGGCTGTCAAAGATGGTGGTCAAGGTACCAGAAGCCCATTAAGTAGCCAACCAGCCAGGCTCAGGGCTGACCCCCGCGCTCTCCTCTCCCCCATTTTACCGATGAGGAAATGAAGGCTCACGGAGGGAAGACCACACAGCGAGGATTGAAGCTTGGGTGGGACCCCAGGAGCAGAGCGGGCAAGGACGGCGGCTTCCCAAGGAGGGCTGATTGGCCTGCAGAGGGGTCAAGGACAGTGGTGTCCCTAGGAGGGGCTGATGCACCAGCAGAGGAGACGGGCCAGCCCCACCCTTGCCTTATCCAATTCCTTCTTCATCCCCCTAAATGGGATGCCCAGAATGCATGTGGGTTGCCTGAAGCCCCTTGAAAGCCCCCGGAGTGTCAGATGGGGGGTGTCCAGCCAGGTCTTTGGTTGAAGGAAAAGAGAGAGAACCCACCAGAGCCCAGTCCCGGGCGGGCTTCGCCTGCAGGAGGAGCCCCACCCCATGCCGTCCCGGTGAGGAAGTCAGGCGACACCTCTGTGCACCTGGCCATCTGCTGTCTGCGTACCTGCTCCTGTCCAGTCTGAGTGTCATTGGGTGTTTTTCATTCTCACCTTCCAGAGGATACCGAGGCTGGAAGAGGCACAGTGACCGGCACAGGGCCCCAGGGTCCTAGGTTGTACTAGGTCTCAGATGAACGCATGACCTAAAGCCACCCACCTCTCTGGGAGCTGGGCCAAGTGCAACTTCCCACCCAGGCTGTCCTCCTCCCTCCCTCCTCCTCCAAGTCCTCCTCCAGTTCCTCCTCCCCTCCTCCTCCCCCTCCTCTCCCTCTAGCTCCTCCTTCCCCCTCCTCCTCCAACTCCTCCTCCCCCTCATCCTCCAGCTTTTCCTCCTCCCCCTCCAGCTTCTCCTTCTCACTGTCCTCCTCCCTTTCCTCCTCCCCCAACTCCTCCTCCTCCCTCCTCCACCTTTTGCTCCTCCCTCTCCTACTTTCCATCCTCCTCCCCCAACTCCTCCTCCTCCCTCCTCCACCTTTTCCTCCTCCCTCTCCTCCTTTCCATCCTCCTCCAACTCCTCCTTCTCCCCCTCCCCTCCTCCTCCAGCACCTCCTTCCCCTCTTCCTCCTCCAGCTCCTCTTCCTCACCTTCCCCCCCTCCTCCCTCTCCTCCTCCTCCTTCTTCTCCCTGCTTCTCCTTCTCCAGCTCCTCCTCCCCCTCCAGATCCTCCCCATCCTCCTCCTGCAGCCTTGAAGCAGTAGGGCCCGACTGTCCCGACAGCACCCCTGCACGCCTCTGAGGACGATTCCCCAGTGCCCCTCAGGGTGTGGCAGTGAGGAGGGTGCCTAGATCCAGAGCACACCCATGAGCCAGCCCCTTCCAGCCTCCAGGTCCCTCAATCCCCAGATGAAGAGAGAGTGACACCGGGTGTCCAGCAGGAGTGCATGAGGCTGCAGCAAACAGAAGCCAACCCCATCACTCCACATGGACATCCAGCCTCCAGACACTGCCTGAGAGCCCCTGCCTGCTTCCTTCCCCAGCAGCGTAGCGTGGGTCCCACCCTCCTGCCTCGGTCTCAGCCTCAAGACTGGGTCTCACCCTCATGGTTGCCAGTGAGCAGCTGCCTCCCCCGGCCACGCGACGGGATTCCAGGCAGGAAAAAGAGGGCAGGACCCAAAACGTTTTCCAGTGAGACTTTACCTCTCTAATCAGGAAGAGCTGCCCCAGACCCTCCTGTCTAGCCCTCGTGGCCTCTGCACCGACACGTGGCCACCTGGCCGCAGGGAAGGCTCATTGCCATCCCCAAGCAAAATTAGGGTCCTTTCAGAAGGAAGCAGAAAGGAATGGAGGTGGCAGTATAGCCCCACAGCCCCCGGTGACTGACCTGGAGGAAGAGTGACTTTCCCAAAGCCACTCAACTAGGGAGTGCTGGAAATACAGGCTGGATTGGAGTCCATCTGTCCCCATGCCCGCTCTCTCAACAATGGCACAGAGCAGCCTCTTCCCCGAGGGGGGAGCTTGCCTTGCCCCTCTATGGGCCACTTTAACCTGGCCTTGCAGACACCCACCAGCCCACATCCAGGCTGGTAGAAAGGATGCCAGTGTCACTCCATACCCAGCTTCCTGGTTAAAGACACACATCCAAACACACAGAACCCATGTACACATAAACACACATATATACACATGCACACACACGGGCACACACACAGGCAAACACACATAGGCACATCCCTACACAGAGACACACACACACGCACACACGCTCTGGCGGGCTGCCTGCTCTCACACCTCTTTGCAAACCAGCTTGAGCTGCAGTCCTGCCAACCCCACCCCAGAACTCTCTCTGGCTGGCTGAGCCCCGTCCCCAGGCCCACCCTGTCACCCTTTGCACTGTCTAGCCCGGCAAAAGCACATACTTTCCTAACCTCAGGCATCTGGCTGCCCAGCAGCCCCTGGAAGGTGGGGAGGGGAGGTAGGAGACAAGGCGGGAAAAACCCCAAGGTAGAACCACAATGTTTATAAAACGGGCCACTGAATTATACAGAACAATATTTTCCTTGCGGATGCGATTCCTTCCTGGCCAAGCTGCACGGAGATGCCTGCTCTCACCCCAGGCCCTCTCTGCGAGGGCTTGGCCTGCAGGAGCCACCAGAGCTAGGCGGGTGGAATGAGTTGGCCCCTGGAAATGCATTGGAAACCACACAGCCTTCTCATGGGCGCTGGTCAGAAATACAAACGCACAGAGCAGGCATACACTGCCCTGGTCGGCCTGCGTTTCTCGTTAGCACTGGGCCTGCAGGCAGGGCTGAGGCCCAGGGTGGCAAGGGCCAGAGGCCATCCTCCTGCTGCCCTGCTCTGGGGCAGACATGGGCTCCTCGGCCTGCGTACCTGGGCTTCCCTGCAGCCCTCGTCCCTGGTCCTGATGGCTCCTGGGCCAAGGCTGGAAGCCACTTCTAGGAGTGCGAATGACTGGAACTTTCGGACCTGATCTCAGCACTTGGGAGGAAGAAGCCGCAGGTTCTGCCTCTGCCTCGGGCAGCCTCTGACGGGATGCGAAGAGGGACGTGGGTTTGAAATCCCCAACAGCCCAGCCCAGACCACCCTGGCAGACTCTACCAGCCCGTACTGTGAGTTACTAACTCCACCCCCCGACCTCAGAAGCTGGGTCTCAGGGTCTCCATTTTTACTTCTTCTTCTTTTTTTTTTTTTTTGAGACAAAGTCTTGCTCTGTCACCCAGGCTGGAGTGCAGTGGCGTGATCTCAGCTCACTGCAACCTCCACCTCCTGAGTTCAAGCGATTCTCCTGCCTTAGCCTCCTGAGTAGCTGGGATTACAGGCGTGTGCCACCACACCGAGCTAATTTTTAAATTGTTTGTAGAGACGGGGTTTAGCCATGTTGCCCAGGCTGGTCTCGAACTCCTGTCCTCAAGCAATCCACCTGCCTCGGCCTCCCAAAGTGCTGGGATTACAGGCCTGAGCCACTGCACCCAGCCTTCGAGGTCTCCATTTGACAAGATGCGTTGAGGGGTGAACACGGAGAGGCAGAGAAAGCTGGAGCCGTGTGGAGCTGGGGGAGTCAGGCGCCTGCCTGCAGCCACTCTCCTCCACCAACAGAGAGGGGACATGACAGAGGGAGCAGAGAGAACAGCCCCCAAGGGGCCCCTGCTCCCTGGGCAGAAGGCCAGAGGCTCCGGCGGCCATGCTTGCTGCCTCCGCCAGGCCATGTGCTGCTTGGGGCCATGTAGAGCCTGATTCTGAGAATCTGCGGCATCCCCCAGGTGGGTGTGCGGGACAGGGAGGAGGCTCACAGAGAGGCTTGTGGGGGGAAGCAGGGAGGATCAGCCTCAACATTGCTCTGCCAGGAACCGGCCTCCCTCCTTTCTCCGGGTGTGCCCTTCCTGTAGCAGGCAGGATGGGCAGGGGAGGGAGGCGGCTCCGTGGCGCGCCCCCACGTCCTGTCCTGCTTATGACAGCTCAGGGAGGCCCCGGTCTAGCCTGTAGGCCTTTGCTCTCTCAGTCCCCCCACCTGAAAGGCCACCCCACTGCTTCAGGAGGTGCCCCAAACCTCCAGGCTCTACCTCCGTCTCCCCCTCTGCACGACGCCTCTAAAGCCACCGCTCGCTTCCCGGCTCGGCTTTTCCAGGGCAGTAGGGGCAGCACGCTGGACTATGGTCTGCCCAGAGACAGAGACAGAGGAAGCGTACAGCCCCCCGGCTGCCCCATCATGGACACCGAGGTGTGTACTTTGGCTTCAGAAAGCTGGAGGAGGGAGAAGAGCCCCACCTACGGGGACCCCAGGAAGGACAAAGCGTGGTTTGGGAATGTGGAACCACGGCCTTGCCGCTCACTTGCCCCTTCTCGGTGGCTGCTTCTCGGAGGCTCCAGAGGCCTCCAGTTCCCTGAGGGGAGCAGTAGCTGGTGCAGAAGAACACAGAGTGACTTCTGAACTCCCCATAGTCTGTTCCTCTGCCTGGAACAGCCTCCCTGGGGACCCCGGCCCTGGCCTACTCCTCCTACACCCTAGAGCTCATCTGCCCCTTCCTGCAGGCCCTACTTACCCAGCCCAGCCCCAGCATGCTGCAGTGAGTCCAGCCTTCCCATTCCTGGTCATACCCCAGCTCCGTCAGGGATCCTGTTTACCCTGTTTCCCCGCAGGGGCTGGCTCACAGTAGAAATTTTTTTTTTCTTTTTTTTTTTGAGACGGAGTTTCACTCTTTTGCTCAGGCTGGAGTGCAATGGCTCAATCTCGGCTCACCGCAACTTCTGCCTCCTGGGTTCAAGCAATTCTCCTGCTTCAGCCTCCTGAGTAGCTGGGACTTCAGGTGGCCGCCACCATGCCCAACTAATTTTGTATTTTTAGTAGAGACGGGGTTTCTCCATGTTGGTCAGGCTGGTCTCGAACTCCTGACCTCAGATGATCCACCTGCCTCGGCCTCCCAAAGTGCTGGGATTACAGGCTTGAGCCACCGCACCCGGCCCACAGTAGAAATCTTGACAAGTACTTGTTCCGTGAGAGACGGCGGTGGGGGGTCTTGGAGCCTCCAGGAGACCTTCCAGCCCGAAGGTCTCCCACACTCCTCCCAGCCCTAAAAATGCTTCCCTGCTTCCTATGTCGAGGTCAGGGAGGGAGCTGTTGCGGCACAAAAGAGCATCAGGGCCCTGGGCCAGGGCCACAGGCAGCATTCTCTGACTCTAGAGCCCGGCTCACAACTTACCTCCGCCCTATGATTTTGTTAAGGAGATTATAGATATGGAGATGGGGAAAGAAGATAAATAGAAAATGTTAAAAATCTGTTCTCTCTGG
This sequence comes from Homo sapiens, assembly GCF_000001405.40. Taxonomy (NCBI): domain Eukaryota; kingdom Metazoa; phylum Chordata; class Mammalia; order Primates; family Hominidae; genus Homo; species Homo sapiens. The sequence continues at coordinate 312,731 of NW_009646201.1, read as the reverse complement.
GTAACAGGATTTGTGCTTATCCACATCCACAATCTCAAAATGTTCTGCACCAAAACATAAAAAGCCTTCAGCTCCTCAGCCCTGGCCTGGACTACCCAGAGGGCACCATGCAGCAGACGATGCGATTCTATCTGTAGCCACCAGGTGGCAGCAAAGACCAGGGCACCCGCCTGGCCCAGCCCCAGCCTCCCACGGCACCTGCCTTCCCAACAGGGCCCAGAAGTGGGGTATTGTGAGCCCCATTGGATGACCAGGGAAACCAGGATCCAGGTGGGAAAAGGCACCTGCCCATGTCACAGCCCAGCACGGGCAGAGCCTGGACTAGAACCCCCATCTTCCAACTCACCCGCTCATTTCACCAGTACCTAGGGGTCACTTGGCTTTAACTGCGATACCCAAAAGGGCCTTGCAAAGATTCAGACGGGGCCAAGGTCCTGCAGCCAGCCTGGAGAGGAAGTGGATTTGAGCCCGATCTGCCTGAGCGCCGGGGCTGCGCGAGGCTCTCAGCCCAACATCCGGGGCCGTCCCCAGGAGCACGCCCCCTGCCTGCAATGGCAGAGTCCGGTGCCACCCAGGGGCCCCGCTGGGGAGTCTTGGGGTCCCGTTGGGGCTGCTTTGGGAAAGGGTGGAATGGAGTGCAGCCCAGGGTGTCGCTGGGAGGCCCCGCTGTGCCTCCCCTAACTCCGTGCCAGGCCCAGGCCCCCAACACTTTCCTGGAGCCCACATTAGCAGCAGCTTTGGCAAGGTCCGTCCCACACCAGCCAGGCCGAGAGCAGGAGGAACAGCAGGACAAGGGCTGCAGCCAGGGTCACGGAAGGCGCCAGGGTCACGGAAGGCACCAGGTCCGAGTCTTCAGGGTCATCACCAGGGACATCTCTGGGGACGTTGGGGACACCGGACAGCTGGGTGCCAGAGACCTTCTCCCCTGGGGGCCCTGGGCAGCCCATCTGTGGGAAGGAGGAGGCAAGGGGCAGGACCTCCTCGGGGAAGGCCCCACCTGCCCACCCTCTGCTGTCCCTCTGGTCTGCTCCCTCAGGAAGGCCTGATGTGGGTTGCATAGGCCAAAGCAGGGGGCATGAGGTGACCTAGAAGTGACCCTGGGCAGCAGCTCTGAGCTTCAGTCTTCTCCTCCATAAAACAGGGGTGAAGAAGACCCCCAGAGTGGGATGAGTATTCCCGGCATCTGCTCCCCGCCTCCCACCTTCCCAAGACACGGCAGCCCTACTGTCCCCTCGGAGACCTCGGCCCTGGTGCCAGGCCTGGAATGCAGCTTGGCCCGTTTCCGGGGAACTGGGAAGCTGTCAGACTGGTCTGGAGGGACCTTTGTCAAACTGCATCAACGCGGCCAGCTGCCCTCCCCCTGCACGGCAGCGGTGAGGTGGGCACAGGTGGCATCCATCCTACAGATGAGAAAAGTGAGGCTTAGCGGACCAGTGGCTCCTGAGAAGCCCCGGAGATTGGCAGAGGCCCCTATGGCAGCCCCCGTGGAGACCTGGGAAACAGCTTCCAAGTGCCAGGCCCCAGCCCTCCCCCGCAACAGGGCAGAGTCTGGACCAGATCATTTAAGCCCCAGCGCCCTGGACCAGCAAACCACCGCCAGGGATGCTCCACCCAGCCCCCTCCAGATCCTGCCCCCAAGCTGGACTCCAGGCCCCTCCCTCTTACCCCAGCTGGGTGTGCAAGGCCCAGTCACCTTCCAGCCATGGGGGGTCCCATGTCCTGGGAGGGGCCTGCCCTCAGCTGCCATGCTCCCCAGGGACAGGCGGCGGACAGTGGCAGCTGAGTGCACCCCCTCGAGCTTCCCTCTGCAGGACCCACCCCCCTGGGGCCTTCCTCGGGGAGGCGCCCAGCAGGAATGACAGGAAAGGAGGGAGAACTCGCTGTGGGTGTGGCCAGCACTGAGAGAGGGGTGGTGGCCGTCCCAGGCACCAGAGCAGACCCAGGGTCCCCCCAGACCAGCTCTCTTTCTGCTGCTCTGAACTGAGATTCCTGCCTGGGGCGGGAGGCCACGGAAGGGGAGAGGACTCTGAGTTCAAGTCAGCAAGGGGCTTCCAGACACCCTTTGTGTGCCCAGCACTATGGATTGGGGGGTGCCTTCACACCCCCTCAGAGGCCAGGTCCCCAAGCAGCCTGTCTGTCACAGATCCAGGAGAGAAGGACAGGAGAGAGGAAGGTGAGCTTCCCCATGAGAAGGTTAAAACAGGCTTTAGAGGTCACAAAAGCAGTCCCTGCAGAAGGAAATTATTCTTTAAAAACAAAGATGTTCATCATGTTAATTTTTTTTTTTTTTTTTTTTTTGTATTTTTAGTAGAGACAGGATTTCTCCATGTTGGTCAGGCTGGTCTCAAACTCCCAACCTCAGGTGATCCGCCTGCCTCAGCCTCTCAAAGTGCTGGGATTACAGGCGTGAGCCATTGCACCTGGCCGGCCCCATCATGTTAATTTTAACAGCAAAAATGGTTTGTTGGGGTTCAGACCATGATCCCCACAAGCAGGGTGCCTGGCATGAGGATTCAGAACTAAAGGAAACCAGAAGGCCTCTGGTGCATCCGAAGTCTTCTTCCAACCTTCTCCTCCCCTCCTTTCTCCCGCCCTCTTTCTCCCCAGCAGCAAGTTGCAGAAGCCAGAATTCCTCTTTCCCTAGGTGGGCCATGGACACTAGAGTCCCTCTCCCCCAAAGCCAGCCATGAGACCTAGAAACATGACTCGAACGCTACCTGCCTTTCTGGGGAAGAGCTGGCCATGCCCACCTTGTCTGACTGTGGGTCGTAAAAGACCCTCCCTCCGGGGGTTCTACCCCATCCCTGGGGGGAGAAGCACTGCACAGAGAGGCCAAGGGGGATCTGCACAGCTGGCCTCGCCAGCCTCGCAGTCCATCCCCACAGGCATCCCCTGCCGTCCGACACCTGTCCACACGGCTGCCTGTTCTCCACCAACTCTAAGCACAGGGACCATCTTCCCTGGGTCTCTGAGTCTCCACTTCTGACACCTCCCTGTCACATAAAGCTTTGATTAAATAAATCTGGTGTGCTTTTCTCTTGTGAACCTGTCTTTTGTTATAGAACTGTCACCCATGGCCCTGATGATGATGAGACCATCCCTATAAACTTTATAAAATTAATCAAGGAAGAAGAGAGGAGGAGAAATGAGAATAAACCAGGCTTGTAGCACATTCAGCATCCATCGCTAGGTCAACTTGCTCTCTGACCTCAAAGTTTTTTGGTGCCTGTTGCCTTAGAATCACAGAGACTCTGTTACAAGATTGTAGCTCTCCCTCACTGCCCTGTAGATATAGATAACAACTTTAACATTGCAAAGATGTCCTTTTCCTTTTTTTTTTTTGAGACAGAGTTTTGCTCTGATTGCCCAGGCTGAAGTGCAACCGCACGATCTCGGCTCACTGCAACCTCCACTCCTAGATTCATGTGATTCTCTCGCCTCAGCCTCCCAAGCAGCTGGGATTACAGGCTCACGCCACCATGCCTGGCTAATTCTTTGTATTTTTAGTAGAGGCAGGGTTTCACCATGTTGGCCAGGCGCCCAGTCAAAAGTTTCCATTTGAGATGTTCTTTTGGGTCCTGTGTACCAATGAAACTACTGACACCGGCCGGGCGCGGTGGCTCACGCCTGTAATCCCAGCACTTTGGGAGGCTGAGGCATGCAGATCACGAGGTCAGAAGTTCGAGACCAGCCTGGCCAACATAGTGAAAACCCATCTCTACTAAAAATACAAAAATCAGCCAGGTGTGGTGACATGCATCTGTACTCCCAGCTACTCTGGAGGCTGAGGTGGGAGAATCGCTTGAACCCAGAAGGTGAAGGTTGCAGTGAGTGGAGACCATACCACTGCACTCCAGCCTGGGTGACAGAGTGAGACTCTGTCTCAAAAAAAAAAAAAGAAAGAAACTACTGATGACAGCTGGTCTCAAGGACCCCAGGAGGACCTGATTCACCAAAGAATACATTTTCCACCTCCTGATGATTTTACCTCCCATCCCCAGACCTATCAACAACCCACTTCTAAAGCCCATCGCCCTCCATGATCCCCTTAAAAGCCCCAGCCCAAAGCTCCTAGGGGAGATGGATTTGAGGATCTCCTCCCATCTCCTTGCTCAGAGCCCTGCAATCATTAAACTCTTCCCTGCTGCGAACCCTGCTGCACGGTGTACTGGTGTGTCGTGGTGTCACGGTGGAGCAGGCATGTGGATCTGCTGGTCTTGTAACAATGGGTGAGGAAACGGATTCCACCTTTTCTACCCTTACAGTTTGAAACAGCTTTGATGCCCATGACAGAAGATTCATTACAAATTCAAGCTCATCCACCCAGCCTTTAACATTAAAAGGCTGTGAAACAGGGCCGGGTGCAGTGGCTCATGCCTGTAATCCCAGCACTTTGGGAGGCCGAGGCGGGCGGATCACGAGGTCAGGAGATGGAGACCACCCTGGCTAACACGGTGAAACCCCGTCTCTACTAAAAATACAAAAAATTAGCTGGGCGTGGTGGCAGGCGCCTGTAGTCCCAGCTACTCAGGAGGCTGAGGCAGGAGAATGGCGTGAACCCAGGAGGTGGAGCTTGCAGTAAGCTGAGATGGCACCACTGCACTCCAGCCTGGGGGAAAGGGCGAGACTCATCTCAAAAAAAAAAAAAAAAGGCTGTTAAGCAGGGTTCTGTGCAAGAAGGCTCACACCGGCTCATTCTTTTAGCCAAAAACTGTGCTACATCCGTAAAACACTACACTACGCGGCTGCAAATAAGAACAAACCACTGAACATCAGCAAACCACTGATAAATTTCATAAACATGCTGAAAAAAGAAGGCAGACAAAAAAACAGTGCTTCACATAGGTTCTCTTTATAAGACCACTGTAATCTATCGTCACAGGAAGCAGATTAATAGTTTACTGGGGAGGCCGGGCGCGGTGGCTCATGCCTGTAATCCCAGCCCTTTGGGAGGCCGAGGCCGGCAGATCACGAGGTCAGGAGATCAAGACCATCCTGGCTAACATGGTGAAACCCCATCTCTACTAAAAATACAAAAAAATATTAGCCGGGCATGGTGGCGGGCACCTGTGGTCCCAGCTACTCAGGAGGCTGAGGCAGGAGAATGGCATGAACCTGGGAGGCGGAGCTTGCAGTGAGCCGAGATCGCACCACTGCACTCCAGCCTGGGGGACAGAGTGAAACTCCCTCTCAAAAAAAAAAATAGTTTACTGGGGAGCAGGGAAAGGAGGTTGACCTCAGAAAGGCACAAAGAAACCTTCTAGAAGGGTGGAAATGGGCTGGGCGTGATGACTCACGCCTGTAATCCCAGCACTTTGGGAGGCCAAGGCGGGAGGATCACCTGATGTTGGGAGTTTGAGACCAGCCTGGCCAACATGGTGAAACCCCATCTCTACCAAAAATGCAAAAACTACCCAGGTGTGGTGGCGGGCGCCTGTAATCCCAGCTACTCGGGAGGCTGAGGCAGGAGAATCGCTTGAACCCAGTGGTCGGAGGTTGCAGTGAGCCGAGATCGCACTACTGCACTCCAGCCTGGGCAACAGAGAGAGACTCTGTCTCAAAAAAAGATAAAAGAAAGAAAGAAAAGGTGGAAATGTTTTATATCTTGATTGGGGGTGTTTGGGGTTATACAATTGTCAAAACTCATCAACCTATATTTAAAATGGATTCATTTTACTGTATATAAATTATAGCTTAACAAAGTTGATTTTTCTTGTATTTTATTTTTTCAAGAAGGCTCTCCCTCTGTCACCCAGGCTGGAGTGCTGTGGTGTGATCACAGCTCACCGCAGCCTCAAACTCCTGGGCTCAAGCAATCTTCCCACCTCTGCCTTCCGAGTAGCTGGGGCCACAGGCACTTGCCATCACACCTGGACAACTTTTTTAGCTTTTTGTAGAGACAGGGTCACTTTGTTGCCCAGGCTGGTGTCAGACTCCTGGCATCAAGCAATTCTCCTACCTTGGCCTCCTAAATGCTGGGATTACAGGCACACACCACTGCACCTGGCCTAAAGTTGATTTTAAAAGAAAAAAAATACATTTTAAAAAAAGAGAAGGCCGGGTGCGGTGACTCACGCCTGTAATCCCAGCACTTTGTGAGGCTGAAGCGGAAGGATCACAAGGTCAGGAGTTCAAGACCAAGCTGGCCAACATGGTGAAACCCCGTCTCCACTAAAAATACAAAAATTAGCCGGGCGTGGTGGCACATGCCTGTAATCCCAGCTACTTGGGAGGCTGAGGCAGGAGAATCGCTTGAACTCGGGAGGTGGAAGTTGCAGTAAGCTGAGATCGTGCCACTGCACTCCAGCCTGGCCAACAGAGCGAGACTCCGTCTCAAAAAAAAAAAAAAAAATACACATATAGATATGTAAAAATACATACACATATATATGTATATACGTATATATATGGCCACGAGGACTGTGCAGCCTGATCACCATACCAGGGTGTGCCTGAGTCCAAAGCCTATGATCTTGATGGCAAGAAAACGGTGACGTAAAGGGGCTGCACAGTTTAATGGGGGCCCCAATAGCAAATATGCAAAATAGGCACATGAGGAAAAGACTGGAAGAGGCTAAAACGCCATCAAGGTCAGGCTGACGGGAGATGGATGTGATTTTATTGTTCTATTATGGTTGTATTTCAATCATAATAAAAGGGAATTCTAACTTTTAAAAATGCTTTACCATGTTAATAGCTAAAATGGGAAATGACCCAAATACTCAGCAACAAAGGCTCCGTTTAAAAGCGTGTGTGGCACGTCCATCCAACAGAGCAGGGCGTGATTCCGTCCTCTTCCCGAAAAGGCCCAAAGGGAGAGGTGGAACTGCTGTGGGATTTTTTGAGGACGGTCTTCCCGGGAATTTTCCATTTCTGCTTTTCTTATTTTTCAATGTTATCTTACTACCTGGGTTACGTGTCACGAGCTCAGGTTATTTCTACCACCAGAGCCTGGGGTGGAGGATACAGACCTCGCCCACTGGAGCTGCCCACAGCGCCTCGCCGGCCCCTCCTGCCTCCTTCGTCCCGCACATCCGCTGCTGCCCTGACACACCCCGATTCCCTGGTGCCAGGGAGAGCCAGGGCAGAGGTGGCCCTGAGACGCCACGCGACGGGGAGGGCTAGAGCGTAAGGAGGAGCGAGGTGCGCATTCGCTGTGACCCTGGCGCTCGGCTTCGCCTCTCTGGGCCTCGGTTTCCACCCCGCGGGAGCGAGTACGACAGGGGCTGCGCGCATTGCCGCAGTCACGCCTGCAAGAGCCGGGCCGGGTGAGCCGCTTCCGGCGCTCCGCGGGGGCCCCGGACGATCCAGCAGGGGCTCCGCCCTGGGACCCCCATCCTGTCTTGGGGCGTGACCTTCGGGGGCGCACGCGGTGCCGGCCGCGCCCGGGGAAGCCGGGTCCGCATCCGAGCATCAGGACAGCCTGCGGCCGCCCCATTGGCCGGCGTGTCTCTGCAGGGCCGTCCCACAGCCAATAGCGGCCAAGGGGCGGAGCCTGGCCGGTGCCCTCGGAGCTGCTGGCCCCGGGCGGCTGCTCCAGTCTGAGCGCCCTCCGCTCGCCCCGAGAGAGACCCGGCCATGCAGGAGCCGCTGCTGGGAGCCGAGGGCCCGGACTACGACACCTTCCCCGAGAAGCCGCCCCCGTCGCCAGGGGACAGGGCGCGGGTCGGGTGAGAGTCGCTAGGTTGGGGGCTGCGGGTGGGGCCTGGGGGTGGCCCTGGTTCCCTCCAGCCGGCGGCAGGCTCCCGCCCTGGGCCTCCCCTGACCTAGTCGCCACCGAGGGGCCATCTGGCTCCCTCCTGTCCCAGACACGCTACTCCTATTTAAGGAACTGGTCCCCCTAAGGGAAGGAACGATCCACGAGAGTACCGGGCCCAGCCCCCCACTGCCACAGACAGTGAGACTGAGGCCCCAGCGAGCAGGGGTTCTGCCTGAGGTCACACAGCAAGCCTCCAGCCGCCGCCCTGGGGGCAGAACCAGAGCCTCCTCTTCCGGAGAAAAGGCCCCAGCACCAGAGGCTCAGCCACTGCGGATGAGCTAACAATGGCCTGGGAATTTCCCAGGGGAGCTGGGGCTCAGGCCCTGGGAACGTGAATGGCCTTGGACCCAGGCCTCCCTAGCACTGCCCGCTGAGCCGGGCAGCCACTGGGTTCAGAAAAGGCAATGGTCCCTGGAGGAGGGACTCAGAGACCCTGGTCTTTTTGTCCGCCACCATCACCAGGACCCTGCAGAACAAAAGGGTGTTCCTGGCCACCTTCGCCGCAGTGCTCGGCAATTTCAGCTTTGGGTATGCCCTGGTCTACACATCCCCTGTCATCCCAGCCCTGGAGCGCTCCTTGGATCCTGACCTGCATCTGACCAAATCCCAGGCATCCTGGTTTGGGGTAAGGACCATCCTCTGGAGGAGGGTGGGTGCAGGAAGGAGGGACCTGCTGAGCCTTATCTCCAGCTAGGAACCTCCCAAATTCTCCACCTTGGGGGTCCCTCCAGGGCCCTGGTCCCCCCTCCCCCAGCCATCCAGGCCACTAGTGGGTGGGGTAAAGCTACAGGATTCCTCTGAAATGAGGAACTGAAAGCCAGTGGAGAGGGTGAGGGAAGGAGCAGGTGGGGAGGTGGCTGTCAGGGTCTATACTAGGTGGGGCTGAGGCTTCCCCGGGTCCCCACACCCACAGTTGGCTGGATGGGGGCAAGGGTATCAGGTGTCAGTGGGGAGAGGCACTGGCTGGGGCAAGGAGAGTCCGCAGGACAGATTGTGGGCTGATGGAGAGGAAGATCCCAGAGTCCCAGAGTCTAAAATTATAATCTTAATAGCCTCATATGTAGAGTTGTTAACATAGTAGTTAAGATAAAAATTCCCAAGGTTTACTGAGCACTTCCTATGTGCCAGGCATGTGTTGGGCACTGAACGTTCATTGATTCTCAGGGCCAACGCCACGAGGTAGAACTTGCGCTCTCCCCATAAGACAGCTGAAGAAACTGAGGTGCAGACAGGCTGGGCAATGTGCCCAGGTCCCACTACCAGTTAGCAGAGTCCAGAGGGGGTCCCAGTTGCTGCTGTACAGGGAACTTAAGAACCTCCAAATCTTAAAGCCCAGTACCTTCAAGTCACAGAATTCTCCTGTATTAAAATATTAGACATTTAAACATCAGGCTGGACAGAACCACTGTGGATATGTGGCGCAGCACCTCTTCCTTAGAGCAGAATTCCCCGTTTGGGCATCCCTAACAAATGGCTGTTCCTTGAAGACAGGAGGCTCCCTGTTTCAAGTGCTTGACTTGGCCAAGTGCTTGACCAGCTCCTGGGGTCGGCCTAGGGAAGAAGCTGTCCCTGGACTCTGATGAGATTGGGGTGCCAAGTGCCCAGACATATCTGCCCTGCACCCCCTTCCCCTGCAGTCCGTGTTCACCCTGGGAGCAGCGGCCGGAGGCCTGAGTGCCATGATCCTCAACGACCTCCTGGGCCGGAAGCTGAGCATCATGTTCTCAGCTGTGCCGTCGGCGGCCGGCTATGCGCTCATGGCGGGTGCGCACGGCCTCTGGATGCTGCTGCTCGGAAGGACGCTGACGGGCTTCGCCGGGGGGCTCACAGCTGCCTGCATCCCGGTAAGGCCAGGCCTTCCCACCCAGGCGCCCCAATGCCTCTGTATTGGTGCTGAGCCTCCATCTGACTAAGGCCTCCCAGCCTCCATGCCTTCTGGGCAATGAGAATTGTTTGCCTTCCCTGCGGATGCCCAGGGCGCCTCAGCTCACCCCCAGCAGGGCAGCTAATTTGGGGGAAATTGTCTCCAGGTCCCCAGCTGCCCCCACTCTGGACTTTCCAAGCCTTCTACCCCGTTTCTTGACCGGTCAGATGTATTACTCAATTGGAGAAAATCCGCATTGAGCAATGGGTAGGAGAGGGAAGTCCCTGCCCTACACCCTCCCCGGGACCTTCTTATCTTATGTGGTACTCCACACGGGGCCTGGTGGTGAGCCCAGCAGAGGAGACAAAACTCACTGGGAGGCATGGACTCACCTGCTCAGCCCTGAAGCCTGGGAGCCCTCGGGCCTCCTTCCCAGCGTCATGCTGCCCATTTCCGAGCTGCGTACTTCCACCCACGTCACAGTTAGGGAAACTGAGGACAGAGAGAGATCAGGCAGGCCGCCCAAGGTCTTGCAGTGAGTCATGACCAGGACTCAGCCCCACCAGAAAGCCTCCACTTCCCACTTTCCGGGGTTCACAGGGGCTGACTCTCCCATCTCGGCCGGGCCTAGGAACCAGTATTTTCAGCAAAACCTGGTGCGGCGGCTGTGTCTTGCAGGTGTACGTGTCTGAGATTGCTCCCCCAGGCGTTCGTGGGGCTCTGGGGGCCACACCCCAGCTCATGGCAGTGTTCGGATCCCTGTCCCTCTACGCCCTTGGCAAGTATGGCCCCGCACTCCTGTGTGCAGGCTGGTGGGAGGGGTGGGTGCCGCCAAGGTAGACGTGGGTGGAAAGGGAATGATTTGTCCCAGAACAGATCCTGGGCTGAGAGGCAAGAGATCTGGCATCCCGGCCCCACTCAGTCAGCACCTTGCTGGGCACCTCCAGGCAGGGCCTGCCCCTCTAGCCACAGGCCCAGTCTCTAGCTGGGGCAGCCAGGGCTTCTCCTGGACCCACAGTCGCCAGACTATCTTTTAACGGCAGAAAGCTTCCATCAAATGCCATCTCAGATGGGAAGTCCAGATAGAAAAGAAATCACAGTGCGTGCAGCTGCTCAGTTGAGGGGGCGTGGAGGTCTTGGGTGGAGGCCTAGGGCCTTGCCTGCCCAACCTACCCCTTCCTCATCCTGCCCTGGCCCTAAGACTTTCCAAGGACTTCCCACTATGTGCCAGGGGCTGAGCAATCCCTGCAGCCCCACCCTGCCTGGGGCAATCAGGGTAGGCTTCCTGTAGGAGATGGCCCTTGGACTAGACCTTGAAGGGCAGATGAGGTTATTCAGAGGCTCCAGAGGGAAGGGGCTGTACCAGGCCTGGACCTGGCCCCTCACCCACCCCTCGCCCCCAGGCCTCCTGCTGCCGTGGCGCTGGCTGGCTGTGGCCGGGGAGGCGCCTGTGCTCATCATGATCCTGCTGCTCAGCTTCATGCCCAACTCGCCGCGCTTCCTGCTCTCTCGGGGCAGGGACGAAGAGGCCCTGCGGGCGCTGGCCTGGCTGCGTGGGACGGACGTCGATGTCCACTGGGAGTTCGAGCAGATCCAGGACAACGTCCGGAGACAGGTGCAGGAGGGTGTGCGCCCGAACCGGGCAGGCCCACCTCCAGCACTTCAGCTGTGTGTGGCCGTGGAGGCTTTTCCTGGAAGACAGGACCACAGTAGTTCCCACTAATCCAAGTGCCTGGGTTGGGGTGGGGGGCTGTTCCCAGAGCCTGGGTGGCCTGGTAAGCTGGTTCTTTCCTGGAGGAGGGAAAAAGGAGGTCTCCCACACAACCCCTGGCGGTCCAGGGCAGGATGGCGCCTGCTGGAGAGGCTGGCCCAACGCCCTCAGCGGCGGCCTTGTGTTTCAGAGCAGCCGAGTATCGTGGGCTGAGGCACGGGCCCCACACGTGTGCCGGCCCATCACCGTGGCCTTGCTGATGCGCCTCCTGCAGCAGCTGACGGGCATCACGCCCATCCTGGTCTACCTGCAGTCCATCTTCGACAGCACCGCTGTCCTGCTGGTGAGAGCCCAGCCCCGGCCGGCGCCCACCCACGGGGTCCCCTGGAGGCTGGCAGGGCAGGGGAGGCAGGGCCTGCTCCTGCACTTACCCAACCCCTGGTCTTACCCACACCTGCTCTGTGCCAGGTGTCAGGGATGCCACAGCAAGATCTGAGATCTGGGCCTTGTGGAGACAGTTCCAGTGCCTTCACCTGTTCTCAGAATGTTTTTAAGATAAGCTTAAGTGTTTTAAAATAAAATACTGGCAAAATCCCAACACGAGGCCAAGGCGGGAGGATCACTTAAGCCCAGGAGTGTGAGACTGCAGTGGCCACGATCTCACCACTGCACTCCATCCTGGTGACAGAGCAGGACCCTGTCTCTAAAAACATATAGAAATTTTAAAAATTAAATAAAATACATGGGATTACAAAGGAAACCAGCTTTATAGAAACGTGGACCCCTTGAGGCCACAGACCCCAGGTTCAGAGCCCTGTGGCATCTGCCACTTAATGAGGGAAGTCACTTTCCCCTCTGAACCTCAACTTCCTCCTCTGCAAGATGAAGATAGCAGCACATCTCCATCAGCCTGCCCCAAGGCTCAAAGTGAGATGAGATTTGAAGATTAGTAACAGCACGGTTCAGCAAGTCATCATCACGCCTGGATTCTGTGCCAGCTGGGCATAGTGGTGGGCAGAGCAGATGTGTCCCTGCCCAGGAGCCCCATAGGCTCGGACAGTATAGATGCCCAGCACGCTGCAGGTGCCAGGCCACTCAGTACTGCACTGAGCTGCTGGCCTGAGCCCCTGCAATGCCTGCCGGGACAAGCTGGGTCCTGGAGGGGGATGGGAACAGCAGGCAGGTCCCTCAGCCCTGGTGGTCTCCCCCCGATAGCCCCCCAAGGACGACGCAGCCATCGTTGGGGCCGTGCGGCTCCTGTCCGTGCTGATCGCCGCCCTCACCATGGACCTCGCAGGCCGCAAGGTGCTGCTCTTCGTCTCAGGTAAGCACCCTGCAGGCAGCCCTCCTGCCCCACTCCTCCGCATGGGTCAGGGCTGGGCTGGGTGTGCAGGCCTGCCTCGGGGTGGGGCTGTGTGGCTGGGAACTGCAGAGCACCTGCCTCCCTAGCATCGGCAGGGCCCTGGCCCAGGCCAGTGGTCCAGAAAGGTCCGCTGGGGCTCCGAGTGGACACACTGGCTGTGACACTCCACGGTGGGAGCCTAACACGCGGCTGGAGACAGAGCTTGCTGCCCTGCTGGGGGTCTCTAGTCCCAGACACGAGCTGGACCACGCAAGTATCAAGGGGCTCTGCAGAAGGAGCTCTGAGAGAAACAGCTGGCTCAGAGGGTCCTGGCCCCACGAGGCCACCTGTCTGTCCACAGCGGCCATCATGTTTGCTGCCAACCTGACTCTGGGGCTGTACATCCACTTTGGCCCCAGGCCTCTGAGCCCCAACAGCACTGCGGGCCTGGAAAGCGAGTCCTGGGGGGACTTGGCGCAGCCCCTGGCAGCACCCGCTGGCTACCTCACCCTGGTGCCCCTGCTGGCCACCATGCTCTTCATCATGGGTAGGTGTGGTGGTGGCTCAGAGGGGCAGGCTGTCTTGGGTGTTAAGGGATGGGTGATGTGTCTGGGGTGGCTGGAGAGGGGGGTCTCCAGCAGCTCAGCGGAGACAGACACAGCCGCCTCCAGTCACCCCACAGGGCCTGAACCTGCCTCCTCCTCCGAGCAGGCTACGCCGTGGGCTGGGGTCCCATCACCTGGCTGCTCATGTCTGAGGTCCTGCCCCTGCGTGCCCGTGGCGTGGCCTCAGGGCTCTGCGTGCTGGCCAGCTGGCTCACCGCCTTCGTCCTCACCAAGTCCTTCCTGCCAGTGGTGGTGAGTGTTCAGCCCCAGGCCCCAGGCCCCTAGGCCCTCTCTGACTGGCCAGGACCCTTCTCAGTGCCAGGGGCTGTGCCAAGGCCTGCTGTCAGGACCCTAACTCTCAGTGACCCTAGGAGATGAGCACACACCCCCTGAACTCAGAGACCCCAGAGTGGTCACGTGATAGCCTAGCAAACGCTCTTCATTATAAGAAACAGGAACGGGCGTAGGCAACTGTTCTGGGAAGTCAGGTTACCTCCTGGGCCAGGGCAGGACATGGCCCAGGACCCTGCCAGGGGCCCCGGAAGCCACCTCCCCACCGTGCCTCATCTCCCGCCCTCCTGGGCGCTGGGTCTCAGCAGCAGCCACACTCCCCCCTCAACCCCACCCACTCCCCCTGCCTCCTGGTTCAAAACTACGGGCCCTGTGACCAGCCAGAATCTGTGAGGCCCAGAGTAAGTTCCCATGAGGGAGAAGCTGGCTAGGGCAGCCTAGGCCAGCGCCTAAGCTGTCCCTGCAGTGGTCAGGGCAGGGGGGTTGGGGGAGGGCAGGCAACCCAGAGTGAGTCCATCAGCCTAGAGGGTCCAAGAAGAACCTGCGTGCCCACCAGGCTGCAGGGCGGGCCTCCTGCAGGCCGCGGCATGGAACAGCTGGGATGCCAGCGCTGGGTAGGGGGTGTGGAGGGGGTACCTGAGCTGACGCCAGAGGGCCCAGCCCCTGAGGAAGGCCGAGGGGCAGACGGGATGCAGACTTCAAGGGCTACTTCGGATTTGTCCTGGGGACAGTGGGGGAGCCCTGGTGTGGGGGGGCGGTCTCTGAACACAGGAAGGACCAGATGAAGGCCCCACAGGGCTGGTCACTACCAGCAGCGCCCACGAGCTCCTCTGGGGCAGGAGGACCCTGGAGCTTCTCCCTGTGACCCGGCCCCGCTCTTCACCCGCAGAGCACCTTCGGCCTCCAGGTGCCTTTCTTCTTCTTCGCGGCCATCTGCTTGGTGAGCCTGGTGTTCACAGGCTGCTGTGTGCCCGAGACCAAGGGACGGTCCCTGGAGCAGATCGAGTCCTTCTTCCGCACGGGGAGAAGGTCCTTCTTGCGCTAGGTCAAGGTCCCCGCCTGGAGGGGGCCAAACCCCCAGTGGCTGGGCCTCTGTGTTGGCTACAAACCTGCACCCTGGGACCAAGAGGCAGCAGTCATCCCTGCCACCAGCCAGAGCACAGGAAGAGCAGTGTGATGGGGCCTCAGCAGCGGGTGCCCCTGGCTCGGGACAGGTAGCACTGCTGTCCAGCCACAGCCCCAGCCCAGGCAGCCCACAGTGCTGCACGTAGCCATGGGCCGCAGGAGTGCATACAACCCTGCATCCAGGGACACGGCCCTGCTGGGTGACCTCAGGCCTAGTCCCTTTCCCTTGCGTGAAGGACACGCCCCACAGAAGGCTACGGGGAGGACTGAGAGGACAGGGCTGGAGGCAGCCAAGTAACGTAGTCATATCATCGCGCTCTGATCTGGTGGCATCTGGCTGTGCAAGGAAGACCCGGCTTTGCCCTCACAAGTCTTATGGGCACCACAGGGAACATCCTGGACTTAAAAAGCCAGGGCAGGCCGGGCACAGTGGCTCACGCCTGTAATCCCAGCACTTTGGGAGGCCAAAGCAGGTGGATTACCCAAGGCCAGGAGTTCAAGACCAGCCTGGCCAACATGGTGAAACCCCGTCTCTACTAAAAAATACAAAAAAGCTGGGTGTGGTGGCACACACCCGTAGTTCCAGCTACTTGGGAGGCTGAGGCAGCATTGCTTGAACCCGGGAGGTGGAGGCTGCAATGAGCTGAGATCATGCCATTGCACTCCAGCCTGGGCAACGAGAGTGAAACTCCGTCCCCACCCCCTGCCAAAAAAAAAAAAAAAAAAGCCAGGGCAAAGGACCTGGCGTGGCCACTTCCTCCTGCCCCAGCCCAACCTCTGGGAACAGGCAGCTCCTATCTGCAAACTGTGTTCACCCTTTTGTAAAAATAAAGGAACTGGACCTGTAGTCCTAGCGAGGAAAGAGTGGGGTCTACTCCAGGAGCCCCCACAGCAGCCAGGCTAGACCCGAACCAGCCAAGGTTGCCAGGGCCACTGACTGCTGATCCATAGCAAAAGCAGGGCAGGGAAAAGGCTGCAGTGAGGGGAAGCCCACTGCGAGGCCCACCCTTAACAGGCTCTTTCTAGCTGTGTGACCTTGGGCAGGTCACTTTCCTTGTCTGGGATGCTGGGGGCAGCCTCGGGACAGGACCTGTAGTTATTTCCTGGGCCAGCGGCTCCTGCCTGGCTTCCACACTCACACACAGGCACCAAGGCAGAAGGGAGCAGAGGGCAGGCACGCGAGCCACGGCCACGCTTTATTGCTTAAGACGCACACAGAACACAGAGGAACAAACAAGGAGGAAAGGGCGCCACACACAGCCCAGACCAGGCAGGAGCGGCCCAGCCGCCGGAAGAGACGTTCCTTGCAAGGCAGGGCCCCTGCTGGACAGCACGCCCCCTGGGCGACAGGGTCAGGGACCCCAGGACTGCACAGCTGCAGACTTGCTGGGAACCTGGGACAGGTGACACGCCCACTCTCGCCTGTGGCCCAGGGCCTTCCACCTCTGCATCCAGCCATGCACCCACCATTTCCCCACAGGGTACAGGGGCAGCCTTCCTTGATCCACAGCCAACCCTTCTCCTGCTGTCTCTGGCTGTCAGTGAGACCCCTCTGGAAAGGGCAGAAGCAGGCAAGCCAGGCAGAAGGGGGCCCGGGGTCCCACTACCTGGGTAGGAATGAGCAGAGGGCGGGCAGAGCCCTTGCTCCTTGTGGGAGGTAGACAGGTCTCACTGCATACATGGGACAGATGTGTGCACCCACACACATATACATACACACACACACACACACACACACACACACACACACAGCCCTTTGAACCCAGCACTGGCCTGAGGAAGGTGGCCCCGGAGGAACCCTGAAGGCACATGTCCACCAGGCTATAATGCCCCTGCCACCCTGGGGCTCAGCTGGCCAGACTCCCAGGGGTGGGATGCTGCTGACCCAGGAGCCCACCAAGTCCCCAGGGCAGTACTGGGCAGGGCCCAGAAAACCCCACGCCCAGCCCACCAGCCTGCCACTCCTGGCCTCAGATGCCACTCCCGGCCTCAGATGCCACTCCCAGCCTCAGACGCAGATGGGCCCGAGAGGTGTTCCTGGGAAACAGTTCACTTAGCAAGACCCAGTACCTGCGCTCCAGAAGCTCAGCGCAGGCCCAGCCTGGGGTTGGCCCCAGATGGAATATCTTCCACACCCGCCCGCTTCTGCCAAACCCCACCTGGGCTAAGCCAGGCCCGACCAGGCACCTGCCCGATGGCTGAGAGCCAGCCTCACGGTCAGAGAGGCCAGCGGGCTGAGGCCACAGGGCAGAGGGAATATGGGGGTGCACATCCTGGGCACCAGCTCTCTGCATCCTCCCTGGGTAGGCCTGGCTCCGGACAGCCTGGCACCCAGGGCAGTGGGGACAGCTCTGTGTGGGGAGGTGACTGTGGCCTCTGCCCAGTTCTTAAAAGGCAGAAGCTCCCTGAGGGCAGGGCTTGGGCAGGCCAGCAGGAGCACCTGAGTGGGGCTGAGGTCAGACCCACTAACCCACTAATGGGGCTGGGCTGTGGCTGATGTTGACGGGGCCACACCAGGGAGAGGGTGGGCACCCTCGGTGCCAGGGAGAGCCTGCTCTCCCCACTTCCTTAGCACCAAGGCCAGCAGGGGCGGGGGGTGATGGGCAGAACCTAGGGGCCCCAGCAGGCCCAGGGAGGAGGGGCAGCCGAGGGGCCTTGAGGTGGCCTGTCCAAGGTTCCCAGGGCCAGCAGGGAGCATCCCCCACCCAGCTGTCCAGTCACTGCCAAGGCTGCAGTTCCAGGTACCGGGGTGCACCTTAGGAGCCCTGTGGGCTTCTTCAGAAGGCAGGGTGACAGTGGGCGCTGCACCCTAGGCAGCAGTGGGAGGTTGCTGGCAGCGGCAGGCTGTCCCAGGCCCTGGGGCTCCACCTGCTAAGAGAGCTGGGGGAGGTCCCTCTGCTCAGTGCCCAGGTGGCAGGGTCCCACTTGCCCCTCCCCTCAAGCCAGGACCAGCATCTCCAGGGGAAGCTGCTCCCAGGTCACAGCAGGTCACAGGCAGCCCTGTCTGTGGTGTGAGATCTGCAGACCCACCCAGCAGAGGAGTAGGGCTGGGTAGTGTCCACACAGCTGCTGCAGGCTCTGCCTCAAGTCCAGCAGCCCAGACCCTCACACCAGCAGCCAGTGGCTCCTGGCTTAAGCCAGTCTGGAGAAAGGAGCAGAGGACTCCAGGTGTAGGGACACGTGCAAAGGCCCCTCTCCAGGCTGTGCCTCAGCGTGGACAGTCCAGGCCTCACTTGGACCCACACAGAGCCAGAAGAGGGGACAGGGAGGGAGGGGCGCCCAGCCCTTCACAGCTCCCCCTCCAGGGTCTCCGCGAGCTTCTCCTCATCCGCCTGCTGCCTCTGCTGCTGGATCCTGGCATAGGAGATCGCATCGCCCCTGGGGAGAGAGAGAGGCAGCGTCACGTGGAGCACCAGCCCCATGCCCACAGCCCTCCTGACCACTGCCCGGTTCCTGCCCTGTGACCCAGGTGTGACCTGCAGGCATTCTGATTTCCCCAGAGACAACTGCTGGGGTGGCAAAGGCCTGTCTTGTCCCCTCTGAGAATGGCCCAGGCTCCCTGGGATGCTGGGCTGCGAAGGAACCAGCCTCAGTCTGGGCTCTGCAGGAGAGAGGGTGGCAACTGAGTACAATGCCCGGTGCAGACCTGGGAGGGGAAGGGGCTCCCACCAGCCATGTTTTTGCTATCCTTGCTGCAGGCCGTGACGGGGCAAGACTGGGCCACGCAGAAGTGTTGTAAGTCCTCTGTCTTCACCCACTCGAGCTGAGCCCTGGAGGCACCAATGAGTTACTGGGACCTCTGCCTCGGTCTCCACTAGCTAAAAGGGGCCACTCTCAGATCCTCCTCACTGAAGGACTTCGGGGGGCGGAGGGAGGAAGGCCCTGCCCAGGGGCTGGGCCTGGCAGACGCACTTTTTGCCCAGAGCAGAGAGTCCGTACAGCACCCCCGTAGCAAAGGCGATGGCGTTGCCCAGCAGCGTGGTCAGGGTCAGGCTGATGACGATGGGAACGACCGCCATCCTGGGGGGAAAGCAGAGGTCAAGGGGGCACTCCGGCCCCACAGCCACCACATCCTTCCCCGCTTCCCAGACTCGGCCCAGCATCCTTCCTAGACACCCAGGGCACAGGAAGGATCCCCAAAAATCAACTGAGACACAGCTTCAGAAAGTCCTTCATCAGCCCTGAACTTGTCTGTAAAACTGTTCCATTCTGGGAATAGGATCCAAAGCTTTCATCAGATTTTTGAAGGGGTCTGTGATCCCAAAAAGAGCTAAACAGTAACGAGATGGTCCAGTGCCCTCACTGTGAGAAAAACTGGCCAGAAAGAGCCTGTGACAGAGAATCTGGCTTCCCATCCAGGACCTACTAGCTTCGCGGGCAAGTTACTCGGAATCTCCACCGCGGAGAGGGGATCAAAGCTTGTCCGAGGTCAGTCATGTTACCTACACAATGCTGACCACCACAGGCACTAAATAAATGCTCTGAGTTATAGAGTAACACCAGCCACATCGCCACAAGTAAGGTCCCTGGAATTCAACCACATGGAACACAGGGTCTCATCATGGGAGGGCTGCAGGCTGCGGGGTCTGCGGGGTCGGCCCAGACCTTGCTGCAGTTTGGCGTCACCTGGTGGCAGGGTCCACTGGGGCTTAAGCGTCCCCGGGGCTGATTCTCCATCCTGGCTGGAATTTCCAGGCCAGCAGCAATTCCTGGGCTAACTGGGCCAGGAGGATACCTGCAGCCTGGAGGCCAGCGCTCTGTCCTGTCGCCTCCCTAGAGGAGGCTGCCTGTGCAGGAGGACAAGACTCGTGGCCAATTGCATTCTACCTCAGTTTCCATTCTTGTAGACATGTGGTTGTGAGATTTTTCTGTCGTTAAAAAATTTCAAAATGATAAAATAATAATAGAAATTACAAAGAAAAAGACCACGGCGGGGAACCTTCTGACAAAAACAAAATTAAAGGCAAACAAGAGCCTGGAAAAATAGTTGCAGGAAATACAACCAAGGATCATGAAATCTTTAATACAGAAAACACACTGAACTTGCTAAGCAGAACACTGAGGTTCCCACAGGTTAAAAAGTAAACTCGAAAATTTTCATATCAGAAAATGCAATGGAAACACGTGGGAAAATATTTTTCCCTCTTAGATAACAAATAGATAAATGCGAATGTGAAGTGGTGTGCAGCCCTGGGCTGGGGTGGGGGCGGGGGAGAGACTCAAGGGACCTCTTTGGAAAGCAACGTAGCCACGCATCTTAAAATATTTTTAATGATCAGAATCTTTGACCCAGTAATTCCACACCTGAAAATAGATATTAAGGAAATCATCATAAACACAGAAAAAGTTTTAGCAGACACATGTTTATCACACCTCGATTTACACCAGTTAAGAAATTAAGAACAGCATGATACATCCAGCTGAATGAATATTCCTGTATTGAAAGAATGTTATAAAGTCTGTGGTGATGTTCAAATGCTTATATCATTACTCTAAGTGAAAAAAGGCAGGATACAAACTTATTCATAATGGTTATAACTGTGTTAAAAGCAGGCTTTTAAAAAATGCCTGCAGACAGGAAGCACACACATCAGAAGATTAGCAGGCAGCGGGCTTCGAGTAACATTGTTCTATATTCCAAATTATTGTGAATGAATTTCTATGATGTCTAGCATTTTTAAAATACAGTTTTTTGAACCCCTAAGGACATGACACTGCGTGTAGATAAGAGCTTTGTGATCCTGTGTTCTTCGTGATTTAGATATGGCACAAGATGGCTCCAGAACTAAGCATGTGGCTTGTGCTCTTACCATCAAAACTACCGGGCCTCTCTGAAGGGGAAGCAAGCTTGCATCTAGACTTCTTTCTAAAGATAACCTAGACAATAATGAATACAGCTGCCACCAGCCTCCTATGCACTAGAGGCATTATTCTAGGAGTTTCCGTGTATTAAGCTTATCCTGAAATTAGTTCCTTCTTATGACTGAGAGGAGAAGTATTACATATTGATTTCATTGTTAGAAATGGGAAAATTTTTAACAAGTGTATTTAGAGGGCAACCACATTTTCTGCTCTGCAACCTGCTTCTCCCCCTTCACGTCAGGACATCTAGATGAACCCACTCTTCGGAAAGGCTGCAGAGAAACATGTCCTACAGACCTACTATCATCTGGTTAACAACTCCCAGTGGACGGACCAAAATTCCAGACGCTTCCCACTTTCTCTCCACTGCACGGATGCTGCCACACATGCTCATATACCTCTGAACCTTCCAGTGACTACGGCACAGCGACAGCTGAGTTCCTGGGCGCAGAACCACTGGGGCACGTTTTGGCAGCTATGAGCAAATCACTGTGCACAAAGGCAATCCCAGTTTACACTTCCACAGAGAGGAACTGAATACACTGCCCACCCTCACCTGACTTTTGGGTCCTATTTTGTCAGTGGGGTTTTGGGGAACTGTGTCACGGGACCCTGCCCAGCAACCCCTCACCCGCAGTAGAAGACAGCCTTCTGCCAGGAGCGCAGCCGGTCCACCTTCTCCGCCACTGTGTTTGCAAACTCGATGAACTGGCAGCAGAAGGGCGCCTCACACAGCAACAAGATGAAGGCATTCATGCTGCAGGGACCAGGGCAGGAGAAGAGCAGCGACTGACAATCCCAGGAGGATGAGGGCGGCCCCCAGTGCCAGTGCCATAAGGAATGCCACCTCCCTCACCCTCCTGCCCTCATCCCTCCTCCTCTGGGAAGCCGCCCGGCTGCTCCAGGGCACCTGCTCGTACCCCTCGGAGAGCCTCTGCTGAAGACTCCAGCACTCCCCAGCTGCTCCTGCACACCCATCTCCCCAGCTGAACTGAACACTCCTAGAGGGAAGCCCCTGGGCTTCTGCTTCCCTTTATCCTCCTCCTGTGTGACATGGAGGAAAGGGGACCCCACATCATGGCACTGCTACAACGCTGCGGCAGGTTCATCCACAGATGGAGCACTGGCAGCTGTGTCCTCTGTCTGCTGTTAGTATTATCGCCATGGCCACCAAAAGCCGTCAGTGGCACCAGCACCAGGAAGGCTGCCCCACCAGGGAGGCAGAGAGCTGGAGCCACGCAGTCCCAAAACAGTCACGGAGAGCTGCCCACACACCTGATGCCACCGGCCCCAGGCCCGGGGACACCCAGGGGAAGCCCACGCTGGGGAGGAAGAACTTTAGCAAGTCCTTGCATCCAGCCCTATGTTTGGGGTGGGAACAGCTAAGCCACTGGTGACGGAAGGTGTCTGCTGTGGTCTTGGTATTCTCTATGCATGGATAACAATCAGTTAGCAGACACTGAGCCAGGCCCTTCTGTCCCCAGGCCTGGGAGAAAAGTGCCATCATTATGCCTGTGTAACAGAAATGCAGGCTCAGGACACCTAAGAGCCACCCCAAGCCCGGGGCAGGCACTCTCTTCACAACTCTTAACCACTGCACCCGCCCCGAGCCTCCCACACACCAGGCCTCCAAGCACGGGCTCACTCTGTGCTGGGCCAGCCCTTCCACTTCAAACTCGGCCAGGCTCCGACTCCACCCCCTGAAGCTGGGCTGGGCGCCTCTCTGTCCATCCCCCTTCCCTATCCACCACTGGCCAGCACAAGCACTGAGGACCCCACCACAGCAGGCCCCCGAGGCTCTCCACTGGCCATAGGTCACTGGGGACGGGACCTGAATCTCGTCTAGCTCTGTACCCCTCAAGGCACCAAGCCCCATGAGGACACTCATCAATTCCTGGTGCACCGCCACTTCTCACGTGCCCCAAGCCACACGGGCCTGCCCTCACCCCGCCTTCCCTTCCGATGGGATGGCGAAACCCTGGCAGGAGGTGGGCATGGAACGCACATGAGGGTGTTCTGACCACGGGTTCCCGTGACAACTCCGACCCGCCTCTCCCATCTATCTTTGGCACAGCTCCGAGCTCGAGTGCCCTCTCCCAGCAGACCATTCAACCCAGTCCTCAGCCAGCCCCAATGAACAGCCTTCCCCACCCCAGTCCTGGGAGCTCCCAGAGGGCGAGGGCCCCAGTATAGTGGACTTGGCATCTGCAGTCTCAGTGGATGCTCCAGAAATGTCTGGAGCACTGATGGCCTTGCCCCTGCACCGGATGAAGGCCGGGGTGGGCATTCCCTGGGCCTTGACCTCTCATTAGGAAACTAAACATGGTGGGGGTATGAAGGGGAAGAAGCCGCATGCTGTGGCCAGAAACTCACATGCCCGAGGCACCCAGGCTGGAGCCAGTAGCCATGGCAACCACAAGGATGCCCACTCCCACGGCCCCTGCCACTCCTCTGTCCCGGGAGGTGCCCAGCAGATTCCCGACCAGCAAGACCCCCGGGGTGGGACGGCCATGCATTACTCACATCATCCACACGCCGGCCGCAATGTTCAGAGGGTGGATGGTGATGCAGTTGAAGAGGCCAGAGATCGCGCAAGCTTGAAACAAGAGACACGGGCAGGAGTCAGCAGGGAGGCAGGCGGAGCCCGCTGGGAAGGCGGCCTTGGGAGATGACTGGAAAGGACGAGAGTCTCTGCGGATGCTCAGCACACAGTTCTCACAGCACCCAGAAGCCTGCCCTCTATCGTCTGAGACAGGTGAGGAGACGCAGAGAGGTGCAGTGCCTTGCTTGCCCCAGGCCCCACAGCAAGGTGGCAGCAAGGTGGCAGGTGGATCTCACAGCATCCTCTCCCCGTTTCAGGGCTCAGAGGAGCTGGCCCTCTGACCCCAGCTACATCAATATCCACCTCAAAGGGAGGTTAGGATTAAAGAAGGATTAAAGAGTGAATGTCCCTCAAGGATTCAGGCCAGTGCTCCCCCAAGACTCAGCCTTCGGTAAGGGTCACTTGCCACCATTCACAGGGCCGGCCACACAAGAAGTCCTCTGACTCAGAAAATGTGGCTTGGATTTTGGTTGGGACAAGGGGTGCCTCTCTCAGAACAGAGATGGGAACCAGGTAAGACTGAGCAGCAGTTCCAGCTCTAACTTCCTCACCAGCCCTGTGCCACTGGCACGCTATCTTCATCTTCCTAGACCCGTTTCTCCTCTTGCACATGAGCAAGTCCCACAGCCCAGCCACCCACCGCTGAAATGCCATAAGGCCAGGAAGGGGAGGGGGCATCGTTTTCCACCCCAGAACGTGGCTTCTCTGATGCTCAGATGTGCAGCCTTGACGCCCCGCCTCCCAGCTGCACCTCACCAGCAGGGTCTCTTGCACCCAACTCCCTCCTCCACCCACAGCCTGCAGCCTGGCTTCACCAGGAACTCCAGGAGCCTTCAAGGCAGGTCCAAGGAGGTGGCTGCTGGGCAGGGAGCAAGCCCAGGCCATCACTGAGGGGGGCCTTGGAGGCAGCAATTAGCACCCAGCTCATTAAACTTGCAGCAGCTCCTCTGCACCTGATCCCTCCACCTGGGTCTGGAATTCTGCTGTTTTCCATTTTCCCAGGTAACCTTATGCAGACAGCAGGCAAAGAAGCCAGATAAAGTGAGCCGAACTGCAATGGGACTGCTTCATGGGCCCCCAGGGTCTCCTTCTAAAACAAAGGACTCAAGCGTTGCACTGCTCCTCAGCACAGCCTTAGACATCTGCCTTCAGACAGCAAGGTGTTCCAGAACCACAGGTACACAGGGGCCTGCCTGTCCTAGCAGAGTGCCCAAAGGGTGACACGGCTCCCTGCCTCTCTGCTGTGCCTGGCCTCACCTGACAGCTCGGCTGTGCTTCCTGCTGCAGTCAGCATTTGGCCTCCAGCTCCAACCCTACCCCAGCTGTCCAACCCACAGCCAGCCTTGGGGGAGGACCAGGTGTCAAGCCAGACCAGCAGGCTCCAGCCAGGAATCCTTTAGCAATAAAGGGCTGGAGGATGTCCACTTGGGGGCCTCAATGCTGATATCTTCCACGTGAGGGGGCTGTCACCATGCAATCCTGTCCCCTCCCAAGGTATCACCTCCAGATGCTCTTAGGACCCAGGGTAGACCCTCTCCAGGTACTCTCTCTGATCCCCTCACCCTGGAGGAGGAAAACCTTACCCAAGGACCAGCCCGGCACACAACCCTTGTCTGAACTCCTGCCGCATCTCTAAAACACCCTGCATTTTTGCATTCTACCCTGTAATACAGCATTTTGATGTTCACATAACCATGCCCCCAAAAATCTGCAGATGCAACTGACAACTCAGGGCAATGCCACAAGTTTCTCCTGAAGCTTCATCTGTAGACCCAACAGAGCCCCAGGAACTCCCAGGAAAGGCAGAGGTACCTCACTTTGAGAGGCACAGAACTGAGTAAGACTCCACAGCAAATCTGGGAGTCGGCAGGGCCACTGACCAAGAAGGAAGGAGGTGTGGCCTACAGGCCATAGTCAGGACCTTTCCTTTCTCACCACTGACCATGTCACCCCACTGCACTGCCCACCCTAATCTGCAGGGAAAACAGCTAACCAGACATGACAGGACTGGATCCAATGCCTAACTTCAAACCCACCAGTCTCTCCTACAAAGTCAAAAGCGTACTTGCCCTGAAGAGCAGTGACACAAACTCGGGGCCTTTTTGTGATTTGGGGGTAGGGCCTGCCCTACCGTATCCGTTGCCTCTGGATAAGGGCATGCCTAGCGAGGGCAGCACACTCCTAGCCCAGCACCCTCCTGCCTCAACCTCCCTCCACCCTCTACCCACCTGGAAAGGCTGTGGAACCCAAGGTGACCCTGAAAAGGTGGTCCTTCTGGCAGGATTGCTGATGGGGCCTGCCCTGCCCAGGCCCAGAGCTAGCCCTCTCTGCCAGGCAGGCACTGTTTAAAACCTGCAGACATCCTCGACAGACATTCTCTAAGACCTTGCCCACTCCAGTAATCCACAAGATTGAGGGCAGACAGGAAAGGAAAGGGTATCACTCAGACAGACTTGTCTTTCCCTGGAAGGCCAGCTGTACGGCTTCCATTCACTCCTGGAGCTGACCTGCCTCCCTCTTTGTCCTTTTCTGGCTGTGCTTAAGAGCCTAGCTTCCCTGGCAGCCTAAGGTCAGGGTCTGTGACTGGGATGCGTGCGGAGAAGGGGAGGAAGGCCGGTGACAGGCGGCTAAGGCAGCAGCAACGGGGGAGATATGAGAGCGGACAGAGGACCCAGGGAGAGGCCGGGCCCTCAGCTCACTGCCCCGCGGCCCCAGGGGCCACCTGTGCCCTGACACCACCTGACCCTCAGCAAACTTCCGCCCAGTGGCTTCCTGCCAGAAATCTAGCCAGCCGTGCACCCGCCTCCCTTACAAACAATCCTTGCCCAAAGGTTAGCAATGTGGCTGCCGTCACCTACGCCCAAGTCAACAGTTGACGCTTTAGTACGGGCCAGGTGGGCATGCGCCCCGTGAGCATCACCGAGAAAGTCTCACAAAAGCCCCTGGGGAGCGGGGGGAGGGCTCAGTCACGTGCCCCAGGCCGGTGCCCCACCCCCGCCCCCGCCGCCCCCCCGCCCTGGGGTTTCTGGTCCCTCCGGGAATGTTCCCAGAAGCGCCAGCCCAGCCCAGCCCGGGGTACCAAGGCGCCCAGGCCCGAGCGGGTAACCATGGCAACCCCAGGACGCCGGCTCCCGGCGGCCCCGCCATTCCTCCGCCCCGGGAGGCGCCCGGCAGACCCCCGACCCCCAGCGGGTCCTTTCCCCTGGGGCCGCCGGGGCGGGGCGGGGCAGGGCAGGGCGAGGAGCGCATGCGCGGCGGGGCCGGCCCCTCTCCCCGACTGGATACTCACAGACTGCCCCCAGCACCCCAGACAGGCGACACAGCCAGCGGTACCACCACGTCATGCCCTCTTCCTGCGCGGGCGGCGCAGAGCTGGCGGACGCCCCGGGCGCCCCACCTGAGCTGCTCATGGTGCCACCGTCAGGCGCAGCTCACAGCCCTCACAAAGGGCTCGGTAGCCGGCCGCGTCCGAGCCGGCGCGCTGCCTTGTGGGAGAGGGAGCATATTAGCATAGGGGGCGGGGCTTTCAGGCTGCGGCGAGGCGCGCCCGAAGGGAGGCGGGTGCTCATTAACATAGTGAGCGGGACCCTCATGCCGCGACTAGGGGCGTTTGAGGGGAGGTAGGTGCTCATTATTGTAGGGGGCGGGACCCGCAGGCTGCGGCGAGGAGCTGGGGGTGGGGAGCTCGTTAGCATACGGGGCGGGGCTCGCAGGCATCGGAGAGGTGTGCCCGAGGGGGGCGGGCGTCATTAGCGTAGGGGGCGGGGGCTCGCAGTTTGCGGCGACTTGCTCCCAAAGGAGGCGGGCGCTTATTAGCATAGGGGGCGGGGCCTGGAGGCGCGCAGACACCTTAGCGGTCAGAGCCTCACACCAGGACACACGGGTGGGGCTTCGCAGGGAGCTGGCTAATGCGCCATCCTCGGAGTGGAATCCTGATTGGATTTTCTTCCTGGATAGGAAGAAGATAACTAGGGACGTCCAGCGGCTTGCTCAGATCAAGATAGAGCCAACCGCGGCCAGCGAATCCCTGCCTTGCCATGGGATGGGTTTTCAAGCCAGGTCTGGACAGCTTATAAGAAAAAAACGCCGGTCAGCCTGCATGTTTTATTTATTGGTACCCGAGGAAATGGGGGCTGCTTTTCCAGAGTCCCCACCTCCAACCCCCTAGCCTTTTGGACATTGGAGAAGACTCTAAAGTAGATACCTAAGATTGGAAAAAGTTCGAATTGGAAAGCACTGAGACCAGGGGTCAACCCTCCAGGGCTGGCCAGACACGGAACAAATGTTCAATGACCCTCAGGTTCCTTCCTTTCCCTTCCAGGACTGAGGGTCCTGCATCTCCGGTACCCATGATTGGAGGGTCCAGTACTGGCCCCGCAGGCTGGCCTGAGCCTTCAGGAAGCCCTCGCTGAACTCCATCTCAGCCTGGCTGCTCTCTGACTCCCAGTAGAGCACCTGCTGCCCATGGAACGCTGTGGTCCTCAAGCTGTGGGTGTCCCGGATCTGAGAGAAAAGGGGCAGCCCAGAAGGACCGGCCACAAGTAATAATTAGCACTCACGGAAGCCTTCGTGTGCAAGGGCTCACAGATTCCGGATCACATTTAATGCTTACAAAGCCCTACTAGGAATACGCCATTACTCTACCCAGAAAACCGAGGTCCAGGGACGTTACATCACTTCCCCAAGGACACACAGTCAGGGTGCCAGAGCGGGGCCAGGCTGCCTCCTCTGGGGAAGCTGATACCCTGCAGAACACAGTTCTCCCAGGACACTTGAAACCTCGGGGAGGGTGCAGGGTGCTATTCTGTCCAAGTTATATCAGACTGTAAAATTATGCTTCAGTCTTGGGTTAGCTGTCAGTCTACATCAGAAAGGTCTTTACCATTCTTTACCATTTCGCTTTTTTTTTTTTTTTTTTTTTGAGACAGAGTCTCACTCTGTTGCCCAGGCTGGAGTGCAGTGGTGCGATCTGGGCTTAGTGCAACCTCCACCTCCCGGGTTCAAGTGATTCTTGTGCCTCAGCCTCCCAAGTAGCTGGGATTACAGGCACACGCCACCATGCCTGGCTACTTTTTCTATTTTTAGTAGAGACAAGGTTTCATCATGTTGGCCAGGCTGGTCTCGAACTCCTGACCTTGAGTGATCTGCCCTCCTGGGCCTCCCAAAGTGCTGGGATTACAGTTGTGAGCCACTATTTCACTCTTGTAGGTAGCTCAAAAAACATTTCTTGGTGAATATGTGGAGGAAGCTATCTTCTCCCATTCTTTCACTAATGATTTTGAGGGTTTTAGTCTG
Organism: Homo sapiens; assembly: GCF_000001405.40. NCBI lineage: Eukaryota > Metazoa > Chordata > Mammalia > Primates > Hominidae > Homo > Homo sapiens. The sequence continues at coordinate 284,275 of NW_009646201.1, read as the reverse complement.
AAATAAACTGAAGGGGGTCCCCTAGCCCTGCACGCCCTAGGGAAAGCTGTCCAGAATCACAGCACAAGTCCCCATGCTGGGCCTCACCAAGATGTAGCTGGCATTGGCTCCCTCGGTCCCAGCGCCCATGTTGGTGGCCAGGGCATGGATGGCAATCCGTGCGTGCGGAGCCACATTAATGAAGAGCCGGCAGCCCCCTGCATTACTCGTGGCTGGACTCAGCGAGGGGCTCACGATTTCACCCCAGGGCCCAAAGAGCTGCATGTCACATTCTGCAGGTGGGACATAGGGACATAGGAACCCAGACAGACCGGTGGTGCCAGAGGCCAGGACAACTCACAGCCAGGGAGCCGTGCAGGGCAGCATGGCACTGTGGTCAATATTGGGGTTCCCAGGCAAATCCTGCTGAACCCCACCTCTACCACTTCCTGGCCCAGTGACTTTAGGCAAAGGCTAAATGTTCTGGGCTCTGGTTCCCTCCTCTGTAACTGAAGGAAACAATGGCATGCACTGAGCAGAGTGGTCTTTAGGACTCAATGATGTCACACGTGCAAGAGTGTTTAACACTGAAACTGGCAACAAAGATAGGCTCCACCCATGGCGGCCACTGCTGTTCCTCAGAGCTCACTGGAGCCCCCACCTGCCTGTACCTCCTGCACCTCTTTCAAGGCAGATGCCTGTGTGGGCGGGGCTGGGCCGGGAAGCGAGAAGCAATGTGAACGGTGACAGTGGGCTTGTGGCCTTTTGGCAGGGCCCAGCAGCGCCTGTGCACTGGGACACATACACGGCTCTCTGCCCGGGCAGGTCTGGGGCAAGGAGGCGGCGCACTAGGTCTCTGCAGAGGCTAAGCCCCTGTTGCCACTAAGCCCCAGACACCTGGGGGAGCCGAGGAACCTCTGGAACCAGCTAGGGAAGCCAACTTCGGCCAGCTCGGGCTGTTGGGAGAGGGCAAGCCCCCCAGGACAACCGAGAGGGCTATCAGAGGATATCGAGGGGGCCACGGGCAAGGCTGGAGTCCCTGAGGTGGCATCCTCTGCCTGAGGTGTGCTTGTGGGTGCACATGCATGTACAAGCATGTCTGCTTACACCAGTGCACTGAAACAGGGCTGAGGGACAGTGGCTTCCACAAAACCCTAAAAGCCCTTGAAAGGCTGGAGGGGTGGGGGCGGGGCAGGTGGGTGTGGGGCAGAGGCCTGAGGGACTGACTGAGGATGTGGACCATGTCCCACATCCGTCCATCTTGCTGCACGGTCCCAAAAAGGAGGGATATAGCATTCATCCTGTGACCCCTCCCTGGCACGTGCAGACTGACACTGGCCAACCCCAGTTCCTTCCATCTCAGTCAGTTCCCTCCGTATCTTCCCACTGCCCCACTGGGACTGGCCCCATCCCCAGCAGCACCCACCCAGCCTCCCTGCCAGGACTGGAGCACCCAAGGGAGGTGGAGAAGGCCTGGCCATACCTCTGTAGAAGGTTTCAGGAGCAAGCTGGCTCCCATACCGCAGCAGCACCCCACCTCCTGGCCGCCCGCAGCGCTGCCTCACCACCAGCGTGTTGGTCTTGGAGCTGAAAGTCATGTCCAACAGCTTCCTGCACATCTTCCTCCAGGTGAGCCGGCCCCAAAGCAGCAACATGTCCCCTAGGAAGCGGCAGGGCAGTGAGGGTCCAGCACTCCCACGCCTGGTCAGCAGAGGAGTGGCTCCAGGGTAGACTGAGCCGAGTTCAAGTCCCACCTCTCCCACTGCTGGCTATGTGACTCTAAGTAACTGGGCACATCACTTAATCTCTCCTAGCCTCAGTTTCCTCATCTGTAAAATGCAGATCATCACTCCCCAGTCATGAGATGGGATGCAAACTACAGGTGGGAATGCACATGGGCTCCTGCCAGGAATGGGGCATGCAGCGTCGTGCTGGCTCCTGGCAGGGCCCATAACTGGCAGCATCGCTTGCATGGCCCTAGACATACCCGCACTGCAGTTGAGAGAACTCTCAAGGACGCGGAGGGTCACCACCTCCCCGAGGGGCCGCCCAATGGCCACTGCACAGTCTGCCTGCCCTGGGCCTCGCATGTCAATGGTTCCTGTTGGCTCAAGGTGCTGCCTGCCACAGGCACCTGAAAAGGGAGCAGGAGACAGGTAAGCAGTGCTTCCCCGATTCCCAGCAGGGCAGGCTCCGGGGCTTCCAAGCTGAGGAAGGAGACCAGGAGGTAGGGGTGGACCCTGTCCTCCAAGGCCCAGCTGGAAGCCTTCTCAGGACAGGGAGGGGGGCTGCATAGGTCAGAGCATCACCCTCAGGGCACAGGGCTGCTACCAGATGATCCAGCAAGAGGGGGCACATGCAGAGCAGCCCAGAGGCTAGGGGGCTCACAAGCTGGGTTCCTACCTTCAAGTTACTTCCCCTTGATAGTAGTAAAAGGGAGGTTTTGCTTTGCCAGGGAGAAAGAGGGCCAGCCCTGATCCCGGCCTCCCAGGCACACAACCCAGGGACCAAGTGCTTGTGCCAGTCCTTCCCAGAGGAAGATGCCTTTGCCCACCCCTCCTGCAGCAGCTGCCTGACAGGAAGGAGGACAGGACATAACTGGACTGCACTGAGTTTTCCTGGGGCCCGGGCAGGAGCCGCCGAGGCTGGGGAGCCGGGGAGAAGAGCAGGCCCCGGGCCTGGGACCACTCCAGGGAGGCACCAGCAGGGGTGGCTGTGGTCCGTCCTGGAGCAGCGGCTTCTTCGTGGGGCACCAGGCTGGGCGTACCCTGTCCCACACAGGGCCCAGCCCAGCAGCCACGCACAGTCACCGGCTTGGGCAAGTGCTGGCAGAAATCAGCTGGCACAGGCGCCTGGGCCTGGGGTCCGAGGCAGGTGTCACGCCGGCGCTGGATGCCATCCCCACAGGAAACAGAGCACTGCCAAGAGAGGGGAGGAGGAGTCACAGCTGACCCTGCCAGAAGGTGACAAGGACAGTGGTAACCACAGGCCAGGAGTGATCCAATATAATCCTTGTACAAGCTGGGAGGCAGTTAAGTGTCTCCATTCCACAGATGAGAAAACTGAGGCTCAGAGAGGGCACCTTGCATGGGTCATATAGGTGGGAGGAGCCATAATTCAAGTCTGGGTCCCTGTCACCCTCACGGCCTCTCTGTCCCTCCAAGCCTTAGAGCAAGCAGGTCTGCGGGGCTGCGGCTCATCTCTGTCTGCTGTGCCCCTATGCCCCCTCCACACCATGAGCGAGCCCCTCCAGGGGGCAGCCTGAACCCCATTTACCCTTGTCTGTCCTGCCTTGCCAGGTGCGTGGCACAGCTGGCATTCCCTCATCTGTGTAGAGCTGAGTGGCCTGCCATTCATCTTCCAGCGTCCCCAAACCTAAGGGCCTCTTAAGTCCTAGCTGCCCGCAGGTCTCTAGGCCCTCTGTCTCTCTGCCTCTAGGTGCCCCCTCACCAACGGGCGCAGCTCTCTCCTTCCTTTCAGGGGACACGATGAGCCAATGCCTCCTAGACTCCCTCACACATGAGGAGCCACAGCTGATGCCCACCCCAGCCCCATAGGGATTCCGAGTGCCCGCTGTGCTCACCTCCATCCAGGTGCCAACATGCCAGCGGTAGGTGCAGTCGGCAATGAGACAGGGGACACTGGCCTCGGGCCGCACCAGCGCCGCACAGGCCGCCTCGTCCACCTCCACGTCCTGGCCTTGGTCGAGCTGCACACAGGCCACCGAGCGTCTAGCAGTGCCAAGGCCACAGCTGGCCGAACATGGGCCAAGGGACATGACTTTCCACCTGCAGGAAGAGAAGACCCCAGAGAGAGGCTAGGTCTCCCCAGAGACAGTACTGCCCCACGCAGGCCCCTCTCCACCCACGTGTACTCGGACAGTTGCCTAGACAGCTTCCGTGGCCAGGCAAGATGGAAAGTGCAGCCACTGAGCCCCTCCTGTCTGGGGCCAGGGCTCACGGCCACAGGAGAGCTACCAAAAGGCCCTAGGGGGAAGAGGCCCCTGTTTCCCTAATTGCACATCCCCCTCTAGTCGCCTTTATCACAGAACACCTGTCAGCACCCCAGGGGTTGCCTATGGACCCAAGTAACAGCAACAGGAAGCGAGCCCCTGGGTAACAGGAGACAGATCTCAACACCCCACGTTCTGCAAGGGAAGGCCGAGTTCCCTTCCCTTGGGCAAGGGAAGGCTGCCCATGTTGATCTGTAATCAATCAATAACTAATTATGGCCCGCATTCTTCAGAGCCCAGACACAAACCCAGGCAGCCTGCAAGGGAGCTGGGATCTTCATCGCAATACTGTGCTCCCCCATGACCCTGCAGCGCTGCCTCTTGGACCCGTGCCTTCCGCGGCTTGGCACTGTTCTACATGACACTGGGAGGTGGCAGTGAACCAAACCAGACCCCACCTCCTCTCAGAGCGTGGATTGTTCTCCATTGGGGCATCACTGGCATGAGCAACTGGATGCTGATTTGCTGTGGAGGCTGTCGTGTGCATCGCAGAAATTTTATTTTTTATTTTATTTTAATGGTTTTCTTTGAGACACGGTCTCGCCCTGTCACCCAGGCTGGAGGGCAGTGGTGTGATCACGGCTCACTGCAGCCTCAACCTCCAGGGTTCAAGCCATCCTCTCACCTCAGCCTCCCAAGTAGCTGAGACTACAGGCATGTGCCATCATGCCTGGCTAATTTTTGTAATTTTTGTTTGTTTGTTTTTGTTTTTGAGATGGAGTCTCACTCATCGCCCAGGCTGGAGTGCAGTGGCACAATCTCAGCTCACTGCAACCACCCAGGCTGGAGTGCAGTAGCACAATCTCAGCTCACTGCAAGCTCCGCCTCCTGGGTTCACGTCATTCTCCTGCCTCAGCCTCCCAAGTAGCTGGGACTACAGGCACCCACCACTACACCCAGCTAATTTTTTGTATTTTTAGTAGAGACAGGGTTTCACCGTGTTAGCCAGGATGGTCTCGATCTCCTGACCTCGTGATCTGCCCGCCTTCGCCTCCCAAAGTGCTGGGATTACAGGCATAAGCCACCGCGCACAGCCAATTTTTGTATTTTTTGTAGAGACGGGGTCTCACTATGTTGCCCAGGCTGGTCTAGAACTCCTGGGCTCAAGCAATCCTCCCGCCTCAGCCTCCCAAAGTGCCAAGCAGAGCGTCACAGGAGGGACGAGAGTGCCGTTCTGGACCGACGCTCAGGGAGGGCACTGGGCCACTTTGGAGTTGTGGTGTCTGAGCCGAGCCTGGGGGAGGGATATCCAGGGCCTCGAGGATATCCACAGAAGACATCAGGCAGCGAGAGCTAGCACAGAAGCCCTAAGTCAGGGGAGTATCCCTGGAATGTTCCAGGACAATGAGGCCAGCGTGGCTACAGCAACGTCAGAGGGATGGCCAGAGCTCATGTAGTGTGTGCCTGCATCCCAGCTACTCGGGAGGCTGAAGCAGGAGGATCACTTGAGCCCAGGAATTCAAGTCCAGACTGGGCAACATAGTGAGACCCCATCTCTAAAAAAAAGTGAGGGGAGGCTCAGTGGCCCAAGAGGTGGTCTGTAGAGAACAGGGCTACCTGGTAGGCTGTGCTAGGTGTGGGAGGTGAAGTTTAAGCACCATGCAGGCAGCGTGCAGTGTGAAAAACCCTGCAATTCCCATAAAATCCCAGATCATCTCTAAATGTGATGTGGAAAAATAAATGGGACACACAGCCAAGGGACTTTAGCATAGGCAAAGAAATCAGGACACACTAGTGACACAGATGTTAAATGGTTATAAAGCTACAACATTTAAAACAATTTTGTATGGGCAAGAGAATAGCTAGAAAAAAAAAGCACAAAAAACAGAACCTGGCAGATCACTTGAGGTCAGGAGTTCAAGACCAGCCTGGCCAACATAGTGAAACCCTGTCTCTATTAAAAACACAAAATCAGTTGGGGGTGGTGGCGGGCACCTGTAATCCCAGCTACTCGGGAAGCTGAGGCATGAAAATCACTTGAACCCAGGAGGCGGAGGTTGCAGTGAGCTGAGATCGCGCCACTGCACCCCACCCTGGGTGACAGAGAAAAACTGTCTCAAAAAAAAAAAAGGAGAAGAAAAAAACCCAGTAGAAAGCCCAGACATAGATTCTAACACACACCAATACCACCAAGGAGCCACCTGGAGGCATCAGGGCTTGTCCAACAGATGCTAGTTAACAATTTAGAAAAAAAAAAAAATCCTTTGGTCCCTACTTTGCAACATACTCCAAATAAATCACAGATTAGTACAGGGTTTAAATTTAAGTAAAATCTTTTTTTTTTTTTTTTTTTTTTGAGACAGGGTCTCATGCTGTTGCCCAGGCTGGCATGCAGTGGTGGTGTGATCTCTGCTCACTGCAGCCTTGACTTCCCAAGGTTCAGGTGATTCTCCTGCCTCAGCCTCCCGAGTAGCTGGGGATACTGGCATGCACCACCATGCCCGGCTAATTTTTGTATTTATAGTAGAGACAAGGTTTTGGCATGTTGTCCAGGCTGGTCTCAAACTCCTGGGCTCAAATGATCCACCCATCTCAGCCTCCTGAAGTGCTGAGATTACAGGCGTGAGCCATGACCAGCCTAAATTTAAGTGAAATCTTATCTGTAACTGGATTTATTTAAAACTAAGGAGGCTGGCCAGGTGTGATGGCTCACATCTGTAATCCCAGCACTTTGGAATGCTGAGGTAGGCAGATCTCCTGAGGTCAGGAGTTCAAGATCGGCCTGACCAATATGGTGAAACCCTGTCTCTACTAAAAATACAAAAGTTAGCTGGGTGTGGTTGTGGGTGCCTGTATTCCCAGCTACTTGGGAGGCTGAGACAGGAGAATGGCTTGAACCCGGGAGGCGGAGGTTGCAGTGAGCCAAGATTGCATCACTGCCTGGGCAACAAAGCGAGACTCCGTCTCAAAATAAATAAATTAAATAAATAAAAGTAAGTGGACAGGAAGGAAACATGGCAGTAGGATGCTATCTATTAAACTGGAGTGCTGGAACATACATGTCTGTTACATTCTTTTCTGGACGTTTCTGTATGATATAGAAAAGTATTTCTTTACTAAAAATGCAAACCTACAAAAAGAAACCATTAAAGAATTGTAAATGAGGTAGGCAAATGTTCGCCCTTTACCACTGGGCTCCGGACCCCACGGACTTGAACATGATTCTGTCCCGTGTCCTAGTGTGGCTGTGTGTGTCCCTGTGGAGACCTCCATCCCTCCCGTCTTCCACATCAGAATGCTGGTGCTCACAGCTTTAGGTTCTGCTCAAATGCTGCCTCCTCTGTCCCCCAGGCCTCCCCACACTGCACCCTGCCTGCATGGTGCTTAAACTTCACCTCCCACAACTAGCACAGCCTGCCAGGTAGCCCTATTCCTTACAGACTGGCTCTTGGGCCACTGAGCCCCCCACCCCGTCTTGTTTTGTTTTGTTGTTTTGTTTTTGAGACGGAGTCTCGCTCTGTAGCCCAGGCTGGAGTGCCAGCGGCGCCATCTCGGCTCACTGCAACCTCCGCCTCCCGGGTTCAAGCGATTCTCCTGCCTCCGCCTCTGAAGTAGCTGGGATGACAGGTGCACACCACCACGCCAGGCTAATTTTTGTGGGTTTTCTTTTTTTTTTTTTTTTTTTGAGATGGAGTTTTGCTGCTGTTAGCCAGGCTGGAGTCCAGTGGCGTAATCTTGGCTCACCACAACCTTGGCCTCCCCGGTTCAAGCGATTCTGCCTCAGCCTCCCAAGTAACTGGGATTACAGGCATGTACCACCACACCCGGCTAATTTTGTATTTTTAGTAGAGACAGGGTTTCTGTATGTTGGACAGGCTGGTCTCGAACTCCCAACCTCAGGTGATCTGCCCGCCTCAGCCTCCCAAAGTGCTGGGATTACAGGAGTGAGCCACCGCGCCCAGCCTAATTGTTGTATTTTTAGTAAAGATGGGGTTTCACCATGTTGGCCAGGCTGGTCTCAAGCTCCTGACCTCAGGTAATCCACCCGCTTCAGCCTTCCATAGCGCTGGGATTACAGGCGTGAGCCACCACACCTGGCCCCGTCTTGTTTTTTTTTTAGAGATGAGGTCTCACTGTGTTGCCCAGGTTGGACTTGCACTCCTGGACTCAAGTGGTTCTCCTGATTCAGCTTTCCAAGTAGCTGCGATTACAGGCACACACCACAGCGCCTGGCCTGGCATCTGCACACACCAGGAGCTGCCCCTCCCATCACCGGCTGACTCACCTAGGTGGGCAGGGCTCCAGGCTGCAGGCCTCCTGGGGTTCCGGGCGAGGCAGCCCCTGGCACTGGGTGTCCAACAGGATCTCCTCACCATCGTCCTCCCCATGGGCCCGGGCACAATACAGGATCCTCCGCACGACCCCTCTCCCACAGCTCACGCTGCAGGCCGCCAGCTTGTACTGCCACCTGGAGCAAACTGGAGTCAGGGACCCCAAACAGCCCCAGGGCCTGGGAACCCAGGGGAGCCAGGTCTCCCCTTCATTTCCCCAGACTAGGAAGAGACAGGAAGCTGGGAAGGGCCCGGAGAGGTTCTCTTTCTGGAGGCCCCCTTGTGTCCTCACCAAGAGGCTTGGCAGAGTGGACAGAACATTTGGACAAACCCATTTTACAGAAGAGAAAGGTGAGGGCAAACGACAGATGTCGTATCCCAGAGACAGTGGGGGCAGGGGTCCGGGCACCCAAGGGCCCTGCATGTCTGTCTTCAACAGTGATCCCAGCACCACCGCCCTGGAGCCCACCCCGCCAGCCCTCCCCTCCTCCCCTCCCGCTGTGTTTGGCTGCATCGCACTGAACACCATCCATCAAACTGCATTCCCCGCCTGTCCTATTATTATCTGTCCCCCTTTCCCCCTGCATTTGCTCCAGGAGGTCAGGGACATTTGTCTGCCTTGTTCTCTGCTGTGTCCCCTAGCTCCAGGACGGCCCCGGGGCCTAGGTGCTCCATAAAGAGCAGGCGATGAAGAAACGCACCAGCAACCATGTGCACCCACAGCATCCCAGATCCTGTGCAATGTACTTTACACGCGTTGCATCGAGCATGCATTTTACACTCATTGCATTTAGCATGTACTTTACATGCATCTAATCCTTTCATTAAACTCCCCCAGTCTTCTGGGGGCACAAAATGACCTGCTCCCACTGGTGAGGACACTGAGGGTCAAAAGGTCTGGCTTGGAGGTGAGGAAAGAGCCAGGATGCAGACCTAGCACCCCCTGTCTCCTTGGGAAGGGGCCCACCTGGCAGGGCAGGGCTCTGGGTTGCAGTCCTCAAAGGGGCTGGGCCGGGGCTCTGGCCTGCACTTGGAGTGAGGCAGGGGGATGGGGCGGCCATGGTCCAGCCTCACACAGTGCACAGCCAGCAGCACCTGCCCCCCTCCGCAGGTCACCGGGCATGGAGCCAAGGCTCGGGTCTCCCACTTACAGGGAGAAGGCCAGCACACAGTCTTGCTCCCCTCACTCACCGAGCAGGGCACGGGACAGCCTGGCAGACCTCCCGCCGGCTCCCAGGCTTGCTTGCCAGGCCACACAGCTCTTCCTGGACAGGCACCCTGAGGGCAGAGTCCATGCACAGGAAACGCAGCTCCATCAGACCTGCGTGGACAAAGCAGAGACCCAGAGCCCCAAGGGACAGGCTCAGCAAGGACTGCAGCCCAGGCTCACTGGACACCTCTAGCACATAAGGCCCGCATGGGTTTCAATCCCGGCTCTGCCACTTACCAGCTGTGTGACCTCAGACAACTGACTTAACCCTCTGAATCTTAGATTTAGAAAAAAAGATAATGGCATCTACCTTGCAGAATCATTTATAAAGATTTTTAAAAGGGAAGATAACAAGTGCCTGGCACACAGTAGACACTTGACAAATGGTAGCTGTTATTGTTGACCGAGAGGCATTATAAGAATTGCAATATGGGCCAGGCACAGTGGCTCACGCCTGTAATCACAGCACTTTGGGCGGCGGATCACAAGGTCAGGAGTTCGAGACGAGCCTGACCAACATGGTGAAACCCCGTCTCTACTAAAAATACAAAAATTAGCTGAGCGTGGTGGTGCGCACCTGTAATCCCAGCTACTCAGGAGGCTGAGACGGAGAATCACTTGAACCCAGGAGGCAGAGGTTGCAGTGAGCCAAGACTGCGCCACTGGACTCCAGCCTGGGTGACAGAGCGAGACTCCATCTCAAAAAAAAAAAAAAGAAAAAAAAATCACAATATGAAAATCTCTGATTGTGTCTATCATAAAGATGTTATTAGGGCCAGTTTTCTCAAGTCTCTCTTTTAGGAATATCCTCAAAAGAAATAGGCTCAGTGGCTCATGCCTGTAATCCCAGCACTTTGGGAGGCCAAGGCGGGTGGATCACCTGAGGTCAGGAGTTTGAGACCAGCGTGGCCATCATGGCGAAACCCCCTCTCTAATAAAATAAAATACAAAAAATTAGCCAGGTGTGGTGGCACATAGCTGGAGTCCCAGCTGCTCAGGAGGCTGAGGCATGAGAATCGTTTGAACATGGGAGGCGGAGGTTGCAGTGAGCCAAGATCACACCACTGCACTTCAGCCTGGGCGACAGAGGAAAACTCTTAGTCTCAAAAAAAAGAAAAAAAAGAAAAAGAAAAAAAATCTCTTGGTTGGGCACAGTGGCTCATGCCTATAATCCCAGCACTTTGAGAGGCCGAGGCAGAAGGATCGCTTGAGCTCAGGAGATCAGGCTGGGCAACATAGGGAGATCCCATCTCTGCCAAAACTACAAAAATTAGCAGGGTATAGTAGCTATTCAGGAGGCTGAGGGGGGAGGATGGCTTCAGCCCAGGTGGTGGAGGTTGTAGTGAGCTAAGATTGTGCCACTACACTCCAACCTGGTGACAGAGGTTTTCTTTTTTGTCTCAAAAAAGAAAAGAGAGAAAAAGAAATCTCTTTTTGGTCTCGGTTTTAAACAGGCTGACATTTTACTGAGCAAGTGGTCAGGGTTTTCGTTTAAGAACATGGTGTGTCTTCTCAAGCCCATTAGGATGGCCATTATAAAAAAAACACAGAAATAGGCCAGGTGTGGGGGCTCACGCCTGTAATCCCAGCACGTTGGGAGGCCAAGGCAGGCAGATCACCTGAGGTCAAGAGTTTGGGACCAGCCTGGCCAACATGGTGAAACCCCATCTCTACTAAACAAAAAATTAGCCAGGCATGGTGGCAGACGCCTATAGTCCTAGCTACTCGGGAGGCTGAAGCACGAGAATCACTTGAGCCCCGGAGGCGAAGGTTACAATGAGCCAAGATCATGCCACTGCACTCCAGCCTCGGCAACAGAATGAGACTCTGTCTCAAAAACAAAAACAAAAACAAAAAAAACCATAGAAATAAAAAGTGTTGGCAAGGATGGGAGGACATTGGAACTCTTATGCACCATTAGTGGAAATGTAAAATGGTGCAGCCACTGGGGAAAACAGTCCAGCAGTTCCACAAAAATTAAACATAGAATTCTCATCTTACCCAGCTACCACACTTCTAGATATACACCCAAAAGAACTGAAAGCAGGAACTCAAACAGATATTTGCACACCCATGTTCACAGAAGCATTATTCACAATAGCCAAAGTGTGGAAGGAAGCCAAGTGTCCACTGATGAATAAATGGATAAACCTGTAAAGGATACACTCACAATGGAATCTTTTTCAGCCTTAAGAAGGAAACACTCACACATGCTACAACATGGATGAACTGTGAGGACATCATGCTGAGTGAAAACTAGTAACAAAAAGGCAAATGCTATATGATTCCACTTCTACAAGGTCCCTAGAATTGTGGAATCTGGAGACAGAAAGGAGAATGGAGGTTGCCAGGGGCTGCGGAGGGGGAAATGGGAGTTCGTGTTTCACAGGGACAGAGCTCCAGTTTGCGAAACTGGAAAAGTTCTGGAGAGGTTGGTGGTGATGGCCGCACAACAATGTGACTGTGCTTTTATGCCACTGACCTGCACAGGGAGAAACAGTTTGGATGGTAAATTTTATAATATCTGTGTTATACTGCAATAAAACAAGATTGGGAAAATAGAAGAACGCTGTGTATCTTAAAGCTAAGGTTTCTCTGCTCGGGTCATCAATTGGGGACCCCCCGGCCGCTCTGCTAGGACCATAAGGAATGGCTCTCGTGCCACACTGCCGGGCGTTATTGTCTTTTCCTACCTTTCAGCCAATCAACACCCACATTTGAAGTGGCTGTCAGCTACTATGCTTAGTCTCCTTGTGTATTACCACGTGTTCCCATATAGTCTGGATTTTCTGCAATCCACCTCAAATGCTTTTCAGAACGAGGCAAGATGCAAGTGGACAGGAGAGTTACCATGAGTGCTGGTCCCCAGGAGCATCCCGGGGGCCCTCACCTCGCCCGCAGGAGACGGAGCACGACCCTGCCGCAGGGGTCCACACGTGTGCAGCTTGAGCCCCCGTCCTGATGCTGCCCCATGGGGAGGGAGCCTTCTCCCCTGCAGAGGTGGCATCCAGCTGTGGGGAATAGCAACAAGCTGGTGGGTCTGGGCCTCCTCTGAGGACCCAGCGATCCCCGTCTCGATCTTCTCAGGCAGCAGCAGAGAGACCAGGAAGTGGCGTGTGTGCACCAGGGGCTCCCTCCCCTCCTCCCTTGGCGAGATCGGCTCCCCGGTCTCGCAGCGGGTATCCTTGCTGCACACCCCACCTTTGCAGGCTCCTCAGCAGCATGAGTGCTCACTGTGGGCCTGGCCGAGAGCTGGGGACCAAGAGTGGGACATGGGAGCATGCCTGGCCCTGCAATCCCCCCAGCCATGAGGGGCGAGGGTTGCCAGCACCCAGGCCAGAGAGCAAGGCCAGTCAGCCTCCAGCCCCTGGACGCCAGGCGGGAGCCTGGCAGCATTTCTCTGCACAGCAGCTGCATTACACTCTCCTCAGATGCTTCCCTCAGCCCGGCTTGCAAGGGGAATGGGAGCCTTCCCAGGGGCCCTGAGCCCTCTTTCTAAGCTTCTTTTCTGAGCAGGGGTGGCCCTCAGACAGCATTCCCACAGAAGGATGGTGTTCTTGCTCTGGCCTGGAGGACGGTGGCAATGGGTGCTCCTCGTTCTCCCAGCCAGGTAAAGGACTCAACAGCCCCAGCCACCCTCATGCCCAGGGCACTCACATGGCCCCAGCCTGGAGGACATGACATCCCGACACAGGGCTCAGGGGCAGGCAGCTTCTCATCTACGGAGCCAGGCCCCTCAGTCACTGGAGCCTCCAGGCCATCTGCCCCTGGCACACAGGTCTCGTTCTCCAAGGCCAGGCCTGCTCCACCAGCTGATGTGCATGAGCTGGGCTCTGACACCTCCCACCTGAGGATGGCATGAGACAGTCATCAGGCCCTGCCTCTGCCACCCAGGGGAAGGTATAGCCCAGCTGCTAGGGGCAGGGAGGAAGGGGACCTGCTCCCCAACATCCAGGAGCCCAAAGAGGAGCCCCACAGAGAAGTGAAGCTCAGGGTCTCTCCCTGAAGCACCGGGTTCCCCATTCATCAGCCAGCAGGTTCCCATTCAACAAGCACTCGCTGCTCAACAGTCAGGCACCCCACCTGCACCCAGGGTGCAGAGACAGAACCTATCCCTGGCCAGGCACGGTAGCTCAGCACTTTAGGAGGCTGAGGTGAGCAGACTGCTTGAGCCCGGGAGTTGGAGACCAGCCTGGGCAACATGGCAAAACCCTGTTTCTACAAAAAATACAAAAATTAGTTGGGCTTGGTGGCGCACACTTGCTGAGGCAGGAGGTTGCAGTGAGCCAAGATCATGCCACTGCATACCAGCCTGGGTGAGAGAACAAGACTCTGTCTTTTAATAAAAAAAAAAAAGAGAACCCATCCCTCCTACTCTCCAGAGGCAGAGGCCGACCTCCAGCCAGGTAATCACTGACTCCATGCACCATAGCAGGTGCAGAGAAACAGGTGCCACATGGAATTGGATCACCAGGTTCAAGGGTGGCCAATGGGTTTCAGCTGTGAGTCAGCCCTGCGCTAAAGTGGCTGCCTGGAGAGCTGTGTGAGAAGGATTCTGAGGCCCTATCTGGCCTCAGCGGGGAAGAGTGGTGACTGTTTTGTCTGCCACGGATGACGAGGCGGGGAAAGGAGTCCAGAGCTATGAGTGGGCCACCAACAATCCAGACCAATCCCCTCCCACCGGACAGGTCGCAAAACTGAAGCCCACAGAGGAGGGGACTTGCCCTGTCACTCAGCTCGTTAGTGGCAGGGCAGGATGATAAGCCACTGTCAACTTGGACACTGAGGGGATGAGATGCAGCCACGTGGGCACGGGGGAGATGGTGGTGATGAGAAAGTGACATCTCCCACTCCGTTCAGTTTGACCTCATCCTCGAAGCCCCCCCTCCCCAGGCAGGTCGGCATCCCCATTTCAGAGCAGGGGCTCGGAAGCTCAGAGAGGGAAACAATGGGCCCAGGCTCTCCTGGGTAGTAAGGAACTCTGACAGCAGCACTTACAACCGCCAGGTGACACTGCCCATCACCCTGGATGGTGAGGCCCCGCCGGAGGCCTCAGGAGGAGGGGATTCTCAGAAGGATGGGGGCTCAGCGCAGGGACGAGCTCTGCCAGGAAGGCCCTCTCCCAGCCCCACCTAGCCCTGGGCTCACCTGGCAGGGCAGGGCTGGGGGTTGCAGGTTTCCAGCGCCACAGCTGGCTGCTGGGCCCCTGCTCTGCACCGGGCTGGGGGCAATGTCTTCAGGAGGCTGCCCTGGGCCTCCACGCAGCGCACTGGCCGCTCCCGCAGGCCACCCCCACAGGAGGCGCTGCATGGGCCGAAGTCTCCCACCGCCCAGCTGAGGAAGGAGACAGAGCGTCGGGACCCTGGCCAGGTCCCAGGCTGGCCTGGGGTGATGGGGTGGCAGGTGCTGATGTACTCCCCCGGTCTGGGACAAGCAATGGGCACTACGGCCAGCCTAGCCTCTCCAGGTGTTCCCAGGCTGCCAGACGGCTGAGCCTGAGGACAACCGAATCACAGGCTGGTGAGCAGCTGCCCTGTCCTGCACCCAGCAGGAATGGCCTCGTCCCTAACAGTGTGCCCCGTCAGGTGTGGTGACAGCCAGGGGCTTTGCACCAGGAGCTCCGCAAGTCTCCCTACAACCCTCCAGGTAGGCAATCACCTCCATCTCACCATGAGTACCTGAGCTCAAGAGAGGCCTCGGTGGCCCAGACAAGGTGGCAGCAGGTGTGGGTCCCACTGGGCTGACATTGTCACCATGTCTGCCCCAAGCCTCAGTGTCCTCACCTGCAGAATGGGGGCACTCACAGAGCCCCCCTTGCAGGGCTGTGGGCAGGGGTAATGAGAGCCTGCACAGGAGCAGCTCAGCCCGGCCCTGCCACATGGGCCCCATAGGCCAGGGACAGAGCCCAGCAGCCCCAGCGGAACCCTCTCTCCCCCTTGGAGCTGCGCAGACAGCACCACACTCACTAGGGAGGGCAGGGTTCGAGCACGCAGGCCTCTGGCCACGCTGGTGGCTGCTGGCTCCCTTGGCACTGGACAGTCTCCACCAACTCCTTCCTGGCCTGGTCCAGGCAGCTGTAGTTTACCCAGCGCAGCCCTGGGAGGGAAGAGGGAGGGCTAGGCCGCCTCCCTGCAGGGGCAAGCCGTGCTGTGGATGAGCCTTCCCCAGGTCTCACCTGCCCCACAGCTCACCGAGCAGGGCCCACGCACAGCGGCCCACACCCAGGCCTGCCGTGGCTTAGGCTGGAAGTAGGTGAAGGTGATGTCTGGGCGGGTGAGGTTGCCATACTCCTCGCCATACCGCCTGTAAACCTGCAGACAAAGAGCTTCAGGCCTTGTCCAGTGGGTTCCCTGAGGGTCACTGTCATGGCCACCTCCCCTGGGAAGCCTTCCAACTTCTTCTTGCATCCCTATAATCTTTCGTTCAGCAAGCAATCACTGGCCAGGCACGGTAGCTCATGCCTGTAAACCCAAAACTTTGGGAGCCTGAGGCAGGCAGATCACTTGAGCCCAGGAGTTTCAGAGCAGCCTGGGCAACATAGCACTCCAGCCTGGCCAACAGTGAGACCCTCTCTAAAAAAACAACAAAGACAAAAATAACGGGAAGCAATCACCAACACTGACCTGTACCAGGCTCTGGGGATAGCACAGTGCACAGGACACTGGCTGAGCTGCAAGGAGCTCTCAGTGGGTTGGGATAGAGGGCTCGGGGAGGTAATTACCAAGTCATTGGTGGGTTACATGATAGGGTATTTGGGCAGCACAGAGAAGGTTCCCTAAGCTGGCTGGGTAGAGGATAAAGTGCAGTGGAGGAGGCAGGCCCACCTTAGGCTGGGCTAAGGAGCCCAAGAAGGGCTAGGGCAGGGCCAGCACAGAAAGTGCTTCTGGAGCCAGAGCTGAGGCCCGTAGGGTCGGCAGGAAGAAACTGGATCCCTGGGGACCTGTGGTAGGGTCGGCAGGAAGAAACTGGATCCCTGGGGACCTGTGGCCAGCTACTGGCTTGGGACTGGCCCGGAGAGCACTAGGAAGAACTTCAGCAGGTTCCTGGGCCTAAGGCTCTTCAGGAGGGTAACTGGGTCCTGTGCCCAAGACCAGCCCAAGAAAGAGGCCAGCCTGGAGGCCAGAGCCCAGGGCGAGGTGACATTCCGCACCTGCCCCCTCGATGCCCACATCTGGCCAGTGCCGCAAGCCTGTGTTGGTTACGGTGCGGTTTCTCAGGCCCAACACAGGGAAGTCCTGATTCAGGGAATATGCAGAGGACCCGGGAATCTGCTTTTTTACACACTGCAGAGGATGATGGGAGAGCCACTCGGCAGCTAGCATCTGGATACAATGTCCCAGGCAAGGGGAGGGGAGGAAGGGAACCATATCAGGGGAAGAGAAGGGATAAGCCGCTCACAGGGGCTTGCTTTGGCCCGGCCTGGCCTGATCTGTGGGAGGCCCTCCTGTCTCTGGCTGCTGTAGGGGCAGAGGACGCTGCTCCGGCCGCTGAGACTGGGCCCCTCTCCCAAGGTTCTCAGGTCTGTTTCAGCCTGCGCTTATGTCTCTCCACCCTCCACGTGCCTTCCTCAGCGAAGCACCAATGGGGACATACATGGGCGAGCACACGTCACTGAGGACACGCCTGAACAAGGCCTTCCGGTTCCCACACACACTGCACCAAAGAAGCAGTGAGAGCCAGCATCTGTTCTCAGCTTCCTCAGCACCAAGGCCTACTCCCCAGATGCCACTGCACCTGCGTCCATGCCTTCATCTCCCCACAAACCCACACAGTAGGACCTTCCTTCATCCCTCCCACACTGACACTGTTCCCTCAGCCATACGCTTCCTTCCCTGCTTGGCCCAGCAACATCTGCTCATCTGACACCTCAGCTCCATCACTCTTTCCCAGGGAGCCCTGGACCCCTGCATTGGGCCCTCCAACCTTACCTGATCCCAGAACTGCAGGGCCTTCTCCCACGGGCTCTGGGCACAGGCACATTTGGATATTTGTGGGACCCTAAGCCCCTGGAGGAGCTAGCTACATTTTGCCTAGCACAGGGCCCAACACATAGTGGGTCCCCTGTAAGTGACCGCTGAATGAATAAATGAACGAATCAGGGAATGGATGGATAGACAAACGAGCAAGCAGCCATAGCCCCCAAGAAGAAGCCCCCACTGGCCTCCCCCAGGCTCTCCTGCTGACCTGGATGTCAGCATCTTCCTGGAGGGGTCCCCAGATGCGGATCTCCTCCAGGCGGGGCAGCCGGTCCTCGGTGAGGGCCACTCTGTACTCGACACGACCATCCTCCAGGAGGGAGGGGTAGGTGGTGTTAGGGGAGATGCTCATCTTCCCAGCCACGACATAGCGCCCTCCGATCCTCACCGCTGTCGGGGAACCAGCCCTGTTAGCTGTGTGGAGCTGAGCACCCATCCTCCTCACAGGCACATGTCAGTGACTCTCCTTCCCGGGGTCCCCAGCCCTCCTCTAAGGAGCCACAGGCATCTGAGCTAGAGGCTTCCCCACAGCGGAGGCTCTAGGCCTCTTTCCACAACCTGGTGAGTGCTATGACCAAGTGCACTCACGCACAGAACTCAACAGGCTCAGGGCTCAGGGACCCCATGGCAAGTGCCGGCAACCAAGGCTTCAAAGGTTAGGTGCAGACACACTCCAGAAAGACCCACTGTGGCCCTCAATAGCAAAGAAGCGGGCCTTGCCCAAAGAGAAGTCCAGCTTTTGCTGTTGGCTTCCAAGAGGAAACACGGGTCACACCAGGCAGAAGTGTCCTCCTTTAGGGCAGGGGCTGGCTGTACCAGAAAGACCAACTATGTGATTTAGGATAGGGGCTGGGTCACCAAGAGACTGAGAGTATCCACCTGGCCAATTAGTCAATCATGTCTTTGCACTCAAACCCCAGGAAAAACTCTCAACTCCCACTCAGTGGGCTTTCTGTGTGGGCAATACTCCATGCGTATGGCCACGCTCCAATGCTAGAAGGGTGTCACATCCCTGAGACATCAGGCCTCCTGGTTGGACCCTCCCAGACTCTGCCTACATCTCTTCCCTTGGACAATTCTAACCTGTGTTCTTCTGGAAGGAGCCGCAGCCATGTGCCACAGCTCTCAGTGAGCTCTGGGAGTCTTCCTAGTCAACTATCAAGCCTGAGGGTGGTTTGGGGAACCCCCTGAACTTGCGGGTGATGTCAGAAGTGAGGGCATCTTGGCAACAGTGCTCTGCACCTTTGCAGTCTAGCTAACTGGGTGGGAGTCCTCCAGTCAACTCACCCAAGTGTGTGAAGAGAGGCCTGTGGTTGGCAATGTAGACACTGGTCAGGTTGGGGGTAACTGTCAGAAACGTGACATATTCTAGAAAGAAGAAAAGAAGGAGAGATGCGTGGACCTCACAGCCACCACACCACAGACAAAGGGAGCTGATCTTAGCTGGTCGGGAAAAATTGAACAATGCCATGGGGCTGGCTCCAGCAGCAGTGAGTCCCCTGTCATGGGGGCAATTAAAAGCAGGCTGGAGGACCACCTGCCAAGGCTCTGCCCTGGCTGGGAGAAGGGACCGGGTCCAAGGTTCTCCAGCACAGTGGGGCAAGCCAGAGGGAGGCAGGGCTCAAGTCTCTGCTCTCCATAGAAGCACTGGCATTTGCAAATGGTTTTTGACCTCATATATACACCAAAGTCAAAGATTTTCCAAATGTAACTACCAACCCTCTCATTCACTTGTGTCCCTCTCAGTGGGATTTCTTGAGCAGGAGAGAAGAGGGTAGCTGCCACAGAATGCACAACGTCCATACTTTTTTTTTTTTTTTTTTGAGACAGTGTCTCACTCTGTTGCCCGGGCTGGAGTGCAGAGGGATCTCGGCTCACTGCAACCTCTGCCTCCTGGGTTCAAGCAATTCTCCTGCCTCAGCCTCCTGAGTAGCTAGGACTACAGGCGCCCGCCATCATGCCCAGCTAATTTTTGTATTTTTAGTAGAGATGGGGTTTCACCATACTGGCCAGGCTGTAGGTGATCTCCCGACTACAGGTGATCCACCCGCCTCAGCCTCCCAAAGTGCCGGGAGTACAGGCGTGAGCACAGCGCCCGGCCAATGTCTGTGTTTTTTTTGCAGCACGGCTACAGTGAGTGACCATTACTGAGGCACCACAGTCCCAGCAGCATCAAGGCCAAAACCTGAGCCTGCCACAGAAGGGTGGCGAAGTGGAAGAGGGAGACGCTGACACCACAGGAGGCATCCAGGGCTGAGTGAGTGTGCAGGCCCTGTGACCTGAGCAGCCCCTGCACCAACGCTCTGGGCTGTGGCCATCTTGGAGGCTGGGGGAAGCCCAGCCTCTGCCCCGAGGGAGGCCGCCTACCTCTCGCTCTGCCAGCTGTGAAAGAGCCCTTCCGTGGGCTGCACGTGCTGTTGTCCCCACCACACACCTGGCACCTGTCCCATACCTGCTGGGAGTCCATCCTACCATCACAGCCAAATGTCTATGCAAAGGGAAGGACAGAGGGCCCGTGTCACTGGAGGGTGCTGGCCTCAATGACTCTGCAGCCCTGCCAGCTCTGAGATTCTGGGATCCACAAAACCAGCAACACTTCTATAGCACCCCACCATCTACACAGGAAGCAAGCTTAGAGGGCTCAGTGACTTGCCCAAGGTCACACTGCAGCCCTTAACCCAGGCTGACTCCAAGTCCAGATCCTTTTCCCCAGCACCACTCCCCTGCAGAGGGCACTGCAGCTCCATCAGGGCCAGCACCCACCAACCTGCCCCCAGGAGCCTTCCGATAGGACAGGTAGGCCCCAGGGCCATCGCCAATGTCCACACACGCCTACCCTGCAGCTGCCCGACACACACAGGCTCAGGGTCCCGTCCTCCCGGGGGCCACTTGGCATACACCGGGTCCCATCGAGGAAGCTGTCTCCACGCTTCATGATGAAGCTCTCGCCAATGGCCCGGCACATGTGTCTGCACAGAGCATCCCCTGGGAGGGCAGAGTGAAAAAGGGTGTCCTGAACCGAGCAGGAGGGGCAAGTCCCCCAGCCCCCACCCAGCTTCATCCTTTGCATCTGGGGCAAGGGTTTCTATCTTCCCCACATCCCACCTCCTAAGGCAATAATCCTAATCACGATCCTAATCTAATCTAATAATTAATGGTATTGAATTAGGAACCAAGGCTGGGCGCAATGGTTCATGCCTGTAATCCCAGAACTTTGGGAAGCCGAGGCAGGCGGATCACCTGACGTCAGGAGTTTGAAACCAGCCTAGCCAACATGGCGAAACCCCATCTCTACTAAAAATACAAAAAAATTAGCCGGCATGGTAGTGCAAGCCTGTAGTCCCAGCTATTCGAGAGGCTGAGGGGCAAGAATCCCTTGAATCCCAGAGGCGGAGGTTACAGTGAGCTGAGATTACGCCCCTGCACTCCAGCCTGGGCGACAGAGCAAGACTCTGTCTCACAAAAAAAGTATCATGAACCAAGGAACACACTTGGCATTTTCCGATTATCTCCCTGAATCCTTGTAGCGCCCAGGGAGGGACCTACTGCTATTATCTCCATTTCACAGATGGGAAATTGAGACTCAGAGATGGGATGTCAGTGCCTGATCTACCAGCGAGGCCTGGCCACTATGTCATCCATGGTCTGTGGGATGCCAGAGCCTGAACCACTTTGCCCAGTGCTGGAGGGATAGTAGGCCAACCCCCCTATGACTCTGCCCTGTCCGAGGGTCTCCAGGGCTGGCTCCTCCCCCAACCCCACACTCCGCAGGCCCCACCTTGGCTGTGTGGTACAGCAGCACCCCAGTGGTAGAAGGAGGCGCCGCCAGGGGAGGAGCGCAGCGGCTGGCCGTCGGTCCTGGCGCACTGTTGCGACATGAACTCCAGCTGGGTCTTCTCGCAGGCCTGGCCAGGAGGAGGCAGAGGAGGGGGATGGCGGTGGGGCGGGGGGCGGGTGTTGTCACTGGGAGACTACATGGCACCCTACAGTACAGGATCAAGATGTGGGTGTGGCCTCAGCTCCAGGCCGTGCCTCGGTTCCCTGCTCTGTAAACTGGGGTGACAAAAGTGCCTGCCTCTCTCTATTGATGGGAAAACCCCGGGGAATCCGTAAAGAACACAGGGCAGCAACGAAGAAGAAAGCCAGGAAAGAGCATTACGCTCAGAGCCTCTGCTTCCAAGGCCTGAACTCAATAAAACAGGGACGGGGATGTGTATTCTTTAGGTAGTGCACCTAGAGGCAGGTAACCAAAGCATGGAGCAAAGACCTCACCACCGAAGCCTCTGCACTCAGGCAGGCGTCTTGGACTTTTATGGGCTGACAGAAGATAACCGGAGTTGACTCCCTGGACAGCCACACTGACCACACTGCCTCCACGAAATCCCACCACCCTGTGCTCCAGCCAAAGACCCTCCCCTCACGGTCTGGGGAGGTCTTGGTGGTCCATTTGGAGAAGGAGGAAAGGGAGGGTCTCACCACATGCAGAACTGTAATACAGCCAGGGACAAACCCACACCCAGGGCCATCGAAGCAGGAGATAGAATTTAACTCAATGTAAAAAGAATCTTTCTACCATTTCATACCACCGAGATGGCCAAAATCAAAAAACAGAAAACAGGCCGGGCGCCATGGCTCACGCGTGTAATCCCAGCACTTTGGGAGGCTAAGGTGGGCGGATCACCTGGGGTCGGAGTTCAAGACCAGCCTGGCCAACATGACAAAACCCCATCTCTATTAAAAAAAAAAAAAAAAAAAAGAAGAGAAAAGAAAAAACAACAACAGAAAACAGCAAGTGCTGCAGCGGATGTGGGGAAACTGGAACCCTGGCGCAATGCTGGTGGGAATGTGAAACAGTTCAGGCACTGTGGAAAACGGTTTGGCAGTTTCTTTAAAAGCCAAACATGCTGGGCGCGGTGGCTCACGCCTGTGATCTCAGCCCTTTGGGAGGCCGAGGCAGGCAGATCACGAGGTCAGGAGATCAAGACCATCCCGGCTAACATGGTGAAACCCCGCCTCTACTAAAAATACAAAAAAAAATTAGCCGGGCGTGGTGGCGGGCGTCTGTAGTCCCAGCTATTCGGGAAGCTGAGGCAGGAGAATGGGGTGAACCTGGGAGGCGGAGCTTAGAGTGAGCCGAGATCGCGCCACCGCACTCCAGCTTGGGCGACAGAGCGAGACTCCATCTCTAAAAAAAAAAAAATAAAGAAAGAAAGAAAAAAATAAGAAAAAAAAAAAGTCAAACATAGGCCGGGAGCGGTGGCTCATGCCTGTAATCCCAACAGTTTGGGAGGCCAAGGCGGGCAGATCACCTGAGGTCAGGAGATCCAGACCATCCTGGCTGACGTGGTGGAAACTCCATCTCTACTAAAAATACAAAAAATTAGCCAGGCATGGTGGCGCGTGCCTGTAATCCCAGCTACTCCGGAAGGTGAGGCAGGGGAATCGCTTGAACCCAGGAGGCGAAGGTTGCAGGGAGCTGAGATTGCACCACTGCACTCCAGCCTGGCGACAGAGCAAGACTCTGTCTCAAAAAAAAAAAAAAGAAAAAAAAAAGTCAAACATACAATTCCCATACGATCCAGTAACTCCGCTCTTCAGCATACTGCCAAAAGAATTGAAAACAGGGATTCAAACATGTACAAGCACATTCGCAGCGGCTCTGTTCACAGGAGCCAAAAGGTGAAAACACCTCAGATGTCCATCAGCAGACGACTGGATGAAAATGTGGTCTATCCCTGCAGTGGAATATGATTCAGCCAGAAAGAGGAATGAGGCGCTGACACAGGCTACAACACAGGTGAGCCTTGGGGACGTGCCGCTGGGGGAGGAAGGCAGGCAGGAAGCACACCTGTTGTCTGGCCTCAGGTACGTGGCATGTCTAGAACAGGTCAATCCACAGAGACAGAAGGGAAACCAATGGCCGCTGAGTGGCGGAGGAGAAATGGGGAGTGACAGCCTACCATATGGGGTTCACTCCAGAGTACTCCAGAGTACTGGAAACGTTCTGAAACTAGACAGAGGCAGTACTTGCCCAACCTTGTGAGTGTACTAAAGGCCACTGAGTTGCCACTTTAAAATGCTTGATTTCATGCTACATGAATGTCACCTCAATTTATAAATAAAAGACTCCTTCGGCCAGGCGCAGTGACACCTGTAATCCCAGCACTTTGGGAGGCCGAGGCAGGCGGATCACGAGGTCAGGAGATCAAGGCCATCCTGGCTAACACGGTGAAACCCCTCCTCTACTAAAAATACAAAAAATTAGCCGGGCGTGGTGGCGGGCACCTGTAGTCCCAGCTACTCAGGAGACTGAGGCAGGAGAATCGCTTGAACCTGGGAGGCAGAGGTTGCAGTGAGCTGAGATAGCACCACTGCACTCCAGTCTGGGTGACAGGGAGAGACTCTGTCTAAAAAAATAAAAATAATATTTAAAAAATTCCTTTGCAGGCATGCAGCAGCGCACTGTATTCCTAGTGGGGAGGTTCTCCCTGCAGAGATGCGCTCTGGAGGGCAAAGTGGCACTCAGGGAGGGAGGCGGGACGCTTCAGGGGCTCTGTGGGCATCAGCAGGACTGGCCTGGTTTATGAACTGGGGTCCCAATGTCCTTCTCTCTCTTTTTTAATTTTTATTTTTTTTTTGAGACAGAGTCTCACTCTGTCGCCCAGGCTGGAGTGCAATGGCCCAATCTCGGCTCACTGCAAGCTCTACCTCCTGGGTTCAAGTGATTCTCCTGCCTCAGCTTCCCGAGTAGCTGGGACTACAGGCGCCCACCACCACGCCCGGCTAATTTTTGTATTTTCTGTAGAGACGAGATTTCACCATGTTGGCCAGGCTGGTCTTGAACCCCTGACCTCAGGTGATCCACCTGCCTTGGCCTCCCAAAGTGCTGGGATTACAGGCATAAGCCACCTCACCTGGCCCCAATGTCCTTCTCAAATGTGTCCTGGTGTGAACCACAGATGGTCACTTTGGCTCCCCCAGGGCCCGGTGCCACCAGCTGCCCCCTCCTACCCCAGGAAGCAGGCCTACCTGAGTGTTGCACATCTCGGCCTGGAGGTCAGCACCAACACATGCACGCCCCCCAAAGGCAGGTCTGAAAATGCCCAGCAGACAGGAGGGTGAGAGAGCAGGGTGACCACTGCCTTCAACTAGGGACTATGGTATGGCCACACTCCCTGACAGAAAAGCACCCTCCCTGCGGTACCTGGGGTTGTTGCACTGCCGCCTCCTGGTGACCACACCTCCTCCGCAGGAGCGGGAGCAAGGACTTCGGGGACCCCAGCTAGACCAGCGCCCATGCACTGCTGCTATGGGGGTCAGCTCCACCAGGGAGCGGCAGCGACCCTTGGAGCACCACTGCAAGGCAAGGATGGCTTCATCTCCCATCCCACAGTGACCCCACCACAGGACTCCCAACACACACAGAGAGTCCCCCAACATCCTCAGGGATCCCCAACACACACAGGGACCCCACCCACAGCGACCCCCAAACACACACAAGGAACTCACCCATAGGGATCCCCCAACACACAGGGATCTCCAACACACACAGAGACCCCCCAACACACAGGTACCCCAGCCACATGGATCCCCCAGACCCACAGGGATCCTCCAACACCCAGAGACCCCCCAACATACACACAGAACCCCCCAGGGACCCCTCAACACACAGGGATCCTCCAACACACACATAAGGACCCCACCCACAGGGACTCTACACTCACAGGGACCCCTTACACAGGGATCCCCCCCGAGACACCCCATATCCACAAGGACCTTCACACAGGGACCCCACCCAAAGGAACCCCACACCCATGGGCACCCCCCATACAACAGGCAGCCCACATTCCCATTCTGCATGGGAGCAAATGCTAAAGGAAAGAGGTCAGACCACCAACCCAAAGGACAGTCCCCAAGGCCAACTCCAAGACTCTCTGCCCCATACTGGTCCTGCCTCCTGACCTAGGAATAGGGCGGCCTGGCTGGAGGCACCCACGTGCACGTGCTCACAGGAGCCCACTCATTCACTCTTGGCTCTGACCTTCTCCACGCCACATTCTGTCCCATCCAGGAGAGGAACGAGGAGGCGGCTGCAGCTGCTTTGGTCCAGCGGGTCTGTGTGGCAGGAGAGGGCCTGGCACATATCCTAGGAGGGTGGACAGGTGGGTGGCGAGCTCAGGGGCCACCAGGGCCTTCCAGGCCAGTGTCCAACCTTAACTGTCCCTCCCAGACTGCAGGACACACTGACACAGCCAACACTCTGCACCGTGGGCACTGGTGCCCTCAGAGGACAAGGCATGACTGACCCATCGATGGGGAACCGGGACCATGACCAGGTCCTGTCACACTTTTGGGGGCCCATGGAAATGTGTTTTTTGTGTCTTTTTTCTTTTTTTCCTTCTTAACTTGTCACTGACTTGAAGCTCAAGAGGCAAATGTTTTAATTTATTTTTCTTTCTTGTTTTTTTTTGAGACAGTTTCGCTCTTGTTGCCCAGGCTGGAGGGCAATGGCGCGATCTTGGCTCACCTCAACCTCTGCCTCCTGGGTTCAAGCAATTCTCCTACCTCAGCCTTCCGAGTAGCTGGGATTACAGGCATGCGCCACCACGCCCGGCTAATTTTTTGTATTTTTAGCACAGATGGCATTTCTCCATGTTGGTCAGGCTGGTCTCAAACTCCCGACCTCAGGTGATCCGCCTGCCTTGGCTTCCCAAAGTGCTGGGATTACAGGCGTGAGCCACCACACCTGGCCTAATTTCTTTTAAAATCAGAAGGAAAAAGGCCGGGCACTGTGGCTCACGCCTGTAATCCCAGCAATTTGGAAGGCCGAGGCGGGCAAATCACGAGGTCAGGAGAGCGAGACCATCCTGGCTAACACAGTGAAACCCCATCTCTACTAAAAATACAAAAAATTAGCCGGGTGTGGTGGCAGGCACCTGTAGTCCCAGCTATTCGGGAGGCTGATGCAGGAGAATGGCTTGAACCCTGAAGGCAGAGCTTGCAGTGAGCCAAGATTGAGCCACTGCATTCCAGCCTGGGTGACAGAGCGAGACTCCGTCTCAAAATAAATAAATAAATAAAATAAAATCAGAAGAAAAAAATGAACTAGGCTGGGTGTGGTGGCTTATCCTGTAATCCCAGCACTTTGGGAGGCCAAGGCGGGCGGATCACCTGAGGTCAGAATTCGAGACCAGCCCGGCCAACATGATGAAACCCTGTCTCTACTAAAAAATACAAAACTTAGCTGGGCATGGTGGCACATGCCTGTAGTCCCAGCTACTCGGGAGGCGTAGGCCCGGGAATCACTTGAACCTGGGAGGCGGAGGTTGCAGTAAGCCAAGATTGTGCCACTGCACTCCAGCCTGGGTGACAGAGTGAGACTCTGTCTCAAAAAAAAAAAAAAATGAAAAAATGAACTTCCAGGTCAAAATTAATGTTGTAATATATAATATTAATAGATTTGCTGATCAGGCGTGGGTGGTGGCTCATGTCTGTAATCCCAGTGCTTTGGGACGCCAAGGTGGGAGGATGGCTTGAAGCCAGGAGTCCTAGACAAGCCTGGGTAACAAAGGGAGACCCCATCTCTACAAAAAATTTAAAAATTAGCTGGGCATTGTGGCATGTGCCTGTAGTCCCAGCTACTCCAAGGCCGAGGTGGGAGGATCGTTTGTGCCCAAGAAGTTGAGGCAACAGTGAGCTATGATTGTGCTACTGCACTCCACCCTGGGCAACAGAACGAGGCCCTGTCTCAAAAGAATTTAAAAAAAAAGACTTGGCGGGGCGCTGTGGCTCATGCCTGTAATCCCAGCACTTTGTGAGGCCAGGGCGGGCGGATCACGAGGTCAGGAGATCGAGACCATCCTGGCTAACACAGTGAAACCCCGTCTCTACTAAAAATACAAAAAATTAGCCAGGCGTGGTGGCGGGCGCCTGTAGTCCCAGCTACTCGGGAGGCTGAGGCAGGAGAATGGTGTGAATCTGGCAGGCGGAGCCTGCAGTGAGCAGAGAGGGAGACTCTGTCTCAAAAAAAAAAAAAAATAGGAAAAAAAAAGACTTGTATTTATAGTAACACATAAAACTTTATACATTGTATAAGAATATTAAAACATAATTCTCAATTTTTTTGTGGAGGAAGGGGCCCATCAAGGCAAAAGTGCCTGGAGCCCATGAATGTCCTATGCAATCCTGCGAGGAAGTCTGTCTTTTGGGGTGCCTGCTCTCCTTCATCTCCCCTCCCCCTACCAGCCCCACTTCTGCTGTGGGTTCAGTTTAGAGGCCACTTCCTCCAGGAAGCCCTCCAGTCTGACTCCAGCCACAATAGATGGGGAAGTCCTTGGTAACTGTTTAAGATTGGTGTCCTCACTCAGCCAGGAGTCCTTGGGCACAGGGGCCCTCCCAGGACTAGCTACATAATTTGTGGGGCCCAGTCAAACAAAAATGTTGGAGCTTTTGTTCAAACATTTTAAATAATTTCTAGAGGGCACAGACAGCATTAAACTAAGCCGCCCTGGCTTAGTACCTCAGCCTAGCACGGCACCCAGCAGGTTCTCACCATGCACGTTTTGGGGGACGTGAGCTGGGTGATGCGGAGGGACCTCACAGCCAATCCCAGGCCACCGCCGGCAGACTCACCAGGTGCTCCCTGGCGAAGGTGCAGGCGACAGCCTTGGGGCCGAAGGCCACGCGGCACTGCTCGTTGGCGCTGTAGTAGAGGCCAGGCTGCGCATCCGGCGGGTGCCCCGCGGACCCGGGTTGAGGCCGCGGCGGGTCCCACACGCAGCGCGCCCGTCCTGCGCTGCGACAAGGCCCGGCTCAGGCCCGGCTCAGTCCCGGGGTGTACACCGGGAGGAGGCGGGACGGAGGAGTGGGCACGAGGATGGAAGCGTTTGGAAGCGTGGCCTTTTGTGAGTGGGAACAGGAGTTCTCGGCCCGCGCCCCCCACCAGGAGCCGGCTCTTGGCTGGGACCAAGACTAAGGCTCCTGCCGGCGCAGAGGTGGGTGGCCAGCAGAGGGAGCGGCGACGGAGGGACGGGTCTGAGTGGGATGGAGCAGATGCAGGTTAGGCCCGGGAGCGGTGCGGTCGGCGGGAAGGGGACGCAGGGATACATGTACGCGGGTGGGGGAGATAGGGGTGTGGGACTGATGGAGCGTGGAGAGTGGACGGAGGGGTAGGGGCGGGTGGAGGCAGACGAAGGGTAAGGGGGTGAAGTGAGGGGGTGGGTGCAGGAACAGGGTGGGCCCAGGAACGGGGTGGGTGCAGGGGGCTGAGATGGAGGGGTGGATGGAGGAGGGTAGGATGCAGGGGTGGGTGTAGGCAAGTGGGAGAGAACCAGGGAGTGTATGTGGAGTCAAGGGGCGGGATGGGGATGGACGGAGGGGTGCGTGCCCAGATTGGCTGGAACGAAAGTGTGGGCGCAAGGGGGCGAGGGAGGACGCAGGGGTGGGCGCAGGGAGGGGGTGGAACGGAGCGGTGGGCGCAGGGGTTGGACAGAAGGGTGGCCGCAGAGTGGGACAGCACGGGGGGAGGTGCAGGGGGTGGGGCAGGTGGGTGGGACGGGGGGGTGGGTGCAGGGGTTGGGACGGAGGGGTGGGCGCAGGAGTGGGCGCAGCGGGATGGGACGGAGCTGTGGGCGCGGGGTTGGACGGAGGAGTGGGTCAGGATGGAGAGGTAGGACAGGAAGGAGGGCTGAATGCGGAGTGGGGACGGACGTAGGGAGAGGTGGGGACGGACGTAGGGAGGGGTGGCGCGGGCGGCCCAGCGGGCTGGCTGGAGGCTCGCGCGCCCGCCCCTCCACGGACGGAGCGGTGGGCGCGGGGTTGGACGGAGGGGTGGGTTGGACGGAGGGGTGGGACAGGAAGGAGGGCTGAATGCGGAGTGGGGACGGACGTAGAGAGAGGTGGCGCTGGCGGCCCAGCGGGCTGGCTGGAGGCTCGCGCGCCCCTCCCACGGGGCGGCCGCTACCTGAGCAGGCTCAGCAGCTGCCGGCGGCTGCAGGGGGACCAGGCGAGGCCGGCGCGGGGCGCGGCGCCGTCCGAAGCCATCACGTGTCCGCTGGGGCCGCAGCCGCTGCCGGGCGCGCCGTCGTGCTCCAGGCCGAAGCTGGTCGGGGGGCGGGGAGTTGCGCTAAGGCGGCCGGCAGGGGCGGGGGCGGGGGTGGGGGCGGGACGGGGGTCGGCGAGTCAGCGGCCCGGCGCCCTAGTGCCGCAGCGCCAGCGAGTTTTCCGACCCGGGTCGACCCCTGACGCCGCCATCTGCTAACTGGGCGCAGTGGAGAGGGTCGCGTGCGCCCTGCCTCAGTTTCCCCCAGAAGGGAGCGCTAGCCCAGCAGGGTGGCTCTCGCATCTTTTGCTAATAAATATCAAAAGCCTTTAAAAATGTGCAAGCCACATTAAATCATGGTGTTAGGAGTCTGTGGGGAGGTGGGGACTGGCCGGGGCCTTGAAGGGCTGCTCTGGGGACTGTTTACATGGATGTGTTGAGCGTGAAATTCACCTACTGTGAGGAAAGCACGATTTTAAAGTTCAGTTAAAACGTGCTTGCCCTTGGCCATTGTTTGCATTCCTAGGCCAGGAAGGTGAACCGTTTCCAAACTGTCACAACAGAGCTTGCTTTACCCAAAGCGGAACTGATGGAGGACTCCTAATGGGGTGGGAGAGGCCAGGCACCGGTGAGGTAGGAGGTGGACTCCACTCTGGAGGCCCCGCTTGGACACTGGACCAGAGGACTAGCTAAAACAGGGAGGGGTGGGAAGCCCCTTTCCATAAGACACGCCCACCAGTGTGCCATACCAGTTTGCCATTGCCATGGCAAAACCCAGAAGTTACTGCCCCTTTTCCATGACGAAAACCTAGAAGTTACTGCCCTTTTTCTAGAAATTTCTGCATAATCTGGCCCCTTAATTTGCATATAATTAGAAGTGGGTATTAACTAGGACTGCAGCCCTGCCTTTGAGCTGCTCTTTTGGGCACAGTGTCTATGGGGTAGCCTGGCTTCAAAAGGGGCTATGCTGTGCTGTATACAGTCACAGGGCTGTACACTCTGCCCACTGCCACATCAATCAAAGTTGCTGTCTAACACCACCTGCTCCCTCTTGAATTCTTTCCTCGGTGAAGCCAAGAACCCTCCCAGGCTAAGCCCCAGTTTGGGGGCTCACGTCTTCTGCATCACAGGAGCAGAAGGGAACTATGCTCCCTCTGAGGGAGAAGGAGCCCTGCCTTGTCCCACACCCAGGAACCCTGCCTCAACCCTCCCAGGCTCAGAGGGGTTGAAAGGGGTCGGGTGGGGGTTGGTGGGCAAGGAATGTGGAAATTCACTTTTTACTTTAGAAATCTCTGCACTGTTTGAATTTTTACAACAATTGGGTATTATTTTCATACTTAAAAAACTAAAGAAATGAAAAGAAACCCATCACTCTAGGTAAATGGTTATAGGTAAGAGTGAAGGTTTGCCCACAAGAATGCATAACATTCACAACAGGAAGACGTGTTCAGACAACCTAGACATCCAAGAAGAGGGGACTGATTAAATAAATTACGGTGCACACCTCTAAGATACCTGGGATAATGTTTGGGATATATTATTACATAAAGAACAGGTAAATCCTGCACTTACCCTAGGAAGAAAAAAGAAAGGCTGGATGCAGTGGCTCACGCCTGTAATCCCAGCACTGTGGGAGACCGAGGCAGGTGGATCACCTGAGGTTGGGAGTTCGAGACCAGCCTGACCAACATGGAGAAACCCTGTCTCTACTAAAAATACAAAATTAGCTGGGCGTGGTGGCACATGCCTGTAATCCCAGCTACTTGGGAGGCTGAGGTGGGAGAATCACTTGCACCCAGGAGGTGGAGGTTGCAATGAGCTGAGATCACGTCATTGCCCTCCAGCCTGGGCAACAAGAGCGAAACTTCATCTCAAAAAAAAAAAAGAAAAGAAAAGAAAAAGAAATAGCAGGTAACAAAGCAATGCACAGCATAATCACAATTTTCCTTTTTTTCAGGGATCCAAACTAAATCCCAATTTTGCAAATAAGAAATATGTGTGTGTATGTAAAGAAAAGACTGAAATTAAATACAAAATGTGAAGAGACATTATCTCTAAATGGTGGGATTTGAGATAATTTTTACAGCCTGCTCTTTCTTTACCTGAATTTTCTACAGAAGTTATTTTCTACCTGCTAAAGGTGTCTTGCTCGTCTTTTGGAAAAAAAGTTCTTTTAATCAAACAGTATCAGGTTCCCCTGTCCTCACACCTGAGTCTGTCGGGGTGAGGGGTACAGGCTCCTCTGGAGAAACTCTACAAGGACCCACTGCTTGCCAAGACCACCTCCACCCTGGGTACCCAGGTCAGCTCCTTGCCAGATCCTGGGGACAGCTGGTGGGGCTACATACCTGTGCCCAATCTCATGGGCAATGGTGACTCCCAGGTCGAAGCCAGTGTCCTCGGTAATGAGGCAGCTCCAGGTTGGGGAGCAGGCACCGCCCAGCTGGGTGACGCCCCGCACCTGCCGGTTACCATCAGGCAACTCCAGGTCAAACCTCGGTGAGAGAAAACAGTCACTTGGGTGGTGCCAAGGCACGTGCCTGCCCTGGGGTCACCTTTGCAGAGGGCAGGAGGCTGAGGGAGCAGCCTTCCCAGGCTGGCTGGCCAGCACCCATCAGAAAGCTCGGCTACCTAGTGATATAGAGGACCAGGTCAGCATGGCCAGGATCCGTGTCGTCCTCAGGGTTGATGGTCTGGCTCCACCCACAGACGCTCAGCAGGGACGAGGTGAGGTTGGCTGTGATATTTGGAGCACCCTGCGGACCCACAGCAAAGCCTGCATTTAGGACACCCCAACCAGGCACGGTGCTGACTGCGGTCGGTTTGTTTCCCAGTTAGTCCTCCTAACAACCCTATGACTAGCCCGTGTTAGGGATGAGACAACTGAGGCTCAGAGAAGTAGTCAGGCAGCCTGTGCTGAGTGCTGGGTAGAGCTGGGAGGGCAGCTGGTCTGTCTGGCTGAATGCATTCTGTGATCCATGCTGCTTGGGGCATCCGGGACAAGAGGTTAAAGAGGATGGAGATGCGATGACTTGGGCTTCCCGCTCTGTATGGTGTGCTGAGTTCCAGCTCCATGCCTACCTCAGGCTCTGTCAGAATGACCATCTTCACCAGGTGCACCCGAAACTGAGCCCCCAGGGACGGGTCCCGAAGCAGTTCTGCCCCCTGTGCAAGGGCAGATGAGAGAGGTAACCCGTCGGGTGGGCATTGCCAGCCCCAGGCAGCTGCTGACTCCCAGGGGCCCCCGGAGTGTGAAGAGCTGGAGAGGCTACTCCACCAGCATGTGTGGGAACCGGGCGGGGCGGGGGGCTCCTAAAATGTGCTGCACAGTCAGCCGTGCCTCTGTTGCTCCTCAGCTCATGGCTCAGGAAGGCCAACTAACGCAAGGAAAACAAACTCCAAAGCAAGGGGATGAGAGCACACAGATGGTCACGAGTCGGATATTCCGGTCAAACGCTGCTCCTCTCAGATCGCAGGCTCCTCTCAGATTACAGGCGCCTGCCACCATGCCCAGCTAAGTTTTGTATTTTTAGTAGCTACGGGGTTTCACCATGTTGGCCAGGCTGGTCTTGAACTCCTGACTTCGGGTGATCCACCCGCCTTGGCCTCCCAAAGTGCTGGGATTATAGGCATGAGCCACCGCGCCTGGCCTTGTTTGTCTTTCTGAGACGGCGGCTAGTGGGGGAGTGCTTCCCTGCCCGCCCTTCCCCAGCTTTCAAGTGAAGGGGGGCTGCAGGGATTCAGGTGCTAGCAAGAAATGAAGGTGGGCATCTCCTTTGCCAGCAGTCTCTGTTTAGACTTCAGACGGGTGACCTGTCCTCGCCACTCTGAGCGGGGGACAAGAGAATGGAGAGAGGGCAGGGTCGGGGTGCAGAGGGCAGTGTGAGCAGCCCGTATCCCATTTGCCAGGGTTGCTTTAGCTGAGCTTTGTGGGGGTCAAATGGATACTGGGGAAGAGGCCAGGCTTGAGGGTGGCCCCAGGTGAAGGGACTTGAGTAGTGAGAGGCTGCAGGGTGTGCATGTGCCATGGAGCCTAGAGAGGGTGTGGGACCTCACCCACCTCCACCCAGGGGAGGGAGGGAGAAGAGGAAGAACCCCGAGCCATTCTACCTGAGTTTAACCCACTGTATTCAGACTACCAGATACACCAGCCCACAGACATTGGTCACCAGCCCTGGCCGTGGGGACCTGCACAGTCCAGCGTGGGGCACTCACGATGTTGAGGTTGGTGAGCACATAGCGCTCTGTGTCCTCCTGGTGAGCCTGGAAGACATCGGGGCCCACGGCCACCAGCAGCTCCAGGTGTAGGATGCCGCCTGCAGCCCGCCTCTGCCTCTGCCTCTGCCTCTGGAAGCCAGGGGAAGGAGGGCGGCCTGGAGGGGGAGAGGGAGAGCAGAGGGCGATGGTTCTAGAGAGCAAGCAGTGGAAAGCTAACAGGAAAGGGGCTGGCAGGTCTTGGAAGGATGGCCTTCCGAAGTCAAGACATTGCGTGTCACCCCCACCCCAAGAGCCAGACCCCATTAGTGACTAGGCACGCAAAGGGCAGGGCCCAGGAGGAGCTGTTGGGCTATTGTGTGCTTTGGGTCACCCCATCAAGACAAGATTCCCACTGCCCTGGTGGCTCTGCCCAAAGGGGAAAGCCCCTGCCCTGCCTCCTGGACCCTGCTCTGGGCACAGGTGTTTCACAAGTAACATCATGGACCCCGACAGGAAACTGAACACGAGTGGAGCCCAGTGGTCTCTTGGGAAGCAGGGGCCCAGGCCAGCCCTCACTGTCCTCTCCCAAGGGAGCCCTTAGAGGGTCAGGGACCCTGGGCAATGATCTCCCAGCCTTTCAGGAGCGGCAGCGCTGGAAGGACCCAGGCTATGGGATACCCAGACAGCGTCGGCTGCATCCAGCCCCCAGCGTGGCCCCAGGCACTGGTC
This sequence comes from Homo sapiens, assembly GCF_000001405.40. Lineage (NCBI taxonomy): Eukaryota > Metazoa > Chordata > Mammalia > Primates > Hominidae > Homo > Homo sapiens. The sequence continues at coordinate 249,861 of NW_009646201.1, read as the reverse complement.
AGTGTGCCTCTGGCCTAGACCACAAAGAACCAGGTCACAAAGTGGGCCTTGCCCTCCTGTTGCCCCTGACCACTAGCCCACCTGCCTCTGGCCCCCATCAGCCATTAGTCAAGTTGCCAATGGCCCTACTGGGAAGGGGGCTCGCACCGGAGAAGGTCACAGACATGGGCCTGTGGGCAATGGGGACAGGCCTTTATCATAAGGAAATCCATGGCCTTAGGAGGTAGCCTGAGCCAGTACCTATCTTGTTTCCCACAGAAGGAATAAATATTTACATCCACGGTCAGAAACCACAAGAGCTCCTGAAAATCAGCCAGCTCAGCAGAGGCCATGGGGCAGGAGGGGCCAGCCAATCGGTGACCGTTCCCTTGTGATATTTAACAGAAGCTAGGGTGAGAACCCTGGCCTGGCTGGAACACCCAGACCAGCTTATATCAACTTGGCAGGAAGTAACAGAGTTAATTAACAGGGTTGACAGCAGCTTCTCTGACCTTCTCCTTCCAGATCCACCAAAAATCCCAGACCACTGACTCAGTGGTGAGATACCCCTTGAAAGTCCTGAGAAACTCCCCCCGGGAGAGAAGACACCAGGACAAGTACCTTTTAAGGGAGCACCAGGGCTCAAGTAAGAAGACACGGCCTGTGGCTCCAAAGCCTGAAGACAACTCTGCAAGACAAAAAGAGATGGATGGGGCCGGGCATAGTGGCTCTGGCCTGTAATCCTAACACTTGGGGAGACCGAGGTGGGAGGATCACTTGAGTCCAGGAGTTTGAGACCAGCTGGGGCAACATAACAAGACCCCATGTCTTAAAAAAAAAAAAAAAAAAAAAAAGAGAGAGAGAGAAAGAAAAAAGAACAAAAAGAGATGGATGAAGAGGGAGACAGGAGGCAGGAGGTGGGTGAGGCCAACCAAGAAGGAGAGGGGGAAATCAGAGACAGGGAGAGGAAGGGAGAGGCAGAGAAGAGCAACCTACACAGTTTGGGACAAACTAGTATCTGTCTGTTCAGCTTCACCGAATGAGCAGGTCGTACTGAGACACCAACTCCCTCTTCAGTGAGCACACTTCATCCCCCAAAGCCCCAAGTACAGACTCCCCTGCCCAGCGCAAACCCCAAAGCTGATGTAGTCAGCTATTTGGCACTCCCCTCGCCCCAGGTAGCTCAGAATACCCCACCCAGAGGCTCCCAGAATACCCCCGCTCCTGCAAATGAGCCCACCTGCTGGAAATGGGAGGGTCCCCAGCAGCCCAGGAGAAAGCCACAGGCAAGGATTCCGGCCACACAGAGGGGAGGGCATCTTGCCCGGGGGTGACGCTGGTGCATCCTCAGGAGAGCCAGCCCGAGGAGTGGAGCGGAGTGAGAGGGGGCCTTGGTGACTGGGAATCTGGTCAGTATGGAATGGGACAGGCCTGCTCACTACTGGGCGGGACGATTAGGCAGTGTTTACTCTTGGAAGCTTCCTGCCAGGGCAGGGGCCGTGGCTAGGGTGGGCGGCCTGCAGCTCCTCCTGCTGCAAGCTGGGCCTTGCTCTAAGATGGTTGCAGTTCAGGGTAACCTGCAGCCCAGTCCTGCACACCAGACAGCTCTCCGGATGTGCACGCCCACCCCCTTAGAGGAGGCCTAAGCCATCTAATCTGGAGAAGGGACACTGGACCAGAAACCCACAGACGGGGGTTCACAAGGAATGCCAGGACCTCGGCTGACTCCCTCTCCGGGGTCCCCGCTCCCATCTGACAGATGAGAGGCTGTGCCAAAGACATCGTGGTTCTGGCTCAACTCTCCACCTACTCTGTGCCTGCGCCTGATGAGGAGAGTCGCAGAAGCAGGCTGCACGGCACCAGATCTCAGCATCATCACAAACGGCCTGGCAATCCCCTTCATCTCCTGGAAGACTCACTTCACATGCTCCAAACCACTCTTTTACACCCACAGAGCCGCACAAGCTGATGACCAGCAGGGGGATTCACCTTGTCTTTCCACCCCTCAAAGTGCAGCCTCTCTCCTCCTCTGCGATCAGGGAGGACACACCTACACTTCCTGCCAGGCCCTGGCTCTGGATCCCTTCCCAGCTCTCTCCTCCTGCATCGTTAGTTTCTGCCCCTCTGCTAGAGCCATTCATTCATTCCTTCAGCCAACAAATGTTTCACTGAGCCCCTGAAACAGGCCAGGCTCTGTGCTAGACACCAGGAAAGCAGCCCCAAGCCAGGCAGACAGCAGCCTCGGCCTCTCACAGCTTAAATTCTAGGGAAGAGAGCCAGACAGCAAAGTTGCTAGACAGACACATGTTGTATATGTAGTATGTTCAAAGGTGGTAAGTGTTATGGAGAAAAATACAGCAGAATAAAGGAATGGGGGACTGGAGGGAAGGGTGTGCTTTCATGCAGGAAGGTAAGGAGGCTGTTGGAGAAGGGGGCATGCTTAGATATCGAGATCCTGGTACCTGGCTCACTCCATCAGCATGAATGACTCTCCTGTCTCTTTTTGGTTTTTGTTTGTTTTTTGAGACAGAGTCTTGCTGTGTCACCCAGGCTGGAGTGCAGTGGCACGATCTCGGCTCACTGCAACCTCCGCCACCCAGGTTCAAGTGATTCTCCTGCCTCAGCCTCCCTTGTGGCTGGGATTACAGGCACCCGCCATCACGCCTGGCTAGTTTTTGTATTTTTAGTAGAGGTGGGGTTTCGCCATGTTGGCCAAGCTGGTCTCAAACTCCTGACCTCAGGTGAGCTGACTGCCTCGGCCTCCCAAAGTGCTGGGATTACAGGCATGAGCCACCAAGCCCAGACACTCTGGTGTCTCTTGATTACAATCAACAACCTTCCCTTGACCCACACTGTCCTCCTGCCATAGCCCTGTTTCTGGCTGTCTTTAAGAACTTAGAAACATTATTTTCAGTGGCTATCTCCACTTCCTTGCCTTCAATTCCCACATACCATTGAAATTGATCTTTAAAAGGTCACCAATAACTTTGTGAACCCTGAAAGAGCCAATCCTTCTTGATGGATCCCAAGTTACTAACTGGGCCTAAATTCAAAGTAGGACCTAGCAGCCATTTGCTGACTAGGGTCACACACACATTCTGCGTTCCTGGAAAGCCCCCACTCTCACTTAACTCTGGGATGGTTTCACAGCTATCTGTTCCTGTTTATGCCGCCAGAATCAACCCATCGACTGTGACCTGCATCGACCAATCTGAACTCAGCAAGTATTAACCAATCAGAACTAAGCAAGTGTGCCTTCCTCATTTGCATAAGTGGACCAAAGTGGGAACCTGGGCAGGAAGTTCTCTACAAAAGACGACCTCTTTCTTTGTTCTCTTTGTTCCCTGGAATGCACCTTTGTACAGAAGGCTGCATTGCCCTGGTTTACAAACTGCTGGAACAAAGTTTTTTTCCTTTTTTAAAAAGAAAACCTGGGCCAGGTGTGGTGGCTCACGCCTTTAATCCCAGCACTTTGGGAGGCCGAGGCAGGTGGATCACGAGGCACGCGGATCATGAGGTCAGGAGTTCGAGATCAGCCTGGCCAGCATAGTGAAACCCCGTCTCTTTTCAAAAATACAAAAATTAGGCTAGGTGCGGTGGCTCACGCCTGTAATCCCAACACTTTGGGAGGCTGAGGCGAGAGGATCACCTGATGTCTGGAGATCCATACCAGCCTGGCCAACATGGAGAAACCCCATCTCTACTAAAAGTACAAAATTAGCCGGGCGTGGTGGCACATGCCTGTAATCCCAGCTACTCGGGAGGCTGAGGCAGAAGAATCACTTGAACCCGGGAGGTGGAGGTTGCGGTGAGCCGAGATTGCGCCATTGCACTCCAGCCTGGGCGACAAGAGCATAACTTCGTCTCAAAAAAAAAAAAAAAATTAGCTGGGCATGGTGGCGTGCACCTGTAGTTCCAGCTACCCAGGAGGCTGAGGCAGGAGAATCGCTTGAACCCGGGAGGTGGAGATTGTGGTGAGCCGATATCACGCCACTGCACTCCAGCCTGGGCAGCAGAGCAAGACTCCGTCTCAAAACAAACAAAAAAAAAGAAAACCCTTTTCGGTGGACTTGCTGACAATCTCAGTGCCATATCTGGTTCCCATCTCTCTGTCCTCGTCCTTCTCAGCCTCTCAGCAGCATCTGATGTGGTTTATTCTCCCCCTGGATTCTCTGATGCCACTCACATCCGCTTCTCCTCCCACTGCACTGACTGCTCCCCCTCAGCCTCCTCTGCTGCTTCGCCCCTGGAGAGCCCCCAGCACCTGCTATCTGGTCTTAACCCTTCACTCCCTATATTGGTACTCTCTCTTTGGATGAACTAACCCAGGTTCATGTTTCAACACTAATTATGTGCTGACGATTTCCAAATTACATCTCCAGCACTGACCCTTCCCTAAGCTTAGGAATCTTATATCCTGCTGCTGATTAGACGTCTCTCCTTGGTGACTGACGGCCCGTTCAAACTCAGCAAGTGTGAAAAGGAGCTCATGGCTCCACCCCCATACTTCACCCTGCTCCCCGCAGACATTTATTGAGATGATAAATGGCCACACCCAATTGCTCAGACCAAAATCCTAGGAGCCTCACTTCCCTGTTACTCCATCAACCTCTGCCTGTTACACACGCACATCAAATCTACCCACTCCCGGCCGGGCACGGTGGCTCACACCTGTAATCCCAGCGCTTTGGGAGGCCGAGGCGGATGGATCACTGGAGGTCAGGAGTTCAAGACAGCCTGGCCAACGTGGCGAAACCCCAGGTCTACTAAAAATACAAAAATTGGCAGAGAGTGGTGGCGTGCACCTATAGTCCCAGCTACTCAGGAGGCTGAGGCAGGAGAATCGCTTGAACCCAGGCGGCAGAAGTAAGGGAGGAGACCACCCCTCATATTGTCTTATGCCCAATTTCTGCTTCCAAATAAAGAAGTAAAAACTAAAAGGCAGAAATAAAATCCACAGGCAGACAGCCCGGCGCCGCGCCCTGGGCCTGGTTAAAGATCAATCCTTGACCTAACCGGTTATGTTATCTATAGATTTCAGACATTGTATGGAAAAGCATTGTGAAAATCCCTGTCCTGTTCTGTTGCGTTCTGATTACCGGTGCATGCAGCCCCCAGTCACGTACCCCCTGCTTGCTCAATCGATCACGACCCTCTCACACAGACCCCCTTAGGGTTGTAAGCCCTTAAAAGGGACAGGAATTGCTCACTCAGAGAGCTCGGTTTTTGGAGACGTGAGTCTGCCGATGCTCCCCACTAAATAAAGCCCTTTCCTTCTACAATTCGGTGTCTGAGGGGTTCTTGTCTGCGGCTCGTCCTGCTACAGAGTGAACTGGCAGGAACTCCTCCCGGTGCCTGGGCCTCAGTTTCCCCACTGTACGTGGAAGATGAGCCGCTGTGAGGCTGAGCAAGGAGCAGCCCAAGGCGGGAAAGGCTCGAGAGTCCAGGACGCAGGCGAGCGACCTAGCCCGGCTCTCACTAGCCCCACCGCCCAGTGCCCCCAGCTCAGCTGCCCTACCAGGTGCTACACACACAGCGGCCCCCCAGTTCCCTTCCGGCGTTCGCATCTCTCATCCCCATCCCGGATCTTGGGGAGGTCCTCGGCTTGCCCCAGTCAAACTCGAGGTCGATGACCCCGGATGCCGCTGGCTAAGGCGGCGGCCCAAGTCCCGTGCGGGTGAACCGCCCAGGCTGCGCGGAACCAGAGGCAGGGATCCGGTTTCCAGCCGGTTGTGGAGAGACGAGCGCTTCCGGGGACTGGAGCGTGCGTGCTGAGGTATGCGCAACGCGTGCGGGGTCTCTTCCGGAGTCTTTTCCTGGACGGGGTCCCTGCGGTGGGTGTGTTTCGGCCTGGCCTGGGCAGGCGCTTGTGCTGCCAGGGCGCCGGGCCCGGGGAGGCCGGGGTCTCGGGTGGCCGCCGGCCCAGGCGCTGGACGGCAGCAGGATGGGGAAGGCGAAGGTCCCCGCCTCCAAGCGCGCCCCGAGCAGCCCCGTGGCTAAGCCGGGTCCTGTCAAGACGCTCACTCGGAAGAAAAACAAGAAGAAAAAAAGGTTTTGGAAAAGCAAGGCGCGGGAAGTAAGCAAGAAGCCAGCAAGCGGCCCCGGTGCTGTGGTGCGACCTCCAAAGGCACCAGAAGACTTTTCTCAAAACTGGAAGGCGCTGCAAGAGGTGAGGCTTGAGGGGGCCCGGGCGGAGCGCTGCGCAGCTCATTCCCGCAGAACGCGACGGAGGGAAAGACTTGGGTAGCCCCAAAAGACCTGTAAAGGCAGATTTGAATCGAAATCTTGTAAACAGCTTTTCACAAGAAAGGTGGCCTGTTGAGGGAGGTCTCGAACTTGTTTGCTTGAAAGAAATTGATGAAAGAATTATTTCAAGTACAAAAAAGCAAAGATAAACCCTTGTACCTTTTGCATAATGAACTAACTAGAATGGATTTTACAAAGAGAAATTTAGCTTAAAATCCCGAAACCAGGCCGGGCGCGGGGCCTCACGCCTGTGATCCCAGCACTTTGGGAGGCCGAGGCGGGCAGATCCCCTGAGGTCAAGAGTTCAAGACCAGCCCGGCCAACATGGTGAAACCCCGTGTCTACTAAAAAAGTACAAAAAATATTAGCCGGGCGTGATGGCGCGCGCCGGTAGTCGCAGCTACTCGGGGAGCCTGAGGCAGAAGAATCGCTTGAACCCGGGAGGCAGAGGCAGTAGTAAGCCGAAATCGCGCCACTGCACTCCAGCCTGGGCGACAGAGCGAGACTCCATCTCAAACAACAACAACGAAAGAACACACTGGTCTGTGTAGCAAGACAGGGAGAAAGAAGATTCCTGTGTAGAAGTGAAAAGCAGATAGCAGACATGTGATGGGGTTCTAGCGACACTTACGGTCTTGAAGTAAATACTAATTGAGCTCCTAAAAATGTGCACTCTGCCATGTGCTCTATGCCATGCGTGTTGCAATCCCCACAATAAGACTGTGAGGTGGACACTTCCATCATCGCTATTGTACAGATGAGGAAATAGGCTGGAAAAGTTTAAATAGATCATCTAAGATTGCGGCTGGGAACCAGGTGGCTGACTCTGGAGTCCATGCTTTTAAGGCTGTGTTGTACCTGCTGTCTCCCTAGTGACCTGCACTTCTGTAGAGGTTGCCTGCTCTCTCCTAGACACTCTTCCACGTGCGTCACTCATACATTCTTACCACATCCCTTGGAGCTCCCTTGGAGCTACCTCCTGTTAGGATCATAGCTCACTGCTGCCTGGGCTCCAGTGATTCTCCTGCCTCAGCCTCCCGAGTAGCCCACACGTGTAATCCCAGCACTTTGGGAGGCCCAGGCAGGAGGATCACTTGAGCTCAGGAGTTCAAGTCCAGCCTGGGCAACATGGTGAGATTCCATCTCTAAATAAAAGTAAAAAGTAGTTTTTTTAAAAAAGAAATGTGATCCCCAGTGGTGGAGATGGGGCCCATAGGAGGTATTGGGTCATGGGGGTAGATCCCTCATGAATGACTTGGTGCCCTCCCCTCAGTAACGAGTAAGTTCTCACTCTGCTGGTTCATTTGAGAGCTGGTTGTTTAAAAAGAGCCTAGCACCTTTTTTGCTTGCTCTCTCACCACGCAACACACCTGCTCCCCCTTCACCTTACACCATGATGGGAAGCTTCCTTCGGCCTCACCAGAAGCAGATGCTGGCACCATGCTTCTTGTACAACCTGCAAAACCATGAGCTACATAAACGTTTTTTCTTTATAAATTACCAAACACAGGTATTCCTTTATAGCAGTGCACAATGAACTAATACAGATGGGGTTTCACTTTGTTGCCCAGGCTGGTCTTCAACTCCTGACCTCAAGCAATCCTCCCACCTCAGCCTCCCCGAGCGCTTCTTGAACCTCCTAATACTCTGCACAGTATCTCAGTGCAGACATTCCTGTCTTAACACACAGGACCAGTCAAATTCCCGTGGGCAGCCCCAGGGTTCTGTGGGATTTCTTGAACACCAACTCTTCTTCCTTCTCCCAAGAAAGAAAAGCAAAATAAGTGAATGGAAGGGATGTGTGCTATAGGGAAACTTTGGAGTGTTTTCTAATTCATCCAAGAAAGTCAGCCCTTCAGTTCTTTACCTATCACAGAACAGGTAAGTAGCACCCGCCTCATCATCGCACTGTGGTGGCGCCCACTCCCACTGGGGATTTGAACACAGGGAGGAAGCTGGGCTCTAAGACTACAGGAGCCTCTGCTTGGGTGACAGCCAAGGTGTGTGGCTGCTAGCAGTTCTTCAGCCACTCCAGTTTGACAGAAGCTTTTCTTTTCATTTATGACACCCCCCACCTTCCTGAGATCTTCACAGCAGTAGCAAACCAGGGAATCTTGTAAAAAAAAAAAAAGCGATTTCTGTGTAGCAGGATGTTGGCCCAAGCTGTGAGGGAAGTTAACTCCAAAATTCTTTCTAGATAAGCTGAAAAGGGAAGTGGTCTGTGGTGTCCAGCCACTCAACAGGTACCCAAGGTGTAGAATGAGTTTGACATTTTGTATGCATGAAGGAGCAGGTGCAAAATGCATTATAATAAGATAAGCAAAGAAACAGCATTTCACCACAAGTGACCCATGAGAATGAAAAAGAGCTTTTTCCAAACCGTTTGAAAATGAATTTCAGTGATGCGGATGGGAATTGTATAGATGTGTTTGGTGTATATGTGTGTATATACATACACACGTAAGTTTTTTCAATCTGCTGTGTGTAATTTCCAAATTCAAATGCAGCATGTATTTTATTTTGGGTCCCAGTGGCTGCTGAAACAAAAATCTCAGGCCCCAGAAAAGCCTCTTGTCATCTCTCAGATGGGTTCCAAAAAGAAGCCCAAAATTATCCAGCAAAACAAAAAAGAGACCTCGCCTCAAGTGAAGGGAGAGGAGATGCCGGCAGGAAAAGACCAGGAGGCCAGCAGGGGCTCTGTTCCTTCAGGTTCCAAGATGGACAGGAGGGCGCCAGTACCTCGCACCAAGGCCAGTGGAACAGAGCACAATAAGAAAGGAACCAAGGAAAGGACAAATGGTGATATTGTTCCAGAACGAGGGGACATCGAGCATAAGAAGCGGAAAGCTAAGGAGGCAGCCCCAGCCCCACCCACCGAGTAAGTATGGGCCACCTCACCACTGAGAACCGAGGCACAGCGACTTCACCAAGGCCTGTCTCCTTATGGAGGCTGGTGGCCTCACCGCAGTCTCTCCATCACTTTACCCTGATGTCGTCTGTTCCTTTGTTTACTCGCTGTTACTTGTTTTCCCCTAGAGTGTGCGCATGATAAGGCAGGGCCTGCTTCTTCCGAGCGTTGAGCAGAGCTCAGCATTTAGTGGGTGCCAGTACACGTGTGTGGAAGGAAAGCGTGCTGAAGCCAGAAAGACCCAAGTATGAGGCCTGTCCCTGCTTCTCGCCAGTTGGGTGGTTTGGGGCAAGTTTCTGACGTCCTCTGTGCCTTGTGGTAGTCATGGTGGCATCATAAGGAGATTGTGAGGTTGGCACTCTTGGCTCAGTGCCTGGTGATTACTTCAACCCTGTGATGGAGCCAGGTGTGGTGGCTGTTGCCTGTGATCCCAGCTCCTTGGGAGGCCAAGGTGGGAGGATCACTTGATCCCAGGAGGTTGAGGCTGCAGTGAGCTGTGATTGCACTACTGCCTCCAGCCTGGGTGACGGAGCAAGACTCTCAAAAAAACAAGTGAAAAGAATAAACCCTGTGCTGGCCACCCACGTGGGGTGGACCGGGAGTCAGTGGCCTTCTCTGAATGGTTCAGCTGGAGGTGACGTGTTCATAAGTTACAGCTGGCTTCATGTTGCCTGGGTGTTCAGGACACAGTCGCTGATGGCTGAGGAATGAGCCATTTGGGGGCCTCCCTGTGTTGTGCTAGGCAGGCTGTCTGGGATAGAGTTCAGTGAGGTGGGCCTGCTCCTCCCTCTTGAGGCTTATTGTCAAGTGCAGTAGACAGACTGTAAACTGCAGCTGTTGATTAAGTGTGGTCAGGATAAATCTAGTGAGGAGAAGGTATTGGGCGCCTGGAACAAGAGGGACGTGTCCATTCAGTGGGGCCAGGAATGGCTTTTCTAAGGAAATGACATTTAACCTTAGCCCAAGAGACAGATTCCCCAGGCAGGTGTTACGTGCCTGTGTGAGCTTCCTAGTACGGAGGGCAAGGGGTTCTGTGTTTCCATCTTACAGGCATTCTGTCTGTCTGTTTCCTAAGTGTTCAATAATGAACGTGTTACCTTCATAATTAAAATGTTAGCACTCATTACACTTGGGTGGTGGGTTATGTGTTTCTGTTTTATATTCTTTGTGTTTGTCTGTGTTCCTAAATCTTGAATAATGAGTGTATTTTCTAATTAAAAAGAAAAGAGATGAGGCCAGGTGCTGTGACTCACACCTGTAATCCCAGCTCTTTGGGAGGCCGAGGCAGGTGGATCACTTGAGGTCAGGAGTTCAAGACCAGCCTGGCCAACATGACGAAACCCCGTATCTACTGAAAATACAAAAAATTAGCCAGGCGTGGCAGTGGGCGCCTGTAAAATCCCAGCTACTAGGGAGGCTGAGACAAGAGAATCACTTGAACCTGGGAGGCAAAGGTTGCAGTGAGCCAAGATCATGCCACTGCACTCCAGGTTGGGTGACCCAGTGAGACTCCATCTCAAAAAAAAAAGGAAAATGCCAAGATGATCAAAATAGCAGAAGCAGCAGGGCCAGCAGTCGGGGTGTCTGGGGCCAGCCTGTGGGAGAGGCAGGCTGTGCCATCGCTCCACTCACCTGCACAGTCAGCCCCACAGCCCCACCCCACCAGTTGCACTAGGGTCTTCTGGTGATCAGCCTGTTATCTTTGCCTTTTAGGGAAGACATCTGGTTTGACGACGTGGACCCAGCGGATATCGAAGCTGCCATAGGTCCAGAGGCGGCCAAGATAGCGAGGAAACAGTTGGGTCAGAGCGAGGGCAGCGTCAGCCTCAGCCTCGTGAAAGAGCAGGCCTTCGGCGGGTACGCTGGTCTCAGGGAGTGGGGTCTGCTGGGGATGCTTAGCCGTGGAGGGCGGGGCTTCTTCAAGGAAGAGGATGCTTTCCTCTCCCTGAGGTGAATGAGGCAAGCACCTCCCAGGGTCCTGCTAAGAACCAGGACCACACAGAGCTTGTCACGTGGGTGCAAATGAGTGAGGGGCAGAGAGCTTTTCTCTGCTGACACTTAGTCCATGGATCCCTGGGGCTCTGACCTGGAGCCCTGTGGCCTGCCGTGTTTATTAAACTACAGCCTTTGGTTACCCTTCAGCCTGACAAGAGCCTTAGCCTTGGACTGTGAGATGGTGGGCGTGGGCCCTAAGGGGGAGGAGAGCATGGCCGCCCGTGTGTCCATCGTGAACCAGTATGGGAAGTGCGTTTATGACAAGTACGTCAAACCAACCGAGCCCGTGACGGACTATAGGACAGCGGTCAGTGGGATTCGGCCTGAGAACCTCAAGCAGGGTATGTCATCCACAGCTCAGGAACTTAGAAGGGAAAGTAGTAACTGGATTCGTTTTCTCCCTTTTGTTCCCTTTTCTGTCTGAGACCACTCACTGCAGCTGGTTTTGATGCGTCTTGTCTCCTTTTGGGGCGATGGGTTTTAAAATACAAAAGGCATCCTTAGACGGCTTTACACCCATTTATGCCTTGCACTTCATTGCCTCCTGTCCGCTGACTTCAAGACCAGGCCAGTAGCTGGGCACGGTGGCTCATGCCTGTAGTCCCAGCTACTCAGGAGGCTGAGGAGGGAGGATTGCTTGAACCCAGGAGTTCAAGTCCAGCCTGGACAACATAGCGAGACCTCATTTCTAAAAAAAATTATTATTTTTTTTTGAGATGGAGTTTTGCTCTTGTTGCCCAGGCTGAAGTGCAATGGCACAATCTGGGCTCACTGCAACCTCCGCCTCCTGGGTTCAAGCGATTCTCCTGCCTCAGCCTCCCGAGTAGCTGGGATTACAGGCATATGCCACCACACCCGACTAATTTTGTATTTTAAGTAGAGACAGGGTTTCTCCACATTGGTCAGGCTGGTCTTGAACTCCCGAACTCAGGTGATCCGCCTGCCTCCGCCTCCCAAAGTGCTGGAATTACAGGCATGACCCACTGCACCTGGCCTTCTAAAAAATATTTTTAAAAAATTAGCTGGTCCCACTTGGCTCGGGCCACCCTTGGTCTAATCACCCCTGTTCGGGGGGTACAAGTGGGGTTGGTGGTGGGGTGGTCCCCAGAAGCAGGCAAGGCTGCCTCTGGAGCCCAGGGCCTAGGGCAACACATCTCTACCCATTTTTGTGGGGGCAGTTTTGTTTTTATTTCCATTTGGGAAATTGTCAAGTAAATCATGAGGTTGAATAGGCAGAACCACGCTGCCAGGCGGCTCTAAAAGTTTCTCAGTGCCTACACTCAACATATGCTCTCCTCCAGCCATGAGCCGACTTTGCAGACTGTGTGGAGCACTTTATTCCTCTCCTCAGAGGTGGTTCTCGCAGCCACCCCTGCCAGGGGCCCACAAGGCACTTCTCCCAGGGGGGTGGGTGGATGTGGTGGCTTCGAGTCACCCTCCGTAGTGGCATTGCAGGCCTGACCATTTGTCTTAGGTCTGACCAGGGGTAGGAGCGGGGCTGCCTCCTCACAGAATGATGGTGATGTGTGTGTTGCAAAAAACCGCTTCTTTGTGTTGATTTTCCAGGAGAAGAGCTTGAAGTTGTTCAGAAGGAAGTGGCAGAGATGCTGAAGGGCAGAATTCTAGTGGGGCACGCTCTGCATAATGACCTAAAGGTACTGGGCTCTCTCCTGGGGACTCAGCCTGCCCCTGCTCCGTGGGTGTTACACTCACGCCCTTGCTGTGTTGGGGAGTTTTAACAATGTGTGGGTTTGTGCTCTATGTTGGGAATACTTTGGTAATAATATCAGATACCGCGTGCTGAGTTCTTACTGTGTTTTAGGAGCCATGCCAGGCTCTTGTTTTGAGAGCCCCCAGCGAAACTGGGGTACCCATACCAGAGCAGCTGGCAACCCCGCCCTAATGAGAAATGAAGGTGCTGATACCCCTTTTACCTGGAGGAAGGCCTAATGTCCAGTTGTCCCATCCGTGACCAGGGTCCCTCCACAGGAAACAAGTTTATCCTGGCAGATGCCCTGTGGCCCATGTTCAGGTTACGCTTGCCTAACCATCACCCTGGCCCTGGGAGCTTGCCTTTGCCTTCTTTCTGGCGTCCCGAGGAAAATCCCGCCTGGGGCAGCCCCTGGTTCTTCAGATGGAAAGTGCAAATTCAGACACCACCACCGTGGGAAACAAGTTCAAAGACATATACAGACCCTGGGCAGGGAAGGCGTCATGGGTGGGGAGGGCAGCCTGCCATCTCCTGGTCACCCGAGGCAGGAATGAAGAGTCAGGCAGAGCGAGTACGTGTGTATTTACAGGAGAACAGGGTGGGGGTCACTTTGAGTTTATGGGCAAATGCCTGGATGTTGGTTTAAAGGACACAGTGGGAACAGCGGGGAGGCCAGTCTGCTAGATGGGAGAGACACTTAAGTTGTCACCTCTGCCCACCGGCTTGAAGCACTTGGGTGTGGTGAGGAACTTGAAGCCGTTCAGAAGGAAGTGACAGAGATGCTAATGTTCAGGCAGCAGCCTTTGCTATGGTGCTCCCGTGACGGCACTGTAGAGATCCCTTGAATCCATTGAAGATGCTGGAGGTGTTCATGCTTGTTTACAGAGGGTGAAACTGAGGTGAGAACCCCCCGGGCAGTGTCCTCACAGAAAGGTCTTCTGTGTGCTCCTGCTGTACCCCCTCAGAGACTGCTGCCGTGGGGACTCGTCCTTCCCTCCTGACTCTGACTCCATCCCTGGCACCTTGCGCAGCACATGTTCAAGTCTTTCTTGAAGATGATGCTAAGGACCAGACACAGTGGCTTATGCCTGTAATCGCAGCTTTTTGGGAGGCTGAGGCTGGAGGATTGCTTGAGGCCGGGAGTTAGAGACCAGCCTGAGTAACATAGGGGAGACCCCATCTCTATAAAAAATTTTAAAATTAGCCAGGTGTGGTGGCGTGTGCCTGTTGTCCCAGCTACTCAGGAGACTGGGGTAGGAGGATCAGTTGAGCCCAGGAGGTTAAGGCTGCAGTGAGCCATGATTACCCTATAGCACTGCAGCCCAGGTGACAGAGTGAGATCCTATCAAAAAACAAAACAAAACAAAAAATTGCATGCTAAGATTGCAAGATGAGCTGTTAAAATGTGTTATTTGCAACTTCCTGATGTGTAGAACCAACTCAAAATACAAGTATAATATAGGAATAAGTTGGTTGCTGGTTAACTGTTGACTGTTTTTCTCCTACTTCCTTGATTTCAAGATTTTGTTTTTATTGTCTCTGACTGTTGGGCATCAGCTTAAGTCAGTGCAATAAATTTCCTTCTGGAGTTGAAATTCATATCAGTGCCTTGTTTCCATGTGTGTGTGACACACTTGGATTCCCTACAAGATGTTACTTGCAGGGCAGCCGCGTTGGCTCACACCTGTAATCCCAGCACTTTGGGAGGCCGAGGCGGGTGGATCACCTGAGGTCAGGAGTTCGAGACCAGCCTGGCCAACATGGCAAAACCCTGTCTCTACTAAAAAATACAAAAATTAGCCAGGCATGGTGGCGGGCACTTGTAATCCCAGCTACTCGGGAGGCTGAGGCAGGAGAATCACTTGAAACCTGGGGTCGGAGGTTGCAGTCAGCAAAGATTGAGCCACTGCATTCCAGCCTGGGTGACAGAGCAAGACTCCGTCACACACACACACACACACACACACACACACACACACACACACACACACACAAAGATGTTACTTGCAAAAGGTGGCGGGGGGAGGGGGTTCTGCTACTACAAACCAAAAATGAAAATGATTATCATTATATTTTATTTTTCTAGGTACTATTTCTTGATCATCCAAAAAAGAAGATTCGGGACACACAGAAATATAAACCTTTCAAGAGTCAAGTAAAGGTACTTAGAATGAGTGTGACTCAAGATACTGTATTTCTGTTTTGCTGGTCACTTCATTGTTTCTGGTCACTGGTGGCTGACTTGTTGGTTAAAGGGTTTTTGTTTTTTCTTTTAACCTTTAAAACTAGAAGGAATGTTTAAAAATAGAGTTCTGCTAATTGCTGACCTTAAAAATGATTGCAACGGAGGGCAAGTTATTTCCACTCTAACCTCTGAAACAGGGTCACTGACTAAGGGCCTGGTACCACTGTCGTATCTGCTCTAGAGGGTGCCAAGGGCAGAGCCGTTCTTCATCCTTTTTTTTTTTTTTAGACAGGGTCTTGCTCTGTCACCCAGGCTGGAGTGCAATGGCATAATCTTGGCTCACTGTAACTGCCACCTCCCAGGCTCAGGCAATCCTTCCACCTTAGCCTCTGAAGTAGCTGGGACTGCAGGCATATGCCACCACCCCTGGCTAATTTTTTTATTTTTATTTTTTTAGAGATAGGGTCTTGCTGTGTTGCCCTGGCTATTCTCAAACTCCTGGGTTCAAGTGATCTGCCCTCGTTGGCCTCCTAAGTGCTGAGATTACAGGTGTGAACCACCATGCCTGGCCAGAGCTGTCCCTCTTGAAATAAGCAGGGAGGCCTCAAGATGGGAGATGGGGATGCTGACTCCTCCCCTGGCCCTCTCCTTTTATTGGCTGATAGGGGTGTATCACCAGCCCATCATGCTATAAATGGCAGCTGGTGGCTACCACCCTAAGTGCCATGAGCACCTCTCCACTGAGAGGCAAACTGTAGGTCGCTTGGGTGAGGTTCAGTAGCCAACCGCTCCCTGCTTGGTGGGGTGACCCTCTTTGGGCCGAGCCTGCAGAGGCCCCCACCCGCCTCTTCCCCCTTTGCAGAGTGGAAGGCCGTCTCTGAGACTACTTTCAGAGAAGATCCTTGGGCTCCAGGTCCAGCAGGCGGAGCACTGTTCAGTAAGTGTGTCCTGTGGGGTAGTTCATGGGGTTTGGGGCGGTTTCCCACCTGGAACCAGACATGAGTCACCTGACACAGACATGGGGGAGGTGGGGCTTGGGCACCTACTTATCCTACGAGGCTATTGGTCAAAAAAAAAAAATGGTAGAGCGGAGTTACGGAATTTTGGTTAAATTCTAAATATGCACATTTAACGAATTTAACACTTAACACAAAAGTACTGCATTCTCGTTATTTGGAGAAAAAGTTGCCAAATAATTACAAAGGGTCCCCCCACCCCCGCAGCCCTCCAGCCCTGCCCTGCCCGGCCCTGCTGAGCAGCTGGCTCTGCCTCTGTGGAGCAGTCACCCCCTGCCAACGTGGCCTCAGTGCTTTGGGCCCTTTTTGCCCATCTGCTTGGTCCTTGTGCCCCTGTGCCCAGCACCCAACCTGCCATCACCCTGCACTCAGAGACCTAAAAAGGCAGCGTGTTTGTTGCTTCTCCTCTTTGGGTTTCCCTTTCTTCTCCTGGGAGGGGTGTCTGAGTCACAGAAGTGTGGGGACCATCAGGTCGTTGCTCCCTCTGCTTCTCTTGTGTCCTCCCTCCCCGTCCTGGTGACATCTCGTGGCCAGGTCCATGTCTCACTCAGTACATCTGTAGCAGAGTGGCTAGTGGGAGGGCTCAGTCATTGTGGGGTTGACTGTGGGCTGCGGCTATGCCTCGTCACCTGCTGGGATGTTTCATGTCGTCTAGATTCAGGATGCCCAGGCAGCAATGAGGCTGTACGTCATGGTGAAGAAGGAGTGGGAGAGCATGGCCCGAGACAGGCGCCCCCTGCTGACTGCTCCAGACCACTGCAGTGACGACGCCTAGCAGTCCTGCCCTGCTGCTGCTGCCGCCCCGCTACAGAGGCAATGTGACCAGTCACAGGGACAGATCACATCTCCCCAGAGTGGCAACTCTGGTGAAACCTTTTCAGAATCATGGCAGAGGGGCGTGGCGTGGTGCTACTGAGAAGGTCCTCCTTCCTCTTGACTTTGTGGTCTGAAACCTGGTCTTACTGTCCATGTGTGTTTGGGCCCGGATGGTCAGGGTGGGGAGCAGGGACGGCCATGGGCACGCCTGGCCACGCTTTACCGACTGCTGACCCCCTGGGCCAGGTGAGGTTGGGGCCTGTGGGCCGCCAGTCCATACGGTGCTGTCACTGCCCATCTTCGGTGACACCCTGGGGTGAGGTGCTCAGCACCTTCCTCTCGAGGAGCCACATTTTCCTCCTTTGTGTTAGGGGACATAACAAGCTCTGCTGGGCTTGAGGGACCCAGACCAGGTGTCTGCAGTCAGCTCCTGAGACACAGCTGGCCGGCACAACAGGTGTTACATCAGGGGTTTCCTGTGGCCGTTTGAACTTTGAGCATTTATCTAAATTAAATTGGCCCAGGGTTGGCTGGTGGGTCACCCAGCAGAGGCTTCTCCCCATAGCACGAGGATGTGTTGCCTGGGCACGGTGACTGCGGTTATTCCTGGAGGTCGGCAGACATGCCAACCTTGGGCTATTTGAGCTGGAGAAGCTATGTGATGCTAGCCGGTGGCTTTCTGGGCTAGGCCCCAGTTTGAGGCTCCCCTGGGAACTAGAGCCAGGAACAGCCAGTGGCACTGACAAGGGGACGGAGTCCAAGGCGTTATTGGGCCACCTGACAGCTGGACAGAAAAGGGGCAGACACACCGAGGATGCGATTTAAAATAAATGCAGATGTTTACTTGGAATGGAGCCTGTGGAGGCTCAGTGTTGACTCTCATCTAGAATGGTCTGGAAGGACTGCTCTGTCCAGGGGCGAGGTCTATAGAGACTGCAGAATTAAGTATCCCACTGGCCAGTCACAGCCTCTTGCCAGAAATGATTAAGGCAGAAACTGGCCTTGGGCCTCTTTATTAGTCACCTAAGAGGAGTGTGAGATGCGCATTCTGGTGCTGGATGACCCTTCCCCCCACCCCAAGGGAAACAGTGGCCCATGGAAAGGAAGGACAGGGAGAGGGCACACGTGGAGGGAGGGGCCTGTGGGGTATCTGTCTTCTCCCCCGCATCAGGGCTGAGCTGCTTCCCCACCCAGTGGGCTGGGAGAGGTGGCTGCCTCCAGCCTCAAGAGCACTTTTTCCGCGCAAGAAACCAGTTCCTGGAAGGAGGAAGCAGGCAAGTCAGTTTTCGTGGACAGTCCCCGGGTCCAGGAGCAGTTACTCATGTGACTCAATCCAGCAGTCATGGACAGGAAACTCTTTGGAGAGGTCTGATTACCCCTCCCGTTTAAGATTGATTTTGGCCCAGTCATAGAGATGGGATAATAGGCAGGCAGGAGAGCAGTCTTGAAAACTATACACGTGGAGATCAAGGTCAGTTCCATACAAACATCTATTCCAGTCCCCCAGACGTGGTGCACCCCAGCTGGGGGCTTCCACCTGGAGGGAGGCCTGGTTTGCTGAAGGCGCTGCTGTCACTCACCAGGCTGGAGGTGAAGCGCTCCTTGATCTCCTGGAGCAGGGCCTTCATACTACTGGACACCAGCTCCGGCAGGATCTCCTCTGCAGGTGGAGCAGGAAGGTCCTGAGGCCAGAGTCCTTCCTGTGCCCCTTGCCAGAAGCCCCAGAAGGATGAGAGTGGGTCACATTCCCCCTTGGGCTTGGCATGCACAGAGCCACCTTGCAGTTCCGGAGCCCCAAGCGTCACCCTCAGCCAGGACAACCCCTGGTGCTCAGAAGATGCCAAATGAGTGGGAAGTTTAAGTGGGCCGAGAAGTGGGGTTGAGCCCACCTTCCATGTGCTCCTTCCCTGTCAGTTATAGGGGGAGCGGGGCACCCCTGACCGCTGGGCTCTAGGGAGTGTGAGGTGAGAAGGGGTTCTCACCATAGGAAGCCAGGTGGACCAGCAGCATGCCCACGTTCTCCACCACCTCCGGGTCGTCCCTGTGGAGCTGGTAGGTCTCCTTGATGAGGCTGAGGCCACTGCCGCCCTCCTCCTGCACCACCACCTTGAAGGCCGCCAGCTCTGGGGGATGGGTGGGAGTGGGTTCATTCCCTGCTTTCCCCTGAAAGGGAAGAGCCTTCTGCCCAGGACGGGATGGGACCCCAGAGCTCACACAGGGGCCTGGGACAGGACAAGAGACGGGACCCAGGAGGCCCCATCAGCTTGGGCGGACCAGTAGGCTGGCATGACCTGAACAGGACCATGCAAGAACAGAGGAGGCAGCCCCCCCAGAGCCAAAGGGGTCGTTGTCACTCTGGGGAAGATTAGGTAGTACAGAGGTCAAGACCATGAGCCCGGAGTTGCCAGGCACCAGCTAGTGTCTTGGCCAGGCCCAGGATGCTCTCTGAAGGACTGTGCTGTGGGCCGAGCGTCGGTTGTGCTGTGCTCAGCGCTGGGCCCAGCCTGTCTAGCTGAGTAACAGGCAGGGTTTGTGTTGTGGGGAATTGGAGACACTGTTTGCAGAGCTGTTTTGATCAGTCACGGTGTGCCTGCATGTTAGGAAACCTGTGCAGATGTGATGTGTTTATGGACAGAGAGAGGGTCACAGGGTAGCATAACGCAGAGACAAGAGTTTATCAAGTGTGCGTGAAAGTCTTGATGGTGATTTCTGGATGACTGGACTTCAGATCGTTTTTAATTTCTTTTCCTTTTTGATTTGTTGCTTCTGTTTTTTGGTTTGTGGCACCTGGCAGATGTAACTGATGGGGGCTGATTCTTGCCCCCACCTCTAGGTGGCAGCCTCGTCCTGTCCCCAGGCTCACCTGACACCTTCACCAGGCTGGCCAGTCCCCGGTAGGCATTGTTCACCAGCAGGGCTCTGTCCTGGCACAGCCGGATGCTTTGCAGGAGCAGCGCCACCACTTGTTCAAACTGCTGCTCCTTGATGCAGCCTGCAGAAAGGGGCCGGGCTGCCTTGTGCCTGCTGTGCCATGAGGCCCACCCCTCCCAGCCCCAGGGGCCCAGGGCGCCCACCCAGCTCACCCAGCAGGGACAGCAGCCAGAAGACTCCGCAGCTGGCTTCTGCCATTTCCCCATCCGCAGGGTAGGTGGCCAACACCTGGCTGATGAGGTCCGGGACCTTCTCCAAGGGGGCCTTGTTCACAATGATACCTGGAACGAGGACAGGGATGGAAGGGGACACCCAGGCCTTGGGTGTGTGCAGGGGGGCCTTCCCATCCCCCATCTGCTGCCTTCCTCCAGCTAACGACAACAGCAGAAATGGGGTGGGAAAGGTCAACTGTCCTCAGAGACGGGTGCAGGGGTTAGCCCAGGAGAGGCTTGGAGAATCCCACACTTTGGGTGCTGGCAGGGTTCTTGGGTTTCCCGGGCTTTCCGTGGTTTGGAGCTCTCTTTTTCCTGGGGCGCTGGAGTGCCAAGATGGGGTCTAGAGGAGAGGAAGCAGCACAGGCCAGGGGGCCCCCTACTGTGAATCAAAAATCAAAACAAACAGGGCATCCAGCACCACACCACCGCTGCCCTCTGGAACCAGGACTGCCCGGAAAATCCCAGGACATTTCCCTGGGCAGGAGGCACTTAAAACTGAGGGGTCTGCCCACTGGGCAAGAAGTCCTGAAACCCGGCCTCTGCCAGAAGGCCTTTCTCCCCTGCCTTTTCTCTCTCTGCTCCTTGATTTTCTTCTGTTGGAGTTGGAAGCTCTCAGAAGAGCCTTTCCCGGACTATGGCTGTTGTGTTTTAGGGACAGGACATGGAGGTCCTCGAAGGCTCTCAGGGGCAGTTAGGGAGGGGCTGGGGGAGGGCTGCCAGCCCCGGTGGGACAGCAGGAGGAGGGCCCCTCACCGTCCAGCAGGAGGGCCCAGAGCAGGCCCAGGCCGCTGGCGCAGACGTCCCTGCTTTCGAGGGAGCTGTTGAGGTGCTCCAGGATGTGCTCCAGCAGCCCAGCATTCTGCAGCTCCTCTGACAGTGACTCTGACTCTGTGGGTGAGCCAGAATGAGGGCCCCAGGGCCCCTCCCTCCAGGAAGCCTTCCTGCCTCTGTTGTCCTTGGGCACTGCAGTCCCATTTGACCTGCAATCCTAGGTGCCTGCTCTGGGCCAAGTCGTGTGCACTCAATGGAGCCCTGAACAGGAGGATGTGGGACTGGCCCCAGAGGAGTCTGTCCATCTCGTGGGCCACCAGTCCCAATAGCTGCCATCCCACTACCAGGCTGGGTCTGACCTCTGTAGCTTCCCATCCAGGGGGCCTGACCCTGCCTCCTGGGCTCACAGAGCCAGCCTGTGCCTTCCAGGATGGAACCATGACGGGGCCCTATCCCGGTAGGATGAACTGACATCCATTTTGCCTGAGGGTTCCAGTTGACATCTATTCCTAGTGCCTCCTTTCACTCCCCAAAGTGAGATCAGCCATGTATCATCAGTTATCCAGTCTGTGCAGTAAAGAGGGTGCTGGGGCCCAGACCCCAGCCCTGAACCCTGCTGCATGGACTCCTGGCAACTGTCCTTAGGCTCTCTCGAGGCCCAGCTTCCTGTTGGGGAGAACAGTGCCCACCCGATTTGTGGGTGAAGGTGTGAGCGCTCTGTATGGCCCTCTCCTTCCCACAGTCCTGGCTGGAGGCTTCGGAAGCCCACTGGGCCCTATGGAATGGAGACACACAGGGCATTTGAGCCCCAGCCTCCCAGAAGGGGCAGGAAGTGTGGGAAAGAGATGTCATTGGTGTGAAGCCCACAGCTGCGCCTAGCATGTCTGTAGAGGGAACCAGTGACTTCAAGAGTGGAAGCTTGTCATCAAGATGGAAAAGGATGCGACCAGCATTTGGGGTGGCCAAATGAAGACGGCCAAATGCCACCATGTATCTCAGGAGGAGGCCCAGCACTGTCCTGTCCAACCCACCTATACCCCAAACCAACCCTTCCAAGACCCCTGGGAAGGGCTGTCCTGGAGCGTGGGTGGGGCAGGAGGTGGCTGGCAGACACACCCTGGGTTGTGGTGATGGCTAGCAGGCTGTAGACCATGACAAGAAGTGGCTCCTCCTCGGGGTGGCTCTGAAGAGCACTCAGCAGGGTGGAGGTGATGGCTTGGTTGCAGGGAGCCTTGGCTTCCGGGTGGTGCACCAGCGCTGCTCAAGCCAGAGGAAGACGCCTGGGGTTAGCCCCACAGCTCAGGCATGGGGCCAGACACACAAGGCTCACAGGCTGGGGGATAGCATCTCCACTTTGCATGAAGGAAACCGAGGTCTGCCTTGTTCTGACCCAGAGCAGGCCTCCATGAATCCCTGTGGCCTAATGGAGTGAAGGACCGGAAGGGAGCCCTGCCCGGCCAGGCCACGCATCCTGGTCCCTGGGAGCCAGTCAGGCAGCACTGAACACAATTTCAACATTGCATGGAACTCCAAACTTCCAACAGTGAAACTAGAAAGGTGGCCGCGCGCGGTGGCTCATGCCTATAATCCCAGCACTTTGGGAGGCTGAGGCGGGTGGATCACGATGTCAGGAGTTCAAGACCAGCCTGACTAACATGGTGAAACCCGTCTCTACTAAAAATACAAAAATTAGCCAGGCGTGGTGGTGGGTGCCTGTAGTCCCAGCTATTCAGGAGGCTGAGGCAGGAGAATCGCTTGAACCTGGGAGGTGGAGGTTGCATTGAGCCGAGAGTGCGCCACTGCACTCGCCTGGGTGACGAGCAAAACTCCATCTCAAAAAAAAAAAAAAAAGTAACTAAATACTTTTTGTTTCAAAAAAAATCATCAAAGCTAATTCAACTCTTTTAACAACCCATGTCTCTCATAGGAGGCTCAATCTCTCAGCTCCAACCTCTTCCATCAGGACAGTGAAATGAACTCAGCACTGCCCTCCTACCAGCCCTCTTCAGAGGACACAACCCATCCTCCCTGAGGGTCACTCCAGAGGACCTCGTGTCCAGCTCCTCGCTTCATAGCTGGGAAAACTGGCAGGATCATCAGGAACTTGTCCAGGGCCACGGAGCAGGCAAAAGGCAGGCCTGGGTGGGATCCGCGTCTCCAAGCTCCTGGCCTGTGCCCTCTCTGCCATCCAGGATGGGGTCTGATGGGCACAGGATGGCATGGACTCTCCAGTGGTTAGATGCCAACCAGGTGGTGGGGGCAGAGCTAGGCCACCAGGAGTGTCTCCTGGCCTGGCCCTGGCATCCACCTTGGCCTAGAAGATGGCCTAGAAGGTGCAGCAGCAGGGAGCAGGGCATGGCTTCCCCTAACCCACCCGGCCCGGTGCCCACCTTGGCCCAGGAGGCACAGCTGCAGGAAGCAGCGCACAGCCTCCCCGACCCCATCTGGCCTGGTTTGGCACCCACCTTGGCCCAGGAGGTGCAGCAGCAGGGAGCAGGCACACAGCTGGACATCGAGGACCCTGTCATGTAGCTCCATGGTCGTGACCACCACCTCCACCAGCTCCGGGGGCCACGGCAGACCTGGCAGGGCGGGCGGCACAGGGGAGACTCATTTTGGGCCAGATCGGGGGCATATAGACCCGACCAGGGCCCCCAGAGGCTGGTAGGAGCCTGCAGGGCCCTAGGTGGGTGAATAGAAGGGGGAAGGACAATGAGGATTAGCGCTAGGTCCATGGAGTGCATGCCATGTCTGCCACGGGTGTCCTGCTCTGTGCTGCCCACAGCCCTGTGAAGTGGCCCCTCCCAAGGCTGCCCTCCATATGCAGATGAGGAACCTGGGGTCAGCAGGATGAAAGCACCTGCTCTTCAGCAGTTTGAACCTAGCCAGTCTATTCCAGAGCCCTTGGCTGCAACTGCCCTGAGGGTGGACATGGGTGGGTGGGCTCCATCCACCCTGCCACTGTGCCAGAAACTGTTGTGGGCTGGGGACTGGGTGAGGGGCAGTGGCCAGGCAGCCATCCCTCCACTCTAGGCTCATGAGAGCAACAAGGATGAAGTCCTGGCACCTGGAGTGTGGAGCGAAGCAAGACCCCCCCCTCTTTTTTTTTTTTTTTTGAAACAGAGTCTCACTCTGTCGCCTAGGCCGTTGTGCAGTGGCATCATCTCAGCTCACTGCAACCTCCGCCTCCTGGGTTCAAGCGATTCTCCTGCCTCAGCCTCCTGCGTAGCTGAGATTACAGGCATGCGCCACCACGTCTGGCTAATTTTTGTATTTTTAGTAGAGACAGGGTTTCACCATGTCTGGCCAGGCTGGTCTTGAACTCCTGATCTCAAGTGATCTGCCCACCTCAGCCCCTCCCAAAGTGCTGGGATTACAGGCATGAGCCACTGCGCTGGGCTGCAAGCCCATTTCTAAGCAAGGCGTGGAGGGAGGTGTGGCTCCGGGTGGTGGGAAAGACCTACCCTTTGGGATGGGGCCCAACAGCTTCCCTAGTTTCCCCAGGGAGGCAAAGTCTCTCTTCCCAGGGACTCTGTCCTGGTCACAGCTGAGCTACAAAAGGGGTCGAAGAGGAGGAGGGGAGGGAGGGAATGGTAAATTAGGCCCATATGAGGCCTCTGCTACCTACTCAAAGGCCAGGGCTGGGCCTTGTCACCTCTGAGGCCCGAGCCACTGCAACAAACCTCAGTGGATTCCTAATCCAGGTCTGATGGATAGACAGACGGATGGATGGGTGGATGGGTGGATGGATGGATATGTGAAGGTAATGTTCAGGCAGGTGAAAAAGGTTGAATGGAAAGATTTTATGAAAGCATGTTTTGGCACAAATGTTTTAAAAATTGGCCGAGCACGGTGTCTCACGCCTGTAATCCCAACACTTTGGAAAGCCAAGACAGGCAGATCACTTGAGATCAGGCGTTTGAGACCAGCCTGGCCAACATGGTGAAACCCCCTCTCTAATAAAAATACGAAAAATTAGCTGGGTGTGGTGGCACACACCTGTAGTCCCAGCTACTTGGGAGGCTGAAGCAGGAGAATCACTTGAACCCAGGAGGCGGAGGTTGCAGTGAGCCAAGATCGCACCACTGCACTCCAGCCTGGGGGACAGAGCGAGACCCTGTCTCAAAAACAAACAAACAAACAAACAAAAACAAAAAAAAACTGCTTTTCCCAACACTCTCCATGAATGAGCAGTAACAATCTTTTTGGGTTTGGTTTTGTTTTCTGAGACAGGGTCTTCTAGGCTGGAGTGCGGTGGTGCAAGCGTAGCTCACTATAGCCTCAATTCCCTGGGCTCAAGCAATCCTCCTGCCTCAGCCTCCTGAGTAGCTAGGATAACAGACATGTGTCACCACACCTGGCTAATTTTTTTATTTTTTGTAGAAATGGGCTCTCCCTTTGTTGCCCAGGCTGGTCTCAAATCCCTGGGCTCAAGCAGTCCTCCCGCCTTGGCTTCTCAAGGTGCTAGGATTACAGGCGTGAGCTACTGCGCCAGGCCATGCATTCTTAATAGGTGGGCAAGTTGTATCTGTGAAAAGTTAAAGTATTCACACTCTTGAACATCTAGGAATCTGTGCTACGGAAACAAGTGCACAGATACATACACACCAGGGTGTCCGTTCTAGTATCATTCATAATAGTGGAAACTGAGAAACAACTCAGATACCCCTCATAGGGACAGTGGGGAAGATGGGATGTCTGTGGCTCCATTAAAATCATGTGAGGGCTGCCACACCACCCATTCCCCTTCTCTGCTGTCTTCCCCAGGCAGATAGCAGAGACACGGGACTCTTCTGGGGACACATGCACGCCTCCACGCTGCAATAAAGCACTGGCGAGGAGAGCCCGGGGTGAGGGCCAGCCTCAGCTCCCCACAGGCCGGACCATAGCTTCTGCCCCTAGGGGAGCAGCTGGGAAAGGGGTGCAGGGTGGGGCCTACCTAGCTGATCTGCAGGCATTTTCAGAAGCCTCTTCATGGCCCTGAGCTGGACTTCGGGCCAGCCAGAGAATTTCTGCATGACCTCTGCAGGGACAGGAAGGCAGGGGAGGGACCTTTCTGAGGACCAGGGCCTCGGGGCTCTGTTTCTCGGCACCACACTGGGCTGGCTGCTGTGTGTGCATCCCCTCCTCAGATCCACAGGTTCAGGATGAGAGGGAGGGGCTGTTACCATCCCCACTTTACAGATGAGGCCACTGAGACCAAGCAACTTTTCCTTAATAGAACCCAAGTCTCTGTCTTGGAGCACACAGATGATGGAGCGCACTTCTGCTCATCCTGGGCACATAGAAGCACGCAGGAAGGAAGTGGTGCTGTGTGAGGAAGATGTCCTGGGACCACTGTGTGCCACCCAGGCTGTGGAAGCAAAAGCAGAGGGTTGTGGGAGGCGTGGGCAGTGACTAGGCCATTGAGCTACATAGAGGATTTGTGTAGCAGGAGCGGAGGGAAAACAGGTGGGGGCCAGGCTATGGAGAGGAACTTTGTGTTATAGGTAGTTGGGAGCTATGGAGGATATTTGAGCAGAGCGGTGTCCTGGGCAGTGTGTAGGGATGGATGGAGGGAAACTGTTCCTACCCACTGGTCGTGCATGTGGAGCAAGGCCAGGGGCATAAATAATGAACCCTCTGGAACTAAACAATAGGATGCCAAGGCCATGGACAGGAGCTTCAGGGCACGCTCCCCCTTTGTGTCCCCAGCATCACCTAAAATGCTGGCCACGTTGCCTTCTAACAGCATGTCGGTGATGGACGCAGGCACCATCTGCCGGTGCAGGGTCAGAGAGACGCACGAGGACTTGAAGGAGCCTCTCAAGAAGGTGATGTGCACCACGTCCCTAGCAGAGGAGCAGAGAGGGCTGAGTAACCCAGCAGCGCCCCCTGCCACCTCCCCGTGGGGCTCTCCCTCTGCCTCTGGCTCCGGGCTGCCCATTGGTGCGGACACTGGACACTGAACTCCCTGTTTTGGGATTCATTTGGCAGGGTCTCTCATAGTGTCCCCAGTGTGTCCGGCAAGCACCCCAGCAATTCCACACCCAGGGACGTACTCCATGGAGGCAGGGCCTCAGCTCACAGAGCTGGGGGACAGTCCGGGGCCCTGGCACTTTTGCTCTTGTCCCCTGCCTCCATAGAAACATGAAAACCCAGATTTTACAACTGCGTTGGTATAAAGATGAATATGACCCAGGCTGGATTCCTTGCTATATGTTGGGTTTTTTGTTTTGTTTTGTTTGGGTTTTTTTTTAGATGGAGTTTCACTCTTGTCACCTAGGCTGGAGTGCAGTGGCACAATCTCGGCTCACTGCAACCTCCACCTCCCGGGTTCCAGCATTTCTTCTGTCTCAGCCTCCTGAGTAGCTGGGACTACAGGCGCACCCCACCATGCCCAGCTAATTTTTTTTCTATTTTTAGTAGAGACGGGGTTTCGCTCTGTTGGCCAGGCTGGTCTCGAACACCTGACTTCAAGTGATCCACCCACCTCAGCCTCCCAAACTGCTGGGATTACAGGTGTGAACCACCGTGTCCGGCCTGGATTCTTTGTTATATGTTTTTGTTTTGTTTTTGAGACAGGGTCTCACTCTGTCACCCAGGCTGAAGTGCAGTGGCGAGATCTCAGCTCACTGCAACAACCTCTGCCTCCCGGGCTCGAGCGATCCTCCTGCCTCAGCCTCCCCAGTAGCTGGGAACACAGGCATGCACCACTACACCCAGCTAATTTTTTGTATTTTTCGTAGAGACAGGGGTTTCGCCATGTTACCCAGGCTAGACTAGAACTCCTGAGCTCAAGTGATCTACCCGCCTCAGCCCCCCAAAGTGCTGGGATTATAGGCATGAGCCACCGCCCCGGCCAGTGTTATGTATTTACTTTTGTCTTCTGATTTTAAAGTAAGTTAGAATGAAAAATTTAAAGGTGACCATTGTCTTTAGGAATTTTTTTTTTTATGTAGAATGAAAACTTTTTTCTGGAACCCTAAAAGTGTCGTGGGTCCTGGGGGCTACGCCTCCTGTGCCTCCTGGGGGTCAGTCTGCTCACTCCACCGTACATTCGGGATTACTCGCCGCAGCACGGTTTGGGAGAGCCAGAACTGGGCAAAGCCCAGCTGTGCAGGGATAATCAGGGCATCTGTGATGGAGTTCTTTGAGGCGTTACAAAGCCAACTAGCTGTGCTTGTATTAGGGTGGAGAGATGTTGAAAGATAAATCCACAGGTTAAAATAAACCCCGACCCTGAGCTCACTTTATCGTTATTCGATCCGAGGGGTCGATCTGGAGCATCAAGGGCAGAAGATTCCTGAAGGTTTCCACATCCGGGATCTGCTTCTCCTCCATTGTCTTCAGGACGGCCTTCAGGCTGCCTGGGCTCTGGCGGAGGGACTTCCGCAGATGCATGGCTTCTGTGCCCTGCACGGAGAGAGGACAGCTCTGTGTATTCCCTTAAGTAAATGAAAACTAGGTCCCAGCATGGGCAGGGGACGACCAGGGACCAAGAAATCCAGGAGGAGACCAGGGAGAGCCAGGTGTGGCCACCGTCTACAAGAATGCCCAGAGACCCCAGGGGCCCCAAGCTCTTCCATAAGAAGAAATGGAGTTTCAGAGAAGCCAGCGGGTTGTCTCCCGGGGTGGAGTCCTGCCAAGAAAGCCCCCTGATCTAGACCCAGCCAGTAAGACAGCATGCCCATTTCACAGAGTGTGAGCATGCCCAGGGTCACACTGCCTGGGCTGGGGCTGGAGCTCAGGCTAATTTCCAGGATGTCACACAGCCTCCGAAGTGGGAAGGCTCTCATTTCCCTGGGAGTCTTTCAAAGGAAGGGAGTGGCAAGGTGCTTCTCAGAGGTGGAGTCTGGGGGTCTGGGAGACCATGGGGAACCTGGGTCCAGCCAGGTGTCTGTCCTTTCTGGGGACCTCGGTGCCTGCAGGTGGTGCTGCGGAGAAGGGGAGCTTCCTTGTTTTGGGCATGGCAGGCCTTCCCCACTTTTCTCTTCTGCATATAGAGGATAGGAAGCGACAGGCTGGACTTCCCTGCCTCCCTGCAGCCAGAGTGACCTTGGAGTGCTCGCGGGGCCAGTGGGGCCCTCTGCCTCCCCTCCTTCCTGCCCACAGGCTGTGGCCATGGTGCAGGGGCCCCAGCAGGGATGAGAGAAAGAGCTGCATGCTAAGGATGTGCAGGAGGAGAGAAGGCACCTCCACACCAGCCTGGGGCTTGTGCATGAGACAGCCAGGTGTGTTCAGGCCCACACTGGGTTCCCGTTGCTTGCAACTCCGTGCAGCCTTCATGCTCACAAGGGCACCTGAACTTGGCTTTTCTCCATCAAGAGTCAGTGACACCACCTGGAGGGCTGCTGCGAGGGTCGCGTGGGATGGTCTGAATATTACCACTGCTGTCATTATCCTGCTAGAGCCCAGCAGGTGCTGCAAGCTGAGGGGTTCTGAGGAGGGCAGGCCCCTCGCAGGTGGAGAAGAGGGCTCTGTGCAGCCTGCAGAGAGCCAGGGGAAGGGATGCAGAGGGGAGGCAGGGTGAGGCCAAGCCTTTTCCCCAGGCCTGGGCGCGTGGGGAACAGCATGTGGGGTGTGGGGGAGGGAGGGCGGCTCACATCCATGAAGGAGCAGCTGGTCATGTCCAGAATGATGCAGCCCAGGGACCAGATGTCTGATTTCTGGCTGAAGGAGAAGTTGAGGGCTTCAGGGGCCATCCAGGACTTACGAAAGGGGTCTGTTGGTAAAAGCAAGGTGGGATCCCTGAGTCCTTTGCTCCCTGGGGGCAGGGGCTTGACAGAGTCACCCTGCCCAGCACTGTATCCCCTTTGGTGGCCCCCCGCAAGCAGCTTGAAACACAAGCCCTGCAGGTCCTCTTCTCAGAAGAGGTGGAGAATATTAACTGTGGGGAGGAAGAGGCCCCAATCAGCGGGAGCTTTGTGTTGATCTGGAGCCACTGAAGCTGTCCATCTTGGTGGGTGCCCACCAGGCTGGCCCATATAGGTGGTGTGTCTGTGTGCCCTGGATGGCTGTAGAAGGAGTTGGAAGAGGCACGTGCCAAGAAACTGTGCACCCCTCTAAACTTCTTGCCCCTTCTAAATGTCAGGACCTTGGGGGCAAAGTTACAGTTGCTCTGCCCTACTTTCTCAACTGGAACCCCAGACAGGGAGGCAAAAGAGCAGACTCCTCTGAGTCCATCAGTCCCTGGTTGGCTTCAGGCAGCCCCTCCTTCTCTGGACCTCCATTCCCCAGCCCAACAGTAAAGGGCTGGACTCCAAGGACGCATGCCATCTACACCTCCAATAGAACCAACCATCTGCCCGTCTGTCCACCCATCCATCCACGCACACCCCATCCATCCATCCATCCACCCACCCACCCATCCACTCACCCACCTACACACTCATTCACTCACTCACCCATTCACTCACTCACCCACCCATCCATCCACATACCCACCCATCTACCCACACACTCACCCATCCATCCATTCATCCATACACCTACCCACCCACACATCCATCCACATGCACCCACCCACCCATCCATCTACCCACCCAACCATCCATCCACAACCCATGCACTCACCCATCCACCCACACACCCATCCCTCTAACCACACACCCATCCATCCATCTACTCACCTACCCATCTATCCATCCATATATCCACTGACCCACCCACCCACCCACCTATCCATCCACTCACCCACCCATCTATCCATCCACTGACCCACCCACCTATCCATCCACCCGCCCACCCATCCACTTACCTACCCTCCCATTCATCCATCCGTCCAACCATCCATCCATCCATCCATCCATCCATCCATCCATGCACTCATCCAATCCATCCACTCACCCACCTACCCACTCATTCACTCATTCATCCACCCACCCATCCATATGCCCACCCACCCACACATCCATCCACACATGCACCCACCCACCCATCTACCCACCCACCCATCCATCTACAACCCATGCACTCACCCATCTGCCCATACACCCACCCATGCAACCACACACCCATCCACCCATCCATCCATCTACTCACCTACCCACCCATCCACTCATCCACCCATCTATCCATCCATCCATCCATCCACTGACCCACCCACCCACCCACCTATCCATCCATCCAATCCACTAACCCACCCACCTGCCCACCCACCCATCCACTCACCCACCCTCCTATCCATCCATCCATCCACTCATCCATCCATCCATCCACTCACCCACCCACCTGCCCACCCACCCATCCACTCACCCACCCTCCTATCCATCCATCCATCCATCCATCCATCCACTCATCCATCCATCCACTCATCCACTCACCTACTCACCCATCCACTCACCCACCCACCCATCCACTCACCCACCCACCTATCCATCCATCCATCCATCCATCCATCCATCCATCCACCCATCCATCCATCCATCCACTCATCCATCCATCCATTCATCCATCCACTCATCCATCCATCCATCCACTCACCCACCCACCCACCTATTCATCCATCTATCCACCCACCTATCCATCCATCCACTCACCCACCCATCATCCATCCACTTACCCACCCACCTATCCATCCTACCACCCACCAAACCACACACCCACCCATCTACTCATTCATCTTCTGTCTACCAAGGACTGAGTGTGGCCGGGTGCGGTGGTTCACGCCTGTAATCCCAGCACTTTGGGAGGCCAAGGTGGGCAGATCATGAGGTCAGGAGATCGAGACCATGGTGAAACCCGGTCTCTACTAAAAAAAATACAAAAAATTAGCTGGGCCCAGTGGCAGGCGCCTGTAGTCCCAGCTACTCGGGAGGCTGAGGCAGGAGAATGGCGTGAACCCGGTAGGCGGAGCTTGCAGTGAGCCGAGATTGCGCTACTGCATTCCAGCCTGGGCGACAGAGCGAGACTCCGCCTCAAAAAAAAAAAAAAAAAAAAGGACAGAGTGCAACCAGCAACTGCCATCCTGGGACTCTGGACTCCTCCTCTGTGGTTGATCTCTCCAGCCCCCTTTCTCTGGCCATCTTTTCAAAGGAACGAGAACTCGTCTCCCCTTGCCACCCACCCCTTCATCTCCTGGGTTGTTGTAGGACTCAGTGATGTACACGCAGCCAGTGCCTGGCACCCACAGACCCTCCGTCCTGGGCATTTTCTTTCTTTTTTTTTTTTTTAATTGATCATTCTTGGGTGTTTCTCGCAGAGGGGGATTTGGCAGGGTCATAGGACAATAGTAGAGGGAAGGTCAGCAGATAAACAAGTGAACAAAGGTCTCTGGTTTTCCTAGGCAGAGTGTTTGTGTCCCTGGGTACTTGAGATTAGGGAGTGGTGATGACTCTTAACGAGCATGCTGCCTTCAAGCATCTGTTAAACAAAGCACATCTTGCACCGCCCTAATCCATTTAACCCTGAGTGGACACAGCACATGTTTCAGAGAGCACAGGGTTGGGGGTAAGGTCATAGATCAACAGGATCCCAAGGCAGAAGAATTTTTCTTAGTACAGAACAAAATGAAAAGTCTCCCATGTCTACTTCTTTCTACACAGACACAGCAACCATCCGATTTCTCAATCTTTTCCCCACCTTTCCCCCTTTTCTATTCCACAAAACCGCCATTGCCATCATGGCCCGTTCTCAATGAGCTGCTGGGCACACCTCCCAGACGGGGTGGCGGCCGGGCAGAGGGGCTCCTCACTTCCCAGTAGGGGCGGCCGGGCAGAGGCGCCCCTCACCTCCCTCCCTGACGGGGCGGCTGGCCGGGCGGGGGGCTGACCCCCCCACCTCCCTCCCGGACAGGGCGGCTGTCTGGGCGGGGGGGCTGAGCCCCCCACCTCCCTCCCGGACGGGGCGGCTGGCCGGGCGGGGGGCTGACCCCCCCCACCTCCCTCCGTCCTGGGCATTTTCATATCCTTCCTTCTGACACTTTCTTTTCCCTCCATGAGAGGCAACATTTTCTGGGGTACCACAAACAACCACGACTTTGTTTCTCTCAAATGTTGGGTGTCTGTGGGGCCCTGCCTCTGCCCTGGTGGTGGCACGCCTGCTCAGTTGCAACCCAAAGGAGGTCTCTTTGGAGTTTACACAAGGCCAGGGCTTTGTGGGGACCTTCTGAGCAAACAGCTGTTTGATGTTGCCTCACTCCAGCACCCAGAGTGGCCAACGCCGCCTGGATTCTAGGCGCCAACCCCCTCTCCCACAACCTGGGGGAGCCCCTGCCACCTTCCTCCGCACGAATATTCCATTTGGCTTTGTCTGTCATTAGCACATTGGAACTCAGGTCCTGCAGTTTGCAGTGGTCACTGCTGATGAGGATGATGTTGGAGGGTTTGAGATTCCTGAAACCAAGAGGTGGGTTTGCCTCTGGATGCCAAGGGGCCACCTGGGCAGCCACCACCCACAACCCCAGGTGGGACCAGTGTGTGTGCTGAGCCTGACTCTCTGCTCCCTGCCCCACCTGGTTCTGCAGCAGCAGCCCACATCCTCCTCTCCTCCACAAAATGCCCCATCTCAGCCTACTTTTTAAGCAGTTGTTTCCTATGTACAGAAATATACTCAATTATTTTAAATCGGGGGAAAAATCCTCAACCACAAGTAGGAACACACCCAGCACTCCGAAGAGGCCCCTTAATTGACACATTCACCTCCTTAGATATCTCAGCTACACGTTTGCCTGGGGATTGATTTTTGGCCATTGTGCGACGTCTAGTGACATGAACACTGGATGTGGAATGTGAGCATTCCCTTTGTACGTATGGTCTGCGTGGTGTGTGTGTGTGTGTGTGTGTGTGTGTGTGTGTGTGTGTGTGTGTGTGTGTGTGTGTTTTAAGTCAGGGTTGCCCAGGCTGAAGTGCAGTGGCACGATCATAGCTCACTGCAGCCTCAAGCTCCTGGCTTCAAGCAATCCTCCCATCTCAGCCTCCATGTTGCTAGGACCACAGGCGTGCACCACCACGCCCAGCTGCATAGTTTCCCTCTTCCTCTTTAAATAAGATATTGGTGTTCAGAATTGGAGCCATCTCCCAGCCCCTTCAGACCATGGATTCTCCAGCCTGAAAGTTGTGCCGCTGGGGGTCAAAGGCTCAGCAGGGCCCACTCAGCCCACACTGGCCCCACGGCAGGCAACCCGGTCTCTCTTCTTGGCAGGGCTTTTGCCTCCTTCCTTTCCACGAACTCTAGAGCAGCCCGCCTGGCTAGCGCACACCCCATGCAGCTGTGCGTGTGCACATGGCTTGAGACCACTTGGAAGAGCCTCTTTCAAGCCCGGGAGGAGCTCTGTAAGGTCCCATCCTATCCTGGCTGCACTGGCCCGGTGCACCTTTCTCCCCAGATCCTGCCCACGGGCACTGGCACCCGAGTGGCCTCAGTGCCTTTTCTCCCGAAGCAGCCAGCCAGTCCGCAGAGGTCAGGGGCCCCACTTACCTGTGGATGATGTCCAAATGGTGCAGGTATTCCAGCGCGTCCAGCACCTGGCCCAGCACATTCTGCATCCACTGGGGGAGAAGTAGGGGGTGCCAGGATGGGAGGGGCACCCTGTGCTGCTTTCAGGGGGGTGACACTCAGAGCAGCCAGCAGGATGGTGGTGTATCCTCTCCTTGCATCTTGAGACAGGCCTGAAGCCAGCCAAGCGCTCAGGGTGGAGGAGGCTTCAGCGTGGTGGCTCTCCAGATGGTAAAGCCGCGGCGGCAGCCAGAAGGACTCTGAGTTTCCAGACTCCACACTGCTGTCTCCATACCAGAGACCCTGGGTGCTGCAGGGGCCCCATCCCTGCACCCTACTCTGTGGCCCGCGCTGCCCCACACTTGCTGGGAGCTGAAGGCAGATCGGCCTTGCGGGTATGGGAGAGGTGGAAGCCTTCAGTGCCTACATGAGCTCAATCCTCTAGGTCATTCAAATGAAAAGAGCCCTGAGAGAGAATGCTAGGAGTGTTCTGCATCAGAGACAAGCTCCATCGAGTACCCAGCGCGGTGATTCTAAAGCTGGGCTCCTAGGGCCCCTGGATTCAGGGCCACCCTGGGGTGTCAGAGAGGGGCTGAGGGGGCAGGATGTGGGCGTCCTCCCACTGCCCCCAGTTAGAGTAGGTCTGCTGCACTTACTGGGTTTCTGGGAATATTTCGTGTTTTGAAGGGCTTCACTCACAAAGTCTGAAACTCACTCCGGGCCTGCCTCTGAGGCCCATGGTAAGAGAAGAGCTGTGTGCCCCGAAGAGCCCCTCAGGGGTACATGGTCCCCCCAAACACAGTTCTCAGGGTAAAAGCAGGTAGCATTCATCTGGGGTAGATGAAAGATCTAAATGTGAAGGCAAAAATAACCAAGCTTCCATAAGACAGAGGAGAGTATCTTCATGATCTTGGAGCAGGAAATGCTTCTTAAACTCCAAAGGCACTAACCATAAGAGTCAGCATTGGGAAAGCGAACTCCATTACAGTTAGGACTTTCCATCATCAAAAGACATCATTAAGAAAGTGAACTGGCTAGGCGCGGCGGCTCACATCTGTAATCCCAGCACTCTGGGAGGCCGAGGCGGGTGGATCACTTGAGGTCAGGAGTTCGAGACCAGCCTGGGCAACATAGCAAAACCTTGTCTCTATTAATAATACAAAAATTAGTGGGTGTGGTGGTGGGCACCTGTAGTCCCAGCTACTTGGGAGGCTGAGGCAGGAGAATCGCTTGAACAGGGAGGCGAAGGTTGCAGTGAGCCAAGGTCGTGCCACTGCACTCCAGCCTGGGCGACAGAGTGAGACTCCATCTCAACAACAACAACAACAACAAGACTGACACAATGAAGTGCTGGCCTCCATGTGGATCGGGAATGCTCACAACTTGTGAGAGTAAACATGGGGCCAACCAAACCAAGTCGGAAATCTGTTTGGAGCATCCACTGAAGCTACACACATGTACTCTACGACCCAATAATTCCACTCCTAGGTATTCATCCCAGAAAAGTGAGTGTCTTCCAGCAATGCTCATAGCAGCCTTATTCACAATAGCCCCAAACTGGAAGCAGCCCAAATGAGACTAGGTAAACAGCCTGCAGCGCAATCAGGCAGCAGAGTGGCAGCAAGCAATGAACACATGATTTGCTGGTGCATGCAGCAGCACCGCGGGGCTCACAACAGCAGGCTGAGGGAAGGAGACCAGACAGGAGTGGCAGCATGCCGGACGAGTCCATTTACAGGAACTTCAGGGACCGGCAGAACAATCTGGAATCATGGTCACCGACTGGGAACCTTCTAGTGTTAGGAACGCCTTCTGTCTTGATCTGGGTGGAAGTTGTGTGAGTGCATCAAACTGTGCACTTAAGATCTGCACACATTACCTAGAGTGCAATGCCTCGAGGCACACATTTAAGAAAAAAACAAGGCTGGACTCCATGGTGCCTGCCCTCCCGCTGTTACTTTGCCCTGCACCGCAGGGCCTGTGTCACAGGTCTAGGTGGCCCCCAGGCCTGGTGCCCCAAAGGACCTCACCTCAGAGTCAATGATTTTCTTTGCCTTCCTCTTATCCTCAATGACCTCCTGGAAGCTGAGCTCATTGAACTCCATCACCAGGCAGAGGTACAGAGAAGAGATCTGCTGGGACAGGAGGCCCTTAGCCAAAGGACGCCCAGGCCCCGGTGCTTCTGCAGGCTCACCTGCTCCAGGGCCTCCCTGCGCTCAGCTGCCATTTGCAGTGGCCGTGGGAGCACTGCCCACTGGAGGGGGCTACAAGCCCCTCCTGCCCCACCTTCAGCTTCCTCTCTCTCCTCTCCCCATTCCCAGGCTCCACCTCCACTCCACACTCCATCCACACCAAGCTACTTGGACTTTCCCAAAAGCTGCACTTGTCCCCTGGCCACTGCACACATGGACCCCTCTGCTTGGACCACTACCCACCCCCTTCATAGGGATAACTATGCACCCTTTAGGGCTCAGCTCAGACCCATTTCCTCTGAGGACCCTGCCCTGGCCAGAGCCCCAGCAGACCAGGTCAGGGCCCCCAATTCTGTGCTCCCTCCCATAGGGAAATGTCCTCTTGGCTTCTCTGCACCCTCCTTGAGAGCATTAGGGGGTGCTCAGAAAATCTTTGGGAGTGCATGCAGTGAGGTCCCCTCCCCAAGACCCGCTGGAGCAGAGGGAGCGTGTGAGGGGCCTTTCCTGCTCGGACCCGGGATTGTTGGCCCCAGGTGGGAACACCAGTGTGGACATCTCATGCAGGCTGGCGCCTGGCAGAAGGCTTCTCAGCCTCTCTTTACCTCCAGCACCCCTTGTGCCTGCTCAGCCTCCCGCTGTCTGCCTCAGTCCCATCAGAAGTGACTGGAAAGCTCCTGGCTCCTTGTAAAGACAAGAAGTCATCCAGCCTACAGGACCCGGCTGCTGGACCTGAGTCTCCGTCCCCAGTCAGCTGTTTACTAGCTGTGTGGCCTTGGAGAGCTCCTGAACCGGAGCCCTAGGCCCCATCAGGAGCACAGGGACAGTACTTCCTGCCCTGCAGCCCTCCTGGCACGTGATGACGGATGTGGTGCTGGTCAGTAAGCTGCACAGGGGCTGCAGGAGTAAGGGGCGCACAGGCCCAGGACGGCACCGGTGTCGGGTGGCTGTGGAGACGGAGGTCAACTAGCTCCTTCCATGAAAGTAAAAACTCTGTCATCAGAGGCACAGGCTCACCAGGACAAGCTCGTTGGCTGCGTGCAGAGCCCGGGAGTCAGGCCCATCTGGCCTGGCCCT
Source organism: Homo sapiens (assembly GCF_000001405.40). Taxonomy (NCBI): domain Eukaryota; kingdom Metazoa; phylum Chordata; class Mammalia; order Primates; family Hominidae; genus Homo; species Homo sapiens. Next base: position 212,406 of record NW_009646201.1, on the reverse strand, counting down.
CTGGCTTGGCCACGTACTAGCTGGGTAACCTGGAGCAACTTGTTTCTGTTAGCCTCTGTTTCTTCTTCTGTCAAATGGGTTAAGAACCCCTCCTGGTCAGGCGTGGTGGCTCACGCCTCTAATCCCAGCACTTTGGGAGGCCGAGGCGGGCGGATCACTTAAGGTCAGGAGTTCAACACCAGCCCAGCCAACATGGTGAAACCCCGTCTCTACTAAAAATACAAAAATTAGCCGGGCATCATGGCACGCGCCTGTAATCCTGGCTACTCGGGAGGCTGAGGCAAGAAAATCTCTTGAACCCGGGAGGCAGAGGTTGCAGTGAGCCAAGATCACACCATTACACTCCAGCCTGGGGGACAAGAGCGAGACTTTGTCCAAAAAAAAAAAAAACTCTCCTGACGATGAGGTTTTTGGGGCTCCTATGAGACTATGCACCGAAAGCCCCCAGCATGGTACCTGGCCCCAGTGAGTGTTAGGTCAGGGGTGGCCACGTTTACAGTCACTGCCATTGCCACACGAGCTATTCTGACAGTGGGGGGTGGGCGTGCTCTGGGCTCAGTCTGCTTGGTCCTGCAGCCCACTGCGTGGCGGCTGAGCCCGTAGGTGTCAGCTCTGACCCACCTCCCCATTCCACGTGATGAACAGCTCCTGGTACACAGAGATGTGGGCGTGCCGCAGCTTCAGCAGTGGCATCAGCTGCCAGGATAGAGCAGAGGAAACGGAGAAGTCAGTGCCTCTCCACGCCTTTCTCAGCTCGGGCTTCTCTGTCACACATCCCAACAAACATGCAAGCCTCGGGCTCTGAGCTGGGCCAGGGAGTGGGCTCAGGGAAGCTGCACGGTGGTTGGGAGCCAGGCAGTCCGATGTGGGTCCTGTCTCCAGCATGAGCTGGCTGTGCTGGGTGACTGGGCCTCATATAGTCATCTGAAAATGGGGGTCCTAGTGGAATCTGCCTCACAGGGATACCATGGGGGGTGAGTGAGCTGTGGCAGGCAGTGCCAGGAAGGTGGGGATCAGCCACAGCCAGGGCTGGCTGGAGGAGGTGGTGCAGACACCGGGAGGTGGGCACACGGAGAGGTCCCGGTGCCCCTGCCCTGGCGGAAAGTGCTTTGAAACATGCCCAAACAGGAGCAGATAGGGCTGCCTTAGAGACATGGAGCCAGACAGACAACTGCTTGGGGTGGAAGGTTGGGCATGAAAGCAGGTGGCCTACCTAGTGGGCTGTGGATGGGAATCGGCAACGTGAAAAGCCACGGCGGCGTGCGGCTCTGGGCAGGCCCCATGCTCTTTCTTCCCATTTGTTACCGAGTAGCCTGGGCCCACCACTGTGCTTCGGTCACACTATACACCCAATAATGTTTGCTGGCCAAGCTCCAGAGCCAGCAATTCCAGAAGACAAACAAGTGACCATGAGATAAGAGGGGACACCTTCAAGCTCGTGGGAAATTCAAGAAACACAAAGAAAGGCTACTCGGAGGCTTTGCCAATCAAACCGAAGTGCAGCTGTTATCGCTATTATTGTAAACGAGTATGTTACTGCTGGGCAGCTCTCAATGGTAGAATTAAGGGTAATTTATATTTGTTTTGTTAAACAGTTCTGGTATGGGTGTGGTGGTACATGCCTGTACCCCAGCACTTTGGAGGCCGAGGTGGGACGATTGCTTGAGCCCAGAAATTCAGACTAGCCTGGGCAAAATGGTGAGACCCCATTGCTATTAAAGAAAAAAAAAAAAAGGTAAAAACAAAAGAAAACCCAATTCTGTATTTTTAAAATTTTCTGCTGTAATTAATAATTTTATATTGAAGAAAAAATATTTAAAGAAGTTATTGGTAGATTAACCTAGGGACCCGGCCAATATTTATTTATTTTTGAGACAAAGTTTTGCTCTGTCACCCAGGGTGGAATGCAATGGTGCAATCTCGGCTCATTGCAATCTCCGCCTCCCAGGTTCAAGTGATTCTCCCGCCTCAACCTCTCGAAGTAGCTGGGATTACAGGTGCCCACCACCATGCCCAGCTAATTTTTTTGTATTTTTGGTTGAGACAGGGTTTCCCCATGTTGGCTAGGCTGGTCTTGAACTCCTGACCTCAAGTGATCCACCCGCCTCGGCCTCCCAAAGTGGTGGGATTACAAATGTGAGCCACCGTGCCCAGCCCAATATTTAAATTTTATGTTCTCTGGGAACATATGTTCTAAGTTGTCGGCACCTGCATTTAGCAGTGAGTGTTTGGGGCATGGACTCCCTTCATGACCTGGGGCTGCTGGCTTCACAGCTGAGGCAAAACTGGTGCTGATGCTCTATCCCTCCCTCCAGCCTTCTCTTCATCCAGGCACTCAACAAGAAGGTACAGAACACAGTCTGTGTATGCTCCATTGAGCTCTTCCAGAGGGAAAACTACCCTGAGAGTTACCTCCTCCAGGGCCTGACTGGCGTAATGGTCATCCATGCATTCCACCTGCAAGGGCACAAGAGCATGAGCTTAATAAACATGTAGCAAATCATCTCCGTTATCACCGCCATCACCACCACCACAACGACCATTACCATCATCTGCACAGCCACCACCTCCACCACAACCATCACCATCATTACCACAACCACAACCAACACCACCATCACTGTCACCATCATCACCATCACCATCATCACCATCACTGCCATCATCACCATCATCACACCACCACCACTACCATTACCACCATCACTCCATCACCACCACCATCAACACTATCATCACCATCATTAACATCATCATTACCACCTTCATCACCACCATCACCATCACTGCCATCATCACCATCATCACCATCACCACCATCATCACCATCACACCACCACCATTACCACCATCACTCCATCACCACCACCATCACCACTATCATCACCATCATTACCATCATCATCATATATCATCACCATCATTACCATCATTACCATCATCACTGCCATCACCATCATTACCATCATCACCATCACCATCACCACCATCATCACACCACCACCATTACCACCATCACATCATCACACCACCACCATTACCACCATCACTCCAACACCACCACCATCACCATCATCACTATCATCACCATCACCACCATCATTACCAAAATCACCATCACACCATCATCACCATCATCACACAATCATCACCATCATCAAAATCATTACCATCACCACCTTAACCATCATCACACCATCACCACCACCACCACTATCATTACCACCATCACACCATCAACACCACCGTCACCATCACCACTATTATCCCCATCATCACCAACCTCATCACCATCATTACCACCATCACCATCACACCACGACCACCATCATCATCACACCATCACCACCATCACACCATCAACACCACTGTCACCACCACCACTATTATCCCCATCATCACCACCATCACCAACATCATCACCATCATTACCACCATCACCATCACACCACCACCATCATCACACCATCACCACCATCAAACCATCAATGCCACTGTCACCATCGTCACTATCATCACCATCATTACCATCATCACCACCATCATCACCATCATTACCATCATCATTACCACCATCACACCATCAACACCACTGTCACCATCCCCACTATTATCATCACCATCACCACCATCACCATTACTATCATCACCATCACACCACCACCACCATCATCACATCATCACCACGACCATAATCACCATGACCACCATCACCATCATCACACCATCACCATGACCACCATCACCATCATCACACCATCACCACCATCACCATTATCATCACCATCATCATCACCATCATCACTGCCACCACCATCACCACCACTACCACCATCATTGCCACCTCCATCATCACCACCATCATCACTATTTAGCAGGAGTGACAGGCTCCCACCATTCCTGCCCCCACCATATGGCACAAATGGAAGATATTCCTAAGGCAGAGATCTAAAAATACTTAGAGCAATGAGAACATCTTTGCTCCTTTTGCAAAGATAAGTTTAGGACAGCATAATATACGCTCCAAGAACTCAGTAAAGGATCCATTTTCAGACCGTCTTTAAACAGGAACATCTTGTTCTGGTTGGGAAAGCATCAATCTCACCACTTCATTCCTTACCCACATGGGGAAGGTTGTCTCCACGCATGGAATGTACAGTGCTCTTCTCTCCTGTGCCCTCTCCGGGTGGAGGTGGGGAGGGCATGGAAAGGGAAGGGTGGTGGCAAGGGCAGCACGGAGCTTTGAGTCTGCAGCACGCTTGGTGGCACAGGCCCTAGGTATATACTACCACTGGCTCTAATACCAGATCCTCACCCAGAATTTTGCTCAAAAGACTTATGAATGAAGTACTCTTATAATGGGGTGAATGCAGACCATCATGTAAAGTTAGTGAATTGTTCCCAGATCTATGGAGAGACCTGAGATGCCAGTGGCACTGTCCCGTGGAATCCAGGGCAAAGACACTGAGTGAGCCTTCCTGTCTTCCTTTCCTCCTGTCCTAGGGGGCATATGAGGAGGTGAAGTTGGCCAAAACATGGAAAGACTTGAAAATGTTACATTGTGGCCGGGCACAGTGGCTCACGCCTGAAATCCCAGCACTTAGGGAGGCCGAGGCAGGCGGATCACCTGAGGTTGGGAGTTCGAGACCAGCCTGACCAATATGGAGAAACCCTGTCTCTACTAAAAATACAAAATTAGCCGGGCGTGGTGGCACATGCCTGTAATCCCAGCTACTTCGGAGGCTGAGGCAGGAGAATCACTTGAACCTGGGAGAAGGGGGTTGCAGTGTGCCGAGATCACGCCATTGTACTCCAGCCTGGGCAACAAGAGTGAGACTCCGTCTCAAAAAAAAAAAAAAAAAGCGGCTGGGTGGGGTGGCTCACGCCTGTAATCCCAGCACTTTGGGAGGCCGAGGCAGGCGGATCATCTGAGGTCGGGAGTTCGAGACCAGCCTGACCATCCTCTCCATGTTGATGGAGAAACCCCGTCTACTAAAAATACAAAATTAGCTGGATGTGGTGGCACGTGCCTGTAATCCCAGCCACTCAGGAAGGCTGAGGCAGGAAAATCGCTTGAATCCGGGAGGCAGAGGTTACAGTGAGCTGAGATCACACCACTGTACTCCAGCCTGGGCAACAAGAGCAAAACTCCATCTCAAAAAAAAAAAAAAAAAAAAAAAAGTTACATCGTATGACCCAGAAATCTCACTCCTAGGAATTTTTCCTAAGGAAATCATGGATGCTAAACAAAACAAAACAAAACAAAACAAAAAAACAAACAAAACCATAATGCCATAAGCATCTTTATCAGAGCTGTTTACACAAAGTGAAAAATTGAGAACAAGCTCAATGCTCAGCCCATGTGATAGGGATGGCTTGGGTTAGTTACAGCACATCAAGCAAGACGGGAGGCCACACAGTTGCCAGAGCCAAGAGAGGAGGAGGCTGTGGGAATGACATGAAACTATGTTTGCAATATAAAAAGGATGCTATCAACTTTAACGATACCATTCTCCTGAATCCAAAAAAGTTTACAAACGCTTAGGAAAAAAGACTGGAAGAACCCATAAACTCCTACCTACACTCTCTTTCCCCAATTTTTATTTAGAAATAATTGGGTGATATTTTTATTTTTAATTTAATTAATTAATTAATTAATTTAGACAGAGTCTCGCTGTGTCACCCAGGCTGGAGTGCAGTGGCGCAATCTCGACTCACTGCAACCTCCGCCGCCCGGGTTCAAGCAATTCTCCCGCGTCAGCTCCCAAGTAGCTGGGACTATAGGCACCCACCACCATGCTCAGCTAATTTTTGTATTTTTAGTAGAGATGGGGTTTCACCATGTTGGCCAGGCTGCTCTCAAACTTCTGACCTCAAGGGATCTGCCTGCCTCGGCCTCCCAAAATGCTGCGATTACAGGGATGAGCCACCATGCCTAGTCATGGCTGACATTTTTAAAAGCTCCTCAGGCCGGACGCGGTGGCTCATGCCTGTAATCCCAGCACTTTGGGAGGCCGAGGCGGGCGGACTGCCTGAGCTCAGGAGTTCCAGGAGTTCGAGACCAGCCTGGGCAACACGGTGAAACCCTGTCTCTACTAAAATACAAAAAATTAGCCGGGCGTGGCAGCGTGTGCCTGTAGTCCCAGCTACTTGGGAGGCTGAGGCAGGAAAATTGCTTGAACCCAGGAGGCAGAGGTTGCAGTGAGCTGAGATCACACCACTGCACTCTAGCCTTGGCGACAGAGCAAGACTCCATCTCCAAACAAAAAAAAAAGCTCCTTAACTGCTCAGAGGGCAGTCAGCCACACTGCCCCAGTGGCTTGTGAGACAAGGGGGCCAACCCCACAGCCAGCCAGCAAGGGAGCAGGGCAGGGGCAAGGACTCCAGGCCCAGCCATACAGGGTGAGACTGCGGAGCTGTACGGACTGAGGCCTGGCCCAGTAGCAGCTGCTGACAAGGCTCCTCCCGCTGTATGGCCAGCCCTGAACCTGCTGGGTCCCTGCCACCACCACAGAGAGGAGGGCATGCCAGGGACTCTTGCAGCAGCTTTCTCACCCTAGTCCCTCTGTTGATCTGGACCTCCCTGTCTCGGACACACAAAGGGCTGTCTTCCTGCAGGCCTACACCTCCCCATGCCCTGCTAGCCCTGGTGAGGAGTGTGGTGGAAGGGCTCAGGGCCTGGTGTGTGACCTTAGCCCTGTGTGACCTTGAGCCAGTCCCCATCCTCTCTGGGCCTGGCTCCCTTTTGGTAAAACTGGTGACCCAGCACTGGGTAGCACGGTGTCCCCCAGTGAGGTGGCCTGAATTCAAATCCTCTTGGAAATTGTGTGACCTTGCCTAGTCTGGCGCTGCATTGAGCCTCACTGTCTTTGGCTATAAACAGGGTCATTGTTTCTGCTTTACAGGGTTGACGGGAGATGAAGTGAGTCAGTGCCTGGCATACAGCACGTGATGCGTAAATGGTGGGAGGTGGTGGTGTTGGAGTAAAAATTAGCATTGCTTCCCCATCAAGGTGACAGAGCTTCACGCACCCCCACATCTACCCCAACCAGATTAGTCTCCGCAAGTGTCAGCAGCGAGGAATCCAGCTGCCGCATCAGGAAGCTTCTCCAACATGGGAAGAGCTTGTATTGGGGAAAATCACAGTCACAGAACCACCCGGCATGGGATGCACAGGCTTGGCCTCTTACCTGCTTTATCACATGCTTGACTTTGGTTTCCATTTCCTCCACCACCAGGTTCACCCCCAAGGCCCCAGGATTCAGCTGGTACAAAACCTATCAGCAAGGAAGAGAGAAGCTTTCAGGAAATGCACACAACTTTTCCCTTTCCAAAAGCCCAGCTCCAACTCCTTTTCTGGCCCTGCTAACTCCCCTGTCAGGCTGGCAGAGCAAGTGGCTCCACCCCATCTTGCAATAGAGGAAATGGCCCAAGGAGGGCAAGAAGCCTTTCAATGGCAGAACTCTGATCTCACCTATTTGGGGCCGATTCTGGAGCTCTTCTACAACCCTGTATCCCTCCCCCAACCTGCAATGAGGACCAGCTGGGCACTCAAGTGCAAGAACCTCCCAGAGAAAAAGGGCTTATTCACTCTCTATAGACCTCTGTGACCTCAACTTCCAGCATCCACCTCCCAACTGGTTTCCAACAAGAAAGTAACCAATCTTGTGACTGGTACAATCAGGAAGCCATTGTGTGCCTGGCATGGTGCCAAGCACTTCACAGCCACCCTTTGCAGTTGACACCATTGCTACCTCTGTGTTTACATTGGGGAAAACTGAGGCACAAGGAGCTAGGTCCTTGCCTGAGGCTATGTCACTAGAAAGCAGGACACTGCCTGGGGTAACTCTGGGGGTCTGATCTTAGAGCCTGTGATTTGAGCCAAATCTGGAGAGATGGCCACCAAGCCAGAACTCTGTGCAGAGACCAAGTGCTATGGGGCAGGGGGCTGGGCCGGGGATTGCTGGAGGCTGACATTCATCAGAGGATTGGGGGAGGGAGGGCAGGACCCAGAGGAGGAGATATGAGGATGGAAGCCTGAGCCTAGGGACTCTCGGAGCCCATAAAAGTCTTAGGAGTCTGTAATCCAGCCTTGTGAGCAGCCTGCTCATGACACTGGATATTCTAAGCCAGGGGTCCCCAACCTAGTCCGTGGCCTGTTAGGAACCAGGCTGCACAGCAGGAGGTGAGCAGCAGGCAGTGGAGCAAAGCTTCATCTGTATTTACAGCCGCTCCCCATGGCTCGCATTACCACCCAAGCTCCACCTCCTGTCAGCTCAGCAGCAGCATTAGATTCTCATGGGAGTGTGAACCCTATTGTGAACAGTGCATGTGAGGGATCCAGGTTGCATGCTCCTTATGAGAAACAAATGCCTGATGATCCGTCACTGTCTCCCATCATCCCGAGAGGATGGTCTAGTTGCAAGAAAACAAGCTCAGGGCTCCCACTGATTCTACATTATGGTGAGTTGTGTAATTATTTCATTATGTATTACAACATAATAATAGAAATGAACTGCACACTAAGTGTAATGTGCTTGAATCATCCCAAAACCATCCTCCCGCCTCCATCTGTGGAAAAATTGTCTTCCACAAAACTGGTCCCTTGTGCCAAAAAGGTTGGGGACTGCTATTTTTTTTTTTCTTTCTGAGACAGAGTTTTGCTCTTGTTGCCCAGGCTGGAGTCCAATGGCGCTATCTTGGCTCACCACAACCTCTGCCTCCTGGGTTCAAGCGATTCTCCAGCCTCAGCCTCCCGAGTAGCTGTGATTACAGGCATGCGCCACCACACCTGGCTAATTTTGTATTTTTAGTAGAGACAGTTTCTCCATGTTGGTCAGGCTGGTCTTGAACTCCCGATCTCAGGTGATCCGCCCGCCTTGGCCTCCCAAAGTGTTGGGGATTACAGGCGTGAGCCACCGAGCCCGGCCAGGGACTGCTGTTCTAAGCCACAGCGGGCTGAGGGCAGAGCTGGTGTGAGAGCGTTCAAGCTTAGGCAGCAAATTAAACAGTAAAATGGAGCCGTATCTCGAATCAAGTCTATTTTTTTTTCCAAAAGCAGGTATATTCCTGAAACGTCTATTTTTTTTTAATCTGAAAAACAACTTTACTTTAAAAATTATCTGGCCACCAGAAGCTCATCTGCTTCACCTCTGGCAACGCCCTATAGTCCTCTCACACAAAGACAATTCTTCCAAAGTGACAAAAATCTAACCCGCAAACTGTTTCCAAGCGAATGCATTTTTCACAAATGCTGAATCTAACATTTAATAAAGTGTATATATCATGTATAGAAGCATTTAATTAAACATTTACTTTTATTTTGCAGCTTTCCTTTTGTGTTTTGTGAATTTTTTAGGTCTCAAACATTTTCACAGACCCACGCTGCAGGGGTGTTTTTAGGGGACTGGGGGCTCCCAATTATGTACTCGGGATGTTCCCGGGGGTCCTGCCTCGGTGGACCCAAGCGCACAGACCCCAGGCACGAAGGATAGAGGAGCTGCCCCACGCCCTCAAATACTCAGCCAGGGCTGGAGAATCCTTAGTCAATTCACAAAGGGGGAAACTGAGTGGCAAAGGGCACCCAGGAGGTCACCGTTGGAGGCCCCCCGGGTTCAACCTAGGAGCTGCAGGCCGACACTGGCCAGGGCGCGGGCCCCTCGCCGCCCTCGGTCGGAACCGCCGGCCGTAGCTCCAGGGTTGCGACCGTTACCCCACGGAGCTCCCGCCTCCCCGCAGGGAACACTCGGCACCTGGTACTTCTCCATGGGCTCTCCGGGGGACCCTGGGCCTCGCTCCCCCTGCGTGGGGCGCCTGCGATTGGACCCTGGCCCAAGCATGATCAGTAGCGACCGCGTACGGGCGAGCGTCCACCCCTGGCCCCACCCCGCGTGGGTCAGTGGGACCCGCGGGATCCTCCCCGCCCGAACGGCGCCCTCGAGGCACTCAGGCGTCCCTCCCGCGCGCTGGCCCCAGACCCCCAGGTCCCCGCCCCCTTAAAAGGGACGCGTTCCGCCGGGCCGGGAGGGACCGCAGGGCCTGCGCGCGGCGGGCGGGGCCTCCAGCGTGAGAGGCGTGGCGTCGAGCGCGGCGGGCGTGGCTTCGAGCGGATGGGTCGGGAGGCTGGGGATGGCGCGTGGCCCCTTTAAGACGCACCGGGGCGGGCCCGGGCGGCGCGCGGCCCCTTTAAGGCTTGGCCTACGTGGCAGCCGCTGGAGCCGCAGCCGACGCGGAGCGAGGCCGGCCGCCGGGCACTTCCTGTGGAGGCCGCAGCGGGTGCGGGCGCCGACGGGCGAGAGCCAGCGAGCGAGCGAGCGAGCCGAGCCGAGCCTCCCGCCGTCGCCATGGGCCAGAACGACCTGATGGGCACGGCCGAGGACTTCGCCGACCAGGTGCGGCCTGCGGGCTCCTCCCCCGGCCCCGGTCCCGACCCAGGCCGCCCGGGCCGCTCCGGAGTCGGCCTCCCAGCGCAGGGCGCCAGGCCCGGGCCGCCCCCTGACTCCTTGTTCCCACAGGGGGACCCCCCCGCCCGGGCCCTCTGTCCCGGCTGGACAGCCCCAAACCCGGCCTCCGGGCCCAGTCTCCCCTGCCCGCTGGGCCGCTCCCGGAGCCCGGGCCTCGGCGCCCTGCCTGGCTAGCCGCCCCCACCCTCCAGCCAGCCCGGGGCGCGGGCTGTGGGGGTTTCTTCCCGGGCCGGCGGCGCGAGTCCTGGCGTTGGGTCGGGTCTGAGGCTCGCGGGGAGCGCCTCGGCGTTTGGAGCTGCTGGGGGGTCCCCGCACGTTTTTCCTCTCACTGGGGCTCCCGGAGGCGGGCTGGGAGCTCGGGGACGAACGGGGGCCGGGGGTCCTCCCAGAGGAAAGGGGGCGCGCTGGCGTGCGCCCCAGCTACAGGAAGCCACAGCACCTTTTCCTTTTCTCTTTCCCAGATGTGCTGGACTCTTGGGGTCCCTTTGACCCTGTCTGCGTCTCCCTCCCCGTTTGGACTCTGCCCTGGGCTGGATTGAGTGGGGACCTGTACACAGCCTGGGAGGAGGGGAAGCCTATCTCCCTGATAGTCTCCTTCCAGAAGTGTCCAGGTGGCATTCTGAGCAACAGGGAAGCCTTTGAAACAGGCGGTTGGGTAACTGTTGAGAGCATTCGGGAACTGGGTGGACAGGATCCGATCCTACAAAGTGAAGGGACACAACTCCCTTCCCTCTTTCTTGATTAAGCTTGACAGAACAAAAAAACAAAAACAAAAGGTGGTGGTGGTTACGCAGATTTATGCCTTTTACTTCTAAAAGAATCCCGTTATGTCGACAAATTAACAGCCTTATCCCCGCAGGGAGAGCCTTGTGTGGCCCACTTGCCGTTTTTTCCTCGGTTTACTTAATGTGTTCGTGTGGCTTTGCTAGAGTTTTAAGTAGTGATGGTTAAATTTTTAAATTTTTCTGGAGGTGGTAGTGAGTCATCAAACTCTGAGGCCTAGACTTATCGGAAGGCTTGTATATGTGTGGTTTAAAAAAAAAAGAAAAGAGTAAGTGACCGTTTTCTGATCAGCTATTGAACTCTTCCGTTCCTCCTGGGGGGTGATCTCTTTCTAGTGTGACCTCACCATCGGTTCTCATTGCAACACTTTCTGTGAGCCAATATTTTAAATTTGGAGGGAAAAAGTAATCAACTTGACGAAGCATTTTTTCCCTAAGATTCTGATTTTGTGCTTAAAGACACAATTTTATTTGTTTATTTATTTTTATTTATTTATTTTTTCTTTGAGATGGTGTTTTGACCTTGTTGCCCAGGCTGGAGTGCAATGGTGTGATCTCAGCACACCACAACCTCCAACTCCTGGGTTCAAGCGATTCTCCTGCCTCAGCCTCCCGAGTAGCTGGGATTACAGGCATGCACCGTCACACCCAGCCAATTTTGTATTTTTTTTTTTTTTAGTAGAAACAGGGTTTCTCCATGTTGGTCAGGCTGGTCTCGAACTCCCGACCTCAGGTGGTCTGCCCACCTCAGCCTCCCAAAGTGCTGGGATTACAGGCGTGAGCCACGGCACCCAGCCTTTAAAGACACAATTTTAAAAACAATTCATATCAAAAGCTCTCAAGAACCAGGTAGACCTTTTAGGTTTGTCAGTTTTCATTGACATAATTTATAGTGACCCATTTATATTTCTCCAAGTCGCAGCTCCCTAAGAAGATGGCTCCTCATAGCTGAGGGAAGGATGAGAGCTACATACACTCGCTCTTTGTCCTGGAAAACCTGGATTTGCAAGTGAATTTCATAACCAAATCTAGATCAAATGTCTCCAGTCAAGCTGCTGCCCACTAGCAAATGACAGACTCCCCTATTGACAAAAAAAAGTTCCCAGTGTCTTCACATACTGTTTTCTTCTTCTTTTTTTTTTTTTTTTTTTTTTTTTTGAGACAGAATTTCGCTCAGGCTGGAGTGTAATGGTGCGATCTCGGCTCACTGCAACCCCCGCCTCCCGGATTCAAGCAATTCTCCTGCCTCAGCCCGAAGTAGCTGGGATTACAGGCGCCTGCCACCACGCCCAGCTAATTTTTTTGTATTTTTAGTTGAGACGGGGTTTCCCCATGTTGGCCAGGCTGGTTTCGAACTCCCGACCTCAGGTGGTCCGCCTGCCTTAGCCTCCCAAAGTGCTGGGATTACAGGCGTGAGCCACCCTGCCCTGCCTTTTCTTCATGTTTTGTTATTATGTTTTTTTTGGAGACAGAGTCTTACTTTGTCACCCAGGCTGGAGTGCAGTGGCGCAATCTCATCTCACTGCAACCTCCGCCTCCCGGGTTCAAGCTATTCTCCTGCCTCAGCCTCCTCAGTAGCTGAGATGACAGGCCCACGCCACCACGCCCCGCTAATTTTTGTGTTTTTAGTAGAGACAGCATTTTGCCATGTTGTCATGTTGTCCAGGCTGGTCTCAAACACCTGACCTTAGGTGATCCGCCTTGGCCTCCTAAAGTTCTGGGATTACATGCCTGAGCCACCGCGCCCAGCCTTCATCATGTATTCTGTTATGTTTTAAATGAAAGAAGCAGTAGCTTGGAACTGGAAAGGCTCTTGAGGGGGCACAGAGTCGACCTCTCCCAGGTTACTGAGGGGAGGCCAAACCTGCTCAGGCTCCTAGACTTGCCTGTGACCAAGACCAAGAAAAGCCGGGTCTTGGTCCCCAGCGCCCCCAGCCCCTGGTGTTGCTCTTCTGGCACAAGTCAAGGGAAGAGCACTAGCGGGTGAAGGGGCTGCTCACATACAAAACCCAAGTGGGTTAGGACCATATCTGTAAGGCACCATATCTGTAAGGCAGCGCAGGCTGCCGCCGTCAGATGATCTCCTTAAGAGTCCGTCTAGGTGGTGGCAGAGCATGGCTGTGGGAGCTTCCATGCCCTTTTGTGGGCAGCTTGGGAGGGCAGCTACTTGTACTCGCCCAAACCCCAATCAGACAGATGCAGGCAAGTAAACAGGGTTCGAAGTCAAAATATGGCTTCTTGTGGACAGAATCTGACCAAGCCCAGGTGGGGCTTTGTTTCTCTTTATTCACATAGTACTTAAAGCTGCCAGACCAGGCTTTTACATGAAAATGACCTAATTTGAAGCCGATAGAGGATTACCATGGAAGTCACTGATCAGATAAAGTGACACATCCATTTTTTCACATCTTCAGAAAACAAGAGCAAAACTGAAGTGACAAGATTTGACCAGAAAGTGTGGGCTGCTGAAAGCAAGACCTAAGTAAGCTTAGTTTCCCAGGCCCAGTGTCTTCCAGTATTATGACAATGACATTAAGTCTTTCACTGGGCCGGGTCCATGATAGACATTCCTTTTGTGAACTTCTTGACTGTAGGAGGTTGGCCAGAGCGTCACCATCTTCAGATGGGCAGAGGGAGGTTGGCTGGCCGCACTGGCTTGTGGTGGCCTGGAGACTGAGTCCGCATCCTGTTACCCCAAAGGCTGGGTTCCTCACTGCTTGGTTGACTGATCTTTCCTTCTGGCCTGCAGAGGCTGGTCCACGGGGACGAGCAGTCTGGTTAGTTTCTGCTGGCAGGCTCCCCACAGTTGCATCTCTTGTCTCTCTGCCTCTGGCATCAAGCTGCTTGCTCTGGCAGCCAGGGACAGTGTCCTCTTGCTCCCAGGAGCCATGCTCTGTAGAAACTGCTGAGACGTGCTCTATGCAGGAGCTTGGCATTTGGAAGCCATGGGAAGGGTCCAGAAACTAATGAACTCAGCAATCCAAACTAATGTCCATGCCTGCAGCTGCTCCTCATTGCCTATTAGACACTCTGTAAAATGTAGCTTCTAAGCAGTTTATACCCATAAACAGCAATATTAGCACTTAATGGGTTCTGCCTGGTGGCTCATCACCAAGGTGACAGAAAAGCTGCATGGGGCCTTCCTCTCCAGTGTGACCTTTGGTGTTTTTAACCTGTCCTCAAGAGTGGCAGAGCTAGTCCTGGGCCCTAGGAGCTGGCCTCGGCCCTAGTTGAAGTGCTGGGGAAGCAAGGATAGGCCTGAGGACCCCTGAACTTGCAGGTGGCACAGGCACTGTGAGGGTCCCGATGAACACCATGCTGGTGACTGGTGTGGCAAAGTCCTGGTGACAGTGGCAGGCTCTGTCATACCCTGCCCTATATCATGAAGGAGTGGGGAGAGAAGGCAAAGAGGAGCTGACTCACTTTTCTTTGTGTGATGATCTTAACGGGAGGTTAAAACTCACTCTTCAGGGGAGTGCGGGCGAGGAGCAGAGGAGGTTGTGGTTAGCGGGGCTCCTCCCAGAACATGGGGCCCAGTCGTTCTCAGTTACGTCTTTCCTATAGTTGGGATTTTGATCACACAGTTTTTTAGTAAAGCCAGGCCATCATCTCCCACATTGGGCTGGCGACATCCTTTCTGGCCCTGCAGGGTGCAGTGTGAACCTATAGAGCAGCATGGGAGCGGGGCTCGGGGAAGTTCTGGAGCTGCAGTGAGCCAGTGAGCTCGAGCCAGCTCTGACAGGCTGATGTGAGGGAAGCCGCTGGGCCGCAGGTGCTTGTTTCTAGGATGTGTGGGACCTGAGTTGGGCTTTGAACAAGGCAGCCCCAGTCCTTGGTGATCAAGGAAATCTGACCTGCCTTTTTCGTCGATGTTCACATTCACCACGAATTTGCAAGCTGCTTTCCTCAATTTCTTTCTGTCCTGAGTGTGAAGAGAAAGTGGAGTTTTCTGTGTGGCGTGGGAGCTGCAGGTGGCTGTGACAGTGATCACTGGATGCCCAGGAAGTCATCTCAGGGTGGATATAATTAATTACGTTTCTAAAATCCCCTTCAGTCGTCTAAAATAACCACCCCTTTGAGAGAAATATCAGTCTTCCTGTTAAGCCCCTCAGATGCTGTCACTGCTTATGAACCATATCCTGCTTGATGGCGCGGTTCTCGGAGAGACTTAATGAGAAGCTTGGCCACAGAGGTGAGCTAACTGTCATCTTCTTCCTGCAGCCTGCCAGGTCAACAGCCACCTCTGGCTCTGCTGTCGCAGTTCTCTAATGGGGGGGAGGGGGACTGTCACAAGTTTTATGTGCTCGCCGTGTTTACACAGGTCACCTGTGTGCTGGCTACCAGCAATGGCCTTAGTGCCTGCAGTGCGGCTGCTCTTGTCTGTCCTGGGGTGCTGTGTGTCCTGCCTGTGTTGAGGGCTCTTCTCTGCTGTGCTGAGGGGACACTGGCTCTGGGACGTGTTCTAGAGTGGCATGACATGGTTCCAGTGGCCAAGTTGAAGTAGTTGTGACCAACATGCATGTAGGAAATAAGGTTAATGTTGGGCCTTGTCTTTAAACGTGGCTTTTTCAGTGTTCAGTCCAAACAGATGCTCATTAAATGGTGGCCAGTTTAGAGGAGACTGCATCAGCCTGACTTCAGCCTTCAGTGTGGACCAGGCTTGCCTTTGAAAACCAGGACAGCCAAGCAGTAGGTGTGCTCAGTTCAGAAGGCAGTACCTAGATTTTTGCATATTTTTCCCCAAAGCCAAGAGCTGTGTCTGTTTCGTCACCATGTTTGCGCAGGGAAGGAGGTGTGAATTGCCTGTCCCACCTTCTCTCTCTTTTTTGCTCTTTAATCCTCTTGACCCAGACACTCAAATTAAGAGTCGCAGACTCATTCAAAGAGACTTTTAAACACTGCCTCAATCTCGTGGGCTGTGCACGTAGATGAGCATGTTAAATGCAGGTCCTGCAACTGGGGGAGGCTTAGACCGCAGCCCATGGCTGGGCTGGTTTGCTCATCTCAGGCCAGTGAGTGGCTCACAGCTCTCATTTTAGAAGCAAGTCAGAACACCTCTGGTGTCTGTCTTGGGTATGGATTGCAGTCTACCTCTCTGCTGCTGTTGGGGTCCACGCCCCACACCCACACCCTGCCCTGGGAGTCCCACCACGGCTCCGTCTCATCTCAGAGGTCTGGACAGCCTCCTGTTGAGCTCTTCCTTCCCAGTGGTTGCTTTTCCCCAGGTTCAGATGAGATAAAGGCTTGTGTCCTTGCTGGGGCTTCCCAGCTGGGCCACGATGTGAGGCCATTCCTTGAGAGCAGTGGCACATCGTGTGCCACGGTGGTGTGCTTTCTCTCTTCCATGGAATATGGGTGATTACACTGTTGCTGGGCATTTAGAGAGCAACGGGGCCATGAGGCAGAACCTGGGGAGGGTGTGTGGCGTCACCTTTCCCACCACCCAGTGTGATGCAGGTTGCGTCACACTGTGCACATGGGCATCTTGTGCTGGTTCTCTGCATTGGCCCTAAAATTCACAGGGGAGTATTTGGGGCCTTTTTAAAAATAAAAAGTGAAACAAGGTCTTCCTCCTAGTAAAGTTGGAAAGCATCTTACCAACCATTAGTTCAGGTGGCCTCACTCTACTGCAGGATAGTAGAGACACTCTCAAAAAAGTAACTGGGCGTGTCCAGGTCACACGGTGTGCTGGCTGGATGGTACCAGGGCAGGATGAGATCACAGGGCCTCAGAACCTCCACCTGCACTTCATCTCCCAAACCCACTTGGTGATTCTCTGGGTATCTGTCGGTCACTGTGATTTCTCCCATCACTTCCGTGGAGTCAAAGGCTGAGTAAATGTGTGCAGAACTGACACTGCAGGGCGCAGTGGGTTTGGGGAGAATGGCCACCTGGCTTTGTAATCTCTGCCTCCGTTCTCTGCCACATGGGAGCCAATCTGCAGTGCTGACCTAGTCAGGGCCCCACCTGACAGGCTGGAGGGTGACCTGAACACCCAGGGGCGTGGTAACTGAGATGGGCAGCTTCAGCAGTGTCTAGGACTTTGAAGCAACTTTTAAAAATGCTGAAAAATAAGAAACACGCATATCTTCCTTTGTTCCAACAGTAGGTTTAGTCAGCCCTAGGAGGCCTGTGCAGCTGACGTTCGCTCGCCTCCCGTGGGGGTCAGCCTCTCGGGTGCTCTTTAGACTCTGGCTTCCCAACATGCGTTGGTGGATGGGTCCCCTGATCTTTCTCCGAAGGACTTGCTGTGTTACAGTATTTCTTTCACTTTATATCTCAGTTTTGCATGGGTGATAAGAGAAAAGTGCATGGGGTGAACCTGCGTGACATTTGTACCTGGCATCCGATAGTGCATGTTGGCTACCTAACCCAGCCGTCATAAATGACCTGACTCACAGCACAGCAGGAAGTCATAAATGTTTTCTTTCCCTTTGACATTTGACAGTGATTTCACACACTTGCGTTTCATTGCTGTTGAAACAGCTGTCCATCCCATTTGTTAGTGTGTTTTAATTTGCTCGAGATTATGCAGGCTTTGACAAAATCCCAGCGCTTTCTAGCCATTAGCGGTACCAGCTTCATGCTGCGCTGACGGTTGCTGCACACACAGTCCCCACGTCAGATCCTGAGCTTGCAGGGGAGAGCTCCGTCGGGCTGGGAAGCGCCAGCCCTGGTTTGCAACAGCACACATGCGCTGTCCAGAGCCTGGGGCCTCCTCCTGCTGCTCTGGAGATTTTCGGATAACTGTAAACGTGATCTTACTATTCAGTCAACCATGTGGCCCTCTAGGTGTGGCACCCTGGCTGTCACCTAAGCCAACCCTTGTTCTGTCAGGGTACTCTGGGCGTCACTGGGCAGGCTGGGAGGTCCAGGCCCTTGGCACCTCAGCCATGTGTGACCTGCAGGCTGGGGTCAAGTCTTGGCATTGCACCATCAGGTCTGCGAAGCCTAGGGGAACCCCTTCCCGCTGGGTTTAATATAGCCATTTGTAAGGTGAGGGGTTGGACCAGAGCAGCGGAGATGCCTGGCAAAGTGCAGCGGTGCCTCAGGAGGGAGGCTGCTGCTGGCATGTCGTGGGCAGACATGTCGTGCGTCATAGCCTGCAGCACCCAGGATGACCCACGGCAAAGAGTGGCCTGGCCTCAGATGCCAGTAGTGCTGAGGTGCAGAAACGTTGGATAGATGACCTCTAAGTGCCTTTTCAGATGTCATTCTGTGATTCCAACTTGTAAATGCCTTTGACCGAAAAGAGCAGCTCTGTGTCTTGTGGCAGTGCCACCTTGGAAGACTGTAGTTGCCTGCCGAGGCACTGGGGGAAATCACGGTAGCAGAGTGTTAGGGCTGCTGCCCTATAGGATCTGCCCCAGAGGGCCTAACGTCAAGTCATGCATCTCCGGGACTGATCCTTGGATTGTTGCATGTGTCCAGACTCACAGGGTAGCGCTCAGGAGCAAGCACTGAGAGCCCCCTAGTCTGCCCTGGGAAGGCACCGGGGCTGACAAGAGCTCTTGCCTTCCACAGCGTCTGTTCCTCACACACCCCGCCCAAGGACGTGCCTGGCAGCGGCCTGGTGCTCCCCGCCGCAGCCACCTCACCCTTGGGTTTCTGTGGCCCTGCAGTTCCTCCGTGTCACAAAGCAGTACCTGCCCCACGTGGCGCGCCTCTGTCTGATCAGCACCTTCCTGGAGGACGGCATCCGTATGTGGTTCCAGTGGAGCGAGCAGCGCGACTACATCGACACCACCTGGAACTGCGGCTACCTGCTGGCCTCGTCCTTCGTCTTCCTCAACTTGCTGGGACAGCTGAGTGAGTGGCTCTGCGGGTGGTCAGGATTCACTGGGCGTCTTGTTCCATGATCGTTAGCAGTTGGGAGGCTGTGTGTGAACTCGGGGGTCTCCTGGACTGCTGTCCCCCCTCCATTCCCCTCTTCTCCAGCTCAGCTGTGCCAGGCCAGGAGTCCGGTTCTGCAAGCCTTGGTGGGGACGCTTAGTCTCTAGCCCTGAGCTCACTGCTTTAGAGCTTGCTAAGGAAATAGGACATGGTCCCTGTCAGGGACCCAAAGCAGGAGATGCTGGAGTCTGGCTGGCAGTCCACAGTAGAGCAGTTAATTGCCTACCTCAGGTGGGTGGCTGACTTGGGAGCTGATTGTGGGAAACAGCCCATTCTTTATGACGGCAAGGGCTCCACTTTCTGGTGTTTGTGATAAGTCTAGTCAGCTTACCATGTGTGGTCCTTGCCTATCATTAATTCTTCCAGAAGTTGTCTTTTGCTTGGGTAGGTGGTTTGGCTGCCTCTGGACCTAAGGGCCAGGTGAGGTAGCAGTGTATCAAGACAGTGCTCCCCGCCGGCACCCACCCTCAGGCCCCCTAACCCTTGTCCTTCTCTCCAGCTGGCTGCGTCCTGGTGTTGAGCAGGAACTTCGTGCAGTACGCCTGCTTCGGGCTCTTTGGAATCATAGCTCTGCAGGTACACGGGCCGCGTGGTCGGGGCTCCCTTCTCTTTGCTCTGGTGGAGCAGAGCTTCTGAAAAGACATCCTTGAGGGTTCAGTGTCACTCCCCCTTCAGCCCCCTGCATGTCTCTGACTGCCTGGAGCTCCTTTCTCTTCTGGGGAAGTCGTGAGCCCAAGCAGGGCTGTAGAGGCAGGTCATTCGGTACTGGGCCATCTTTTGTCCCATTTCTATGATTACCGTGACAAGGGAAGTCTCGAGCTTGGCTGCAGCCAGGATGCTGTCTTGTTATCACGTTGCTTCATAAAGAAGAATACTTGGTTATTCAGAATGAAATGCTGGGAACAGAATATCTGAATCCACATCAGTGGTCTCAGAATCACTTTGTTCTCTGGAACATCATAGCACATTTCTTGAGAAATACAGAACCACATTTTTGAGCTTAGATCTGTCCTCGGTCTCCTACAATGGTTTTGTGTGTTTTAGACTCCAGCTGACATTGGAGAGACGGCCTAATGTATTATGAAGTCTGTGGAAATGCCTTTGGAAAGGCTGAGACTCAAGTATCTCTCTCTTCTTTCCCCTCAGACGATTGCCTACAGCATTTTATGGGACTTGAAGTTTTTGATGAGGTATGTGCATTCTGGTTGGTTTTAGTATACGCTCCTTCTACAGGTTGAGCATTGCAAATCCAAAGTCTGAAATGCTCCAAAATGGGAAAAATCTTGGGCACCAACATGACGCTCAAAGGAAGTGCTCATTGGAGCATTTCAGGTTTTGGATTTTCAGATTTGGGATGCTCAGCCAATAAGTATATAATGCAAATATACCAAAATCTGAAACACTTTGGGTCCTAAGCATTTCAGGTTAGGGATACTCAATCTGTATTTCTAAACTCAGTTAACTATTGGTTTGAGTAGACTTCTCTGGGTCTAAACCAAGCTTGTCCAGCCTGTGGTCCACGGGGTGAACATGGCCCAACACAAACTCAAAAACTTTCTTAAAACATTGAGAGTTTTTTTTGTGATTTTTAAGTTTTATTTTTTAGCTCATCACCTATCATTAGCATTAGTGTATTTTATGTGTGGCCAAGACAGTTCTTCCAGGGTAGCCCAGGGAAGCCAAAAGATTGGACCCCCCTGTCTAAATTGTGCCTCTTAGAAACAGGTTCTGAAGAGGATGTTGCAGAGCCCCTAGAATAGTAGAGACTGAAGCCGTCTCTTCTGACCCTTATTTCACGGGTGTGGGGACTCCGGGTCTGAGTGGAGGACAGACCTGACCACGGGGACCCAGCTGGTCAACACTGAAGCTGTGACTAGGACTCGGTTGTGTGTGTGTTCAGGTAGCCTGTCACTGTCGAGTTGTAAAGATACCTCTGTCTCCTGAGCTATGTAAGGTTTTACATGGGTGTAACTCGAGTCTGAGGTCCTGTGCGCATGCCTGCCTGGTCCTGCTTGGCAGATCACTGGGTTTGGAGAAAGGGAAGTAAGGGCCTTCTTATACTGGCAGCAAGGTCTCCCTGCACCTGGTCTCACAGACAGGCCAGATCCTGGTGAGGCTTAGCTTCCAGCCCACATATCTGTTCCTCAGGAACCTGGCCCTGGGAGGAGGCCTGTTGCTGCTCCTAGCAGAATCCCGTTCTGAAGGGAAGAGCATGTTTGCGGGCGTCCCCACCATGCGTGAGAGCTCCCCCAAACAGTACATGCAGCTCGGAGGCAGGGTCTTGCTGGTTCTGATGTTCATGACCCTCCTTCACTTTGACGCCAGCTTCTTTTCTGTAAGTATTCCTACTTGCCTGAACCGGTCTGGTTTCCTGTGAATGCTGTCCCTCCCCCACCCCCTCCCTGCTCACCCCTCCCTGGTTGGGTATTAACCACAGCCTGGGGGAGCTGCTGAAATGGAGCAAACTTTTTTTTTTTTTTTTTTGAGACGGAGTCTCGCTCTGTCCCCCAGGCTGGAGTGCAGTGCGTGATCTCGGCTCACCGCAAGTTCCGCCTCCCGGGTTCACGCCATTCTCCTGCCTCAGCCTCCCGAGCAGCTGGGACTACAGGCGCCTGCCAACACGCCTGGCTAATTTTTTGTATTTTTAGTAGAGACAGGGTTTCACCGTGTTAGCCAGGATGGTCTCGATCTCCTGACCCCTCGTGATCTGCCTGTCTCAGCCTCCCAAATTGCTGGGATTACAGGCGTGAGCCACCGTGCTCGGCGGAGCAAACTTTTTGATCCCATTAAAACAGACCAAAACATCGTCAATCTCTTGTGTGTCAAGCCTTCTTTCCAGCAAATGAAGGCCAGAACCTCTGACCTTGGTGGAGTGTGCTTGGCCCTTGGTTGGCCAAGGCTCTCCACCCGGGCTCCCCTTACTCTTCTTTCTTTCCTCACTGTTCGTATCTTTCTCAAGTAATTCCTGTGTGTCAGGTGTCAGGGGCAGGCCTCCAGGAGCTTCCAGAGCACACCTCCGGAGCTGACTGAGAGCCCTGGCCGGGTAGTGTCCAGGAAGAGCTCCTGGCGCCATGGAGAGAGGAGAGAGGATGTTTCTGGCCTGGATGGCTGGGTGGGCCAAGAAGCACTTGGGAATTTAGTTATGGATTAGAGATTCATCTTGGTAAATCACAGCCTGTTACTAGTTGGGAACTTCAGTCTTCCCCAAACCTTCCACATTTCAAAGCTGGTGCTTTATTGCCTCCTGCCTCCCTTTGGCTTTTATCTCCCTACTTGCACCAGCAGCCGTCTCAGCAGTAGCTACATCAGCCTGATGGATAGAGACTTCATGACGTGCAGCAGCTGGAACTTTTGTTTATAAAGCATCTCTTTTCCTCACATTTATTTTGAATTTCTTACGTTTCAACCTATGCAGATTGTCCAGAACATCGTGGGCACAGCTCTGATGATTTTAGTGGCCATTGGTTTTAAAACCAAGCTGGCTGCTTTGACTCTTGTTGTGTGGCTCTTTGCCATCAACGTATATTTCAACGCCTTCTGGACCATTCCAGTCTACAAGCCCATGCATGACTTCCTGAAATACGACTTCTTCCAGACCATGTCGGTGATTGGGGGCTTGCTCCTGGTGGTGGCCCTGGGCCCTGGGGGTGTCTCCATGGATGAGAAGAAGAAGGAGTGGTAACAGTCACAGATCCCTACCTGCCTGGCTAAGACCCGTGGCCGTCAAGGACTGGTTCGGGGTGGATTCAACAAAACTGCCAGCTTTTATGTATCCTCTTCCCTTCCCCTCCCTTGGTAAAGGCACAGATGTTTTGAGAACTTTATTTGCAGAGACACCTGAGAATCGATGGCTCAGTCTGCTCTGGAGCCACAGTCTGGCGTCTGACCCTTCAGTGCAGGCCAGCCTGGCAGCTGGAAGCCTCCCCCACGCCGAGGCTTTGGAGTGAACAGCCCGCTTGGCTGTGGCATCTCAGTCCTATTTTTGAGTTTTTTTGTGGGGGTACAGGAGGGGGCCTTCAAGCTGTACTGTGAGCAGACGCATTGGTATTATCATTCAAAGCAGTCTCCCTCTTATTTGTAAGTTTACATTTTTAGCGGAAACTACTAAATTATTTTGGGTGGTTCAGCCAAACCTCAAAACAGTTAATCTCCCTGGTTTAAAATCACACCAGTGGCTTTGATGTTGTTTCTGCCCCGCATTGTATTTTATAGGAATAGTGAAAACATTTAGGGACACCCAAAGAATGATGCAGTATTAAAGGGGTGGTAGAAGCTGCTGTTTATGATAAAAGTCATCGGTCAGAAAATCAGCTTGGATTGGTGCCAAGTGTTTTATTGGGTAACACCCTGGGAGTTTTAGTAGCTTGAGGCAAGGTGGAGGGGCAAGAAGTCCTTGGGGAAGCTGCTGGTCTGGGTGCTGCTGGCCTCCAAGCTGGCAGTGGGAAGGGCTAGTGAGACCACACAGGGGTAGCCCCAGCAGCAGCACCCTGCAAGCCAGCCTGGCCAGCTGCTCAGACCAGCTTGCAGAGCCGCAGCCGCTGTGGGCAGGGGGTGTGGCAGGAGCTCCCAGCACTGGAGACCCACGGACTCAACCCAGTTACCTCACATGGGGCCTTTTCTGAGCAAGGTCTCGAAAGCGCAGGCCGCCCTGGCTGAGCAGCACCGCCCTTTCCCAGCTGCACTCGCCCTGTGGACAGCCCCGACACACCACTTTCCTGAGGCTGTCGCTCACTCAGATTGTCCGTTTGCTATGCCGAATGCAGCCAAAATTCCTTTTTACAATTTGTGATGCCTTACCGATTTGATCTTAATCCTGTATTTAAAGTTTTCTAACACTGCCTTATACTGTGTTTCTCTTTTTGGGGGAGCTTAACTGCTTGTTGCTCCCTGTCGTCTGCACCATAGTAAATGCCACAAGGGTAGTCGAACACCTCTCTGGCCCCTAGACCTATCTGGGGACAGGCTGGCTCAGCCTGTCTCCAGGGCTGCTGCGGCCCAGCCCCGAGCCTGCCTCCCTCTTGGCCTCTCATCCATTGGCTCTGCAGGGCAGGGGTGAGGCAGGTTTCTGCTCATAAGTGCTTTTGGAAGTCACCTACCTTTTTAACACAGCCGAACTAGTCCCAACGCGTTTGCAAATATTCCCCTGGTAGCCTACTTCCTTACCCCCGAATATTGGTAAGATCGAGCAATGGCTTCAGGACATGGGTTCTCTTCTCCTGTGATCATTCAAGTGCTCACTGCATGAAGACTGGCTTGTCTCAGTGTTTCAACCTCACCAGGGCTGTCTCTTGGTCCACACCTCGCTCCCTGTTAGTGCCGTATGACAGCCCCCATCAAATGACCTTGGCCAAGTCACGGTTTCTCTGTGGTCAAGGTTGGTTGGCTGATTGGTGGAAAGTAGGGTGGACCAAAGGAGGCCACGTGAGCAGTCAGCACCAGTTCTGCACCAGCAGCGCCTCCGTCCTAGTGGGTGTTCCTGTTTCTCCTGGCCCTGGGTGGGCTAGGGCCTGATTCGGGAAGATGCCTTTGCAGGGAGGGGAGGATAAGTGGGATCTACCAATTGATTCTGGCAAAACAATTTCTAAGATTTTTTTGCTTTATGTGGGAAACAGATCTAAATCTCATTTTATGCTGTATTTTATATCTTAGTTGTGTTTGAAAACGTTTTGATTTTTGGAAACACATCAAAATAAATAATGGCGTTTGTTGTATGCAGTGTGATCCTATAGCGTTGCCCAGCCTGAATGGGGCTCCCCTCAGGATGCCAGTGAGCGAGGTTACTTCTCTAGGCTTCTCTGAAGACCACTCAGAAGCCATGTCCAGAGAGAATTAGTCCCTCAGAGTCCCTGCTGCTTCCTGGGTGTGGGGGACAGACTCCCTCAGCCCTGCCTTAGAGGGCAGCAGATGTCATGAGACAAGGATAAGTGGGTAGAGAAGACACTGGGGACAGCCGATCATTCAGAGGACACACGGTTTGATCAGGAGCGGGGGAAATATCTGAAGGCTTTCTCGAAACTTCACGGCATGTGCTTTTATTAACCTGGCTGTTTACAGGAGCTGAAGCTCTTGGGTTTGCGGTGATGACTCTTGAACTTCTTTTTCAACGAGCCCAACTGCTTCTGTGGGATAAACAAAATTCTGATTACTGAGCCTTTCTGATCCCATGGAGAAGGGGCCCTGGAGTGCAGGGCTCTCCCCACCCACACAGCCTCAGAGGTGTCGGTCAAATACCCACAGAGGCTTTCTCCACCCCCGTTTCCTTAACAGCTGCAGGATTAGACCCCGCTCAGCAGGGCCTCAGAGGAGTACAGTGCAATGCCACACACTCATTAGGACCTTGTCCTCTTTTGGCCTTGGTCCTGCTTATCTACCAAAGGCGGGGAAGTCTCCACTCCTGCCCTGATGGCAAAGGCAAAGGTGGTGGCTAGTAATCAGGTCCCTGTGCCCAGGGGTAAGGACAAACACGCCACAGCTCATAGTCTGAGGTAGGAGGGTGTCCTCACAAACCAGTGGTCTTGACCGTGGTCCACAGAGCCTGGCTTCCACAAGGGGCTGGCTGGGAAGCAATGGTAGGCACTCACGGCCTTCCGCCAGCCAGCGGCCTCGGCTTCTATGGTTCTTGTGTGTTGTTGGCTTGGGATTTCACTTGTGAAAAAGGTTCAGTTTTCTTTTTTTAAACAAATGGAAAACCATCACTAGGGGAAGCCACTGCCACACTAACAGAGGAGGTGACAGCTCACCTTCCCGCGCTTCTGGACCAGCCCTCGGTACACGGTCGTCTCTCTCCTGCCCTCATCAGTGGCCTTCTCTCTTGGGGGCTTTGCCTTCTCATCCTCTTTGTCTGTCAAAAAGTCATCAGTGCCATCCCCATCCTCCGTGCTTCCAAGGTCCTTTCTGGTGAATAGCTCAGCTGGGAGGAACACAGGGATTGGCTGACAGTTATTTTAGGCTGAGTTCGCTGCCACCTTTGCAGGGGAGGCAGCACCACAGTCTGCTCCCTGCTGACAGTAGAGGGTCAGGGAGAAGCAGGGCCTGTTCTGCTTACGTGGGTACAGGTCTGTCATGCTGTCATCACTTGCAGCTCCCCCCTCATCACTGGATGTGGGCTCCCAGAAGGCTTCCCGCGGGCGAGGCCCGTCACCGTCCATCTGGTCCTCCCTCCTCCTCCTCCGGTGCACCAGGCAGGCAGGCACGTACTCCACCCCTTGCTTCTGACATTCTTCATCTGGGAGATAAGCCAGCACGTGCTGGGTACCTCCACACCCCCCACGGTCCTCTGGGCCACAGCTAACTTATGAGGACTGCACTCGGCCAGGGCCCCACAGCCCCACCGCCCTGGACAAAAACCAGAGCAGCTGCTGGGTGCCTCAGCTCTGTTCCTACCAGGTGTGCAGGGAGGGTGGTGGGCCAGGGCTGCAGCCAGGAGGCAAGAAGATGGTAGAGGTCTACGGGGCCTTTACCACTCATCCCCGATCTAGCCAGGCCTAGGAAGCCACGGCTAGGAGGGCACTGACCAGGCCCAAGGCCAACTGTGCCCCAGTGAGCTTGGCATGGCCTCTCAAAGGCAACTCGGGCTGGCAGTGATGCCACCCTCTCCCCAGCAGCCTGAAGTCCTCCCTCAGCACATGGGAGACCCCGTCCCGGAGGGCGGGGCTCAGTGGAGGTTGGCTGCCTGGCCTTTGCTGCCCCTTAGTGGGTGAGAAGGGAGTTGGGACAAGGCTTCCATGGAAAGACCTCACTGGAGTCACCACCGTTGTCCCCTTGTATATTGGAGGGTCTGCTGGGGCTTGCCCTCCAGCCCAGCGCAGCTACCATCATCATCCCTCATGGGCTGCATGAGCCCTGCTGGGCCCTGGCCATTGATGTGGCGGCCCATCTCCAGGGCTGTTTCCCTCCTTGTCTCTGCCACCCACCCCCATGGCCATGCAGCAGCCTTGTCACCACCAGAACGTGAAGGCAGAGCCCCCTTACAGCCACGTTTGGACTTCCCTGGACCACTGCCTTGCAGTGACCTCGGCGCCCCAGTCCCATCTCAGCTCCACAGTCCACCATCATAACCATTCTTCATGGGAACCCCGTGGCCCCCTGCACTTAGAGCCTTCCTGCCCACCCCTGAGCAGCTAACACACTGGCTGGAAAAAGTCCAAGCCTCAGGCTGGCAGCCCTTGTGCCTGCAAGGCCTCTGCAAGGTGCCCGCCTTCTACTTGAGAAACCCTGGTCCTGCCTTCTCAATCCACACTCATGCTTCGGGAGGGCTGGACTGCCTCTCCGCACTCATCAGAAGCCCGTAGACGCATCTTCCCATCCGCAAACCAACCTGAATCTGTCCGCTCCAGCCTCTGTCCATTTCCCTCCTTAGCTGGACTCCAGAAAGGCTTTCTGGTGACCCAGCACCTGCCTAAGGCCGGACACTGCCCTCATGGGCTGCAGCCTACGCTCCACTCTAGCCAGGTGTCCCTGCCAAGCTTCAGGTGCCTCACCAAGGTTGCCAGGGGCCTCTGTGTTATCAAATCTATCATTTTTCTGTCCTCATCTTCCCTTCAGTACCACGGGAGGACTTCCAGCCTCTTCCTGGGGCTCAGGACCAGGCCTCTCTCCCTTCTCTAAACTCTCGCCGGGTGCTCACCCAGATCCACGGTGCAACCATCTCCTTCATCCAGCACGGGTGTCCCTGTTTCAAAAGCCCGATACTTCCCTAATACACACCTTTCCTAATACAGCTCAAGCTTAAAACCTTCAAAGGGACTCTGAATTCTCCCCCCAAAACCCACCGTCTTTTCCTGGATGACCGCAGTCAAGGAGTCCTCCCTTCTCAACCATGCACACTGTCCATGCAGCCCCCACCCAACCCTCTCCACACACCCACTGCAGTGCTCCTGGCCTGGTCTCTGGGTCATCCGGGCTGTGCACACTAGCCCAGCCAGTCCTTTGGAGCCTACCTCAGCCAACACATTTTTGCCTCAGACTTCCATGGACCCTGGCTTCTCCCTGGGGTGCTGTTCCCCCGACCCCACTGCCACCACATCCCTCCAGCCTCAGCCTCGAGCGAATCCCTCAGCGAGTCTCCCCAGCCCTCCTGTCTCCGCAAGCCCACCCCACATCCCTCGCCCAGTT
The DNA here is from genome assembly GCF_000001405.40 of Homo sapiens. Taxonomy (NCBI): domain Eukaryota; kingdom Metazoa; phylum Chordata; class Mammalia; order Primates; family Hominidae; genus Homo; species Homo sapiens. The sequence goes on along the minus strand of NW_009646201.1, from coordinate 184,154 downwards.
TCTTTCACACCTCGCATTGCCACGCACACTCACTCACTCCCGAGCCTGCTTCTGGCTCTGTGCCTGCCTGCACTAAAAGCTGTGGGGTCAGGGGCCATCATCCCTCTCTTCACTGTGCCAAAAAACAGGCCTGATGCATCAACACGGATCGCTGAAGGACGACCTGCCTTCAAGCACGCTCCATCTGGGGCAAGGCGGGCATGCACTCAGATGGCGATGCACTGATGGGGGTCCACTGGGACTTACATTTACACAGAGCTCGCTGGTACCGCCGGCCCTGGGTGTGCCTCAGCACGTGTTCTGGGCACTTGTTGATGTGCCGCAGGGTGAGTTTGCAGAACAACTGGTGCCTACAGAGCAGAGAGACCAAATTTGTAGGGACAGTTCACAGCAAGGATTCAGACTGGTGGCTGTGTCTTGGACTCATCCCTGGACAGTCTACCATGCGGCTTGGACATCGGGCTTTTAAAGGCTCCCGGAGCAATTCCACTCTGAAGCTGGGTGGGGAACCGTCTGACCCAGGCCGACTGCAGCCTCTTAATGTTTACCGGAAAAGCACGCATGGCAGCCTCACTGACTGCTCCAGGATGAGTTCATGCAAGAGGATGGCTCCACCTGGAGCAAGGGCTCAATGAATGGAAACATCCTATCTCTGTTTTGACGATTATTACAAAGCCTAGCTCCCAGCTAAATCAAAGACCCCTTCTGGGGTTAAGGGAAGAACCCAACGCTGTTCACAACCTCAGGTGACAAATCACAAGCCTCTACTCATCTGGGAAGCAGCCACACCCCACAGGACAAACCTCAGGTGAGCAAACGAGCTCACCAAGAGGCCTCGCCGCTGGGACCGCAGGTGATTCCAGCACCCGGGCGCCCACCTGGGTCCCAGGGCTCCCAACTCTGAAAGAGTAGGGGCTGCAGCACTGGCGGAGTCCAGCGGAGGGGCTGTCCTAATTGCCCTGGGCCTCCCCGCGCCGCCGCGGACCACCTACGGGTTCTTGGTGCTGGGCACGATGTGCGGCTCGAACTCTGCATAGTCGAAGGCCGGGGAGGCGCGGACCAGCCGCTGGTACTTTTTGCCGCGGGTGTAGACCTGGAGCTCCGGCAGGCGGCAGGGCAGCTCGTGACCTGTCAGGATGCACCTCACCTGCGGACGCGTGGGCGGGCAGGACGTCAGGAGGGCCAGGGCTCCGCTCCCTGGTGCCCCCTCCTGCCGCGCCCCCTTCCCTCTCCTCCCCTGATCCCGCCGCGCCCTCTCCCCTGCCCTCCCCTCTCTCCTGCTCTCCCCTCTCCCCTCTCCCCTGCCCTCTCCTCTCCCCTGCCCTCCCCTCAGCCCCTCATCCCAACTGCGCCCTTCTCCGCCACTCCGTTCCCCTCCCGCGCTGCGAACCTTGCGGGCGTCCGTCTGGAGCCGCAGGCTCGGGTGCTCCCGCAGAAACGCCCGCACGTCGCCCGGCAACTCGCTCATGGCCGACGCGCCCGCGGAGCAGCCCGGCGGAAGCCGCTCGCAGAACCTGGAGCCGGGGGCGGGGCTCTGGGCGGGACTCAGCGGCGCCCCGGATGCAGATGCTTCCTGCGTCCCGGAAGCGCCCGCGGGGCCGGGTGCGATGGCGGCGGTGGCTGCGTTGCAGCTGGGGCTGCGGGCGGCGGGGCTGGGACGGGTGAGCGCCGGGTGCGGGGTGCGGGGTGCGGGGCGCGGGGAGGGGTCCCGGAGCTCAGCCCGCCCGTCCGTGTCCGCAGGCCCCGGCCAGCGCCGCCTGGAGGAGCGTCCTCAGGGTCTCCCCGCGCCCAGGTGAGGGCTGCAGGCCGGGCTGTGATCCAGGCGCCTGGGCAGAGCCACCTGCTGTCTGCCCTGCACTTTGAAGGGTTGTCGTGGGGATTGAAATGAACCAACTGCCGGCTGAGCGGAGGCTCCCTGGGAGTGACAAGTTCCGTATTAAAATGCTTTCAGTGGAATTGTGGTCGTGTGCCGGGCATGTAGCGAGCGCTTTGTCCTCACAACGCGAGAGGTAGCTCCTTGGTCGTTCCCCTGTTACAGAGAAGGCTCGAGAGTTACTTCCGAACGTCCCATCCAGCTAATGGGTGGCCAGCCCAGGCTGAAAGCCCAGGGCTCTGAAAGTAAAGCGTATCTAACCACCGCGGCTTACGTGTTCCTCTCAGTGTGCAGCACAGGGCTGTTTTGCCGTGTGTAGAGTGCTGTGCAAGCCTGCCCCAGGCCTGCCTTTTTATAAAAAAAAAAAAAAAAATAGTATCCGCAAGGCCCCTGGTGCTTTTCAGCGGATGGAACTCATCCTCTGAGAGCTTAAAGGCACTTTCTGTGTACATTCTTCCCTCTTTACATTTACGATGAGTTGTAAAAATGGAAAGCTGTTAAGAGAGCTCTGTGAGCCATTACTGAATTGATATATTTTTCTACATAACACAACAACCACTAGTGCCTGACTAAGCTACTTAGTAACTGTAGCTGCTTATTTTTTATTTTTTGAGACAGTTTCGCTCTTGTTGCCCAGGCTGGAGTGCAGTGGCGCAATCTCGGCTTACAGCAACCACCTCCTCCCAGGTTCAAGCGATTCTCCTGCCTCAGCCTCCCGAGTAGCTGGGATTACAGAAGCACCATCGTGCTCAGCTAATTTTTGCATTTTTTTGTAGAGATGGGGTTTCTGCATGTTGGTCAGGCTGGTCTCGAACTCCTGATCTCGTGATCCGCCCGCCTTGGCCTCCCAAAGTGCTGGGATTACAGGCGTGAGCCACCGTGCCCGGCCAACTGTAGCTGCTTATTAAATGCATTTTGAATGGATGAATGGTGCATCTTAGTGCAGTGGAATACATCTAGATTCTTGAGTAAAAAGGCATGAGTTACTCAGGGTCGTGGTTGGTGGTCAAACCGGCACTGAGCCCTAGATCCCACTTACTCACTTGGCAGACGTACTGTGTGTGCCTTGTTCTGGGCACCGGGTTAGGAGCTGGGCTGGATACAGGTGCTGCTAGTTGGCTCTAGGCAGCAGGTTTTGATTGGCAGTACTGGAGTCTGTCTTGGAACGGGCTGCTCCAGGTCTGTGTTCGAGGGCTTCTGGCTCCATGTCAGTGTTGTGAAACTCTCCAGGGGTGGCCTGGAGGCCAAGCAGATGTGGCAGTTCTGCAGCAGAAGCATCTGCCACAAAAGCGGAAGATGACTCCTTTCTTCAGTGGGTCCTGCTCCTCATCCCTGTGACTGCCTTTGGCTTGGGGACATGGCAGGTAAAGACCGGCATCTGGTGTGCGTAACTCTGGGCCCTTGACCTTGCTGCCATCTGCTTGGCCTTATGCTCTGTCACTGTAGGTCCAGCGTCGGAAGTGGAAGCTGAACCTGATTGCAGAGTTGGAGTCCAGAGTTCTGGCTGAGCCTGTCCCTCTGCCAGCCGAGTGAGTGCATGGCTGCCCCCCTAGGGCCTGTTTTACTTGAGTTCAACAGCAGAGCCCTGGCTTCTGCTGGCCAGCTTGCCCCTTTTGGTGGGACTTTTAGTCACTGCCTTGACCTCAGGTGGGAGCTCTCATTATCAGTCATCTGTTGGGCTTGCTGTTGACACCTGACTGCCCTTGTGAAGCTACCTGAGACCGCCTCCTGACATATGGAGGAAAGTCTTATTTTGAGTCCTGGGTGTCACCCTTTTTTCAGGTATAGTAAACTTATCCTCCACAGGGCCCAAGGCCCTGTGGCTGAGGACAGATAATGTAGGTCTCACCGTGAGGGTGGTCGTTTGAAAAAGTGCCCTGAATGATTTGTCTGCTCTCTCCCTAGAATATGCCCTACAGAGATAGGTATATTCAGCCACATTTTCCATTCAGGGTAGCAAACAGTATGCCAGATTTGGCTTGCAGATGGGGTTTTGGCCCACATATTTTTTAAAATTTCACATAAAATATTCATTGAGGAGTCCAGATTTTTAGCCTCTCTTGTAAAGTTGGACTCTGGCAGTGCAGATCCACATTCCCACATGGCATCAAAGTTCCCCTTTGAAGAGCACGCCCTTTGCCTTTCTCCTTCACTTGTCTGGCCCTGGTGGGCTGTGTAGTCTGCCACCCTCAGGGGATTCGTTTTCCAGCCAAACCTTGCTCGGCCACTGTTCTTATCTCCATGCAGCCCAATGGAACTGAAAAATCTGGAGTATAGGCCAGTGAAGGTCAGGGGGTGCTTTGACCATTCCAAGGAGCTGTATATGATGCCCCGGACCATGGTGGACCCTGTCCGGGAGGCCCGGGAGGGCGGCCTCATCTCCTCCTCAACTCAGAGTGGGGCCTATGTGGTCACTCCCTTCCACTGCACCGACCTGGGGTGAGTAGGACATGTGGGAGCTGGCTGTCCTGGCAGAGGCAGTCAGGGTATACTAATTTACATCACTATTTCCTTCACAATCCCCAACCTTGGTAGGACCCTGGGGAACCCAAGATACCCAGGAGATTCAATTCCTTGCATAGTTTAAGTCCCTAATTGTGACATTGACTTAATCTTCTCAGCCAGCTCATTTATGACTGGATAATTTCTGTATGTTGACCTCTGAAGGGAAAGGAGGGATTCGTGAAACAGGGGCCCTGCCTCTGGAGAACTGTCTAGTTGCCCACACATTAGATGATGGCAAGCTATGAGGGGCCAGCAAGAGGACTTCAAGAGAAAGGACCCCAGCCCTACCTTGAGGGAGTGGAGGCAGGGGTGGCTCCCTAGAGGGCTATTTGGGAGTTAAGAGATGGGAAGAACATTCCAGGCAAAGCAAATGACAGGTACAGGAGCACCTGTGTGATTAACTAGGGAACTGGAGGATTCACGTAAAAATGAAAATACCTGGGGCTCTTGTTAACCCATGGGTTCCTGTTTTAGGGCTGGGATGGGGCCCAAGTACTCATCTCCAGCAGGCTGGGGTGCCAGGGCTGCTCCTCACGGCTGCCTTGGTTAGGAGGAGGGATTGGAGACAGCTCTTGCCATAGTTCAGGGGAGAGGTGTGGGGTCTAAACTCTGGCGTGGCAGCGTTGCTCACCAGTTGCACGTTGTAGTAGGTAGACCACAAGAAGCAGAGATAGAAGGGGAAAGCCACACTGGTAAAAAGGTAGTGATGGTGGCAGGGAGCCTTTTACCAACCACGAAGGTGCCTCAAGAGAGGAAGACTTTGCCTGTGTGGCACTGCCAGGGCTCCACTGAGCCAGCCCTGTTTTAAAAGCCTTCCTTGGTGCTCTAGTTGTTCCTATGGGTGCCTGAGTGACCATGAGTGACTGTCTTTAGTCAAAAACCCTCCCCACCTGAAGTAGCACTTTCATTACCCTAGAGTCACCATCCTGGTAAATAGAGGGTTCGTTCCCAGGAAGAAAGTGAATCCTGAAACCCGGCAGAAAGGCCAGGTAAGGGACATGGACTCTTCCTACTTTAGAGAAGGCTCTGGGAGTCCACCAGGCTCCATGCAATCTCACACACCTTCCTTTATAGATTGAGGGAGAAGTGGACCTCATTGGGATGGTGAGGCTGACAGAAACCAGGCAGCCTTTTGTCCCTGAGAACAATCCAGAAAGGAACCACTGGCATTATCGAGACCTGGAAGCTATGGCCAGAATCACAGGCGCAGAGCCCATCTTCATTGATGCCAACTTCCGTACGTTGTGGACCAGCCCATCTCGGAACAAGTAGCTTTTGTGAATACTGTCCTTCCTCCTAACCCTCATTGCCCAGTCACTACTGTGGCTTATGTTCTCACATGTGTATATGGCGGGTGGGAGGAGGCAGCAACTCAGCAAAGAACCTAGGCAAGTACTGAGCGGACAAGGGCGGGGATGGTCACCCAACGTAAAGGCCATACAGGACTTCCAACTGGCCACGCAAAAATGACAGCCACTAGGAAGTGGTGCAGAGGCTGGCAGGCCAGTAGGGGGTGGACTTGAGTCTGCTGTCTCCACAGAGAGCACAGTCCCTGGAGGACCCATTGGAGGGCAAACCAGAGTTACTCTGAGGAACGAGCATCTGCAGTACATCGTGACCTGGTGAGTCCCCAGCGGCCCTCTGGCTTCCTCCCCTTCAGCCTAGCAGCCTGCTAATGCTGGCTTGCTTTCAACCCCTAGGTATGGACTCTCTGCAGCTACATCCTACCTGTGGTTTAAGAAATTCCTACGTGGGACACCTGGTGTGTGACAGATCAGCTGCTGAAGCCCTGTCCCTGGATAATGCAGTATTTCAAGACTGCCTTTATGCTGGATCATGTGCTACTGGTATAAAGTTCTGGCCTTCTACCTTAAATGAGCTCATGACTGGTTCATCATAAAATCCTGGCTTGGTTTCAGTCCAAAGAACTTTCCCAAAACTTGATACTCAAGTTACATCTCTAGGGAACAAAATGCCTGGTTTAAGAATGTATTTAAGGGTGGGAAGGGCCGGGTGCGGTCAGGAGCTCAGACCAGCCTGGCTAACATGGTGAAACCCCATCTCTACCAAAAACACAAATATGGGCCAGCCAGTTGGGATGCTGAGGCACCAGAATATCCTAAACCTGGGAGGCGAAGGTTGCTTTGACATCACACCACTGCACTCCAGCCTGGGCGACAGAGTGAGGCTGTGTCTCAAAAAGATACTTGCTAACCCCAAGTAAGATTCAACCCGAGATACTCAACAGACACTGGCTGAAGGAAAATTTGTATTATTTCAATTATTTTTATGTACAGAAAACTCAACAGTGTACATTTAACCCAGTTTAGTGGCAAGTTCTTTAGCCTTTGCCTTTTCGAGCTTGGCGATACGAGCCACAGACTTAGGACCCAGGACATTGCCACCCCAGTGACGGCGGATCTGAAAAGACAAAAAGAGGCAGTTAGCTTGGCTTACTGTTTTCTGAGATTTTCAAGGTTATTAGTTGCGTTAATTCTGTTTGGCTGTTCCAAGCTGATCGTCAGATAGAACTTCTCATAGGTTAAGCCAGCCAGTTATTTGGGAGAAAGATTTGTGAATGACAGTATTTTGGTGTAAAGCTGCCTCTTACCTCATCGTATCTGTCATTGTAATTGGTCCTGATAGCTTCCACCAGCTTAGCCAAAGCGCCTTTGTCTTCCCTAAAAGGCAGGAGGGGAAACAAAAGTGGGTTTTTTGCCTTAGTTTCCCTTTTAGAATGCAAAAATACCTTTTAGCTCAAGACAGTCTTTTGCCTCAGATGCAATGCTGACCACATGGTTTATTCAGGTGAAGAAATTCTTAACCATCATTGGCAAAAGTTCAGATAAATATATTTCTTAAACTAAAAGATTGGCCTTTAAGGCAAAAGGAAACAACTGTGAGGCATGGATTAAATGAACTGGGGGGAAGTTTGGGGCCAGGCTGTGTACTTACGAGTTCACCTGTGTGAAGGCGACAGTGGTGCAGGTCTTCCTGTGGACTAGACGTCCCAGTCTTGCCTTTCCCTTGATAATGCAGTAAGGGACCCCCATTTTACGACACAGGGCAGGCAAGAAGACAACCAGCTGGAAGAAAGCATTAGCTGAAGACTGTATTTTGACCAAAAGCAGCAAATTTCAGTTAGCTTGTAACAATTGCTCAGGGTTAAAAAGCTCATGGATTCGCACTTCAAGGTTGAATTCAGTGAGAGATTCACATCATTGCAAGAGCCACGCATGTGTTGGATCTGTGTCAGTACTGCCCTCACCCACTTCGGTCCCATCACTGACTTGGCATTAGGTCTACTCTCTCTTCCTGGTACTGCCAGAAGCCCTTGGGTTAGCAGTCAACAGGCAAACGCACCTCGATGGGATCCACGTCGTGTGCAATCACCACCAGCTGAGCTTTCTTGTTCTCCACCAAGGTGGTGACGGTGTTAACTCCTAGAACACACAACCACTTTGTGAGCACTCACAGGGCCTGCTCTAGTCACAAGAAGCTGCTGGGCTCAGCTGCTGACTCAGTGTTAAAAAGCTCGGTTTTACTCTTCACAGTAATTTCAGGCCAAGAAATTTTACATCACTGCAACAGCCCGCCCCCAGTGTTCACCCTAAGGTGGGGCCTACTCACCTGCTCGAAGGACAGGTGGTCTCTTCGTTGGGACGTCCCCTTTGCCAGCAGCCTTCTTCTCGGCCCGGGCCAACAGTCTCTGCTTCTTCTCTTGCTTTGTCTCTGGTCTGTACTTGTGGGCCAGCTTAAGCAGCTGAGTAGCTGGAAAAACACTCTTCAGTTTAGGCTTGGAGTCAAGGTTCTAATCCTTGTCACTTAACACTTAATAACAAATGCTGGACTGCGGTCCTGCTATATGACTATAATTTAATGACAACTGCAGTTCAAGAAGCCTAAGACCATCCCCCTCATGTTCTGGATGAAATAAGGAATCCTTGCCTGAGAAACTCCTTTCCACGCCACAGAACCTCACCTGTTTGGCGGTCCAGGGCCTGGGTGAACTGGTTAATCGCAGGAGGCACTTTCAGCCGCTTATAGAGGATGGCTCTCTGCCGCTGCAACCTGATATAGCGGGGCCATTTCACAAAGCGGGTGAGGTCTCTTTTGGGCTGGATGTCCTGTCCTGAGAAGTAAAGGGTGACACCGAGTGAGGCTCAAATTCCATGTCAAGTTCATGTCTGGGGCCACTAGGAAGGGTGTTGGTGCATCAGCGATCTTGGTGGTTTAAAATGTCATCACCATCTCTCAGATAGCAAATATTCTTTTACATCATCTGCACACAAACACCTGAGAACAAAGAGCACGATGCTTTTCCTCATCTAACAAGAAGCCAAGGTGCCACGAAGTACAGCAGAATTGCAGTCCTAGTACCTCGCTGCGACACTGCTACTGTACTTGTTTCCAGATGGCTAAGCTGAATTCAAGGCCACTACCATATTGAGCTGAATGCTCGCTCAGCAACTCCCAATGAAAGCAAGAAGCATGTATCATTGCCCCCGTCTCTAAGAGACACAAATTAAGGACTGCGACCACTTTACACCCACTAAAACCTACAAGATACAACACAACCCAATTACCACCTTCCCTTGAGAAAAACATAGACCGTTTTCATTCTGCCGTTTGTTACTTACCAATGCCAAAATTCTTAGGCCTTTTCTCAAACAGGGGATTCACCACTTTCTTAGCCTCCTGCTTCTTCACGACAGCTGGGGCCGGAGCCACCTTCTTTCCCTTGGCCTTCTTTCCTTTCGGCTGGGCAGAAAGAAAACGTCAGTTAAACCGCCGCCTCCACTCGCTTCGTCGGGGGTAGGGCTCAGGCTGGCTCCTCCAAAACAAGGGACGCTGACAGCACCTGCCTGAACTAAGCTGGCGAGCAGCTTTCTGCAACCCCCCAGCACCACCCCTCGACAGGAGCATCTCACATTCAGCCGCACAAGCATGCAGCCCCGGGAACCCCGAGTGGCCAGAGCAAGGCTAAGCCCGAGACCACGCTCTCTTCGCGTCGCCCACCCAGGAGACACCCCGGACTCATGACTCCTCTGAGTCGCGGCCCCACAGGCTCTAGAAGCAACAGGGGCGGGCTCAGAACTCGTCGCTCACAAGGCCTCTGGAGCGGCCCCCAGCAAGCCCGAGAGACGCTAGGGCTCCGAGCCCCGCACTGCGGTGCTCCAGGCCTGCGACACCCAGCCCTGCGACACCGGGAACAACGCATTCCGCTCTCGGCCGCCCGGGGCTCTAGTCCATCTCAATGTCTCCGTGCCACACCAAGTGGGGCTCTAATCCACCTCGGTGTCTCCGTGCCACACCGAGTGGGGCTCTCCTAGCGCCAGGAGGAGCAGGAGGCCCTCCGAGGCCGCGCCTGGAGGAGGATGGCAGCGGATACAGCCGGAACCTGGCTATAGTGCCACGGAACTACAGCTCACTCACCATCTTGGGCGGCGGGAGGAGAGAGAAAGGAAAGGGAATTGTGGGTAATATGTATGCGGCCTCGGAGATCGCGAGAGTTGATACCGGCACGGGATTTCGGATTTAAAGCAACAGCATTCCTATAAAGCTAAAAATCGAGGCGGGGCCGAGAGGCTGCGGCGGCTGACTAGGTTTTCGGACCGCGGCGCGGCGGGGAAGAGAGACTGCGGCGGGAGGGCCAGGCCGTGGGAGAGACGCGGGAAAGTGCGGGTCGCAGAGGCACTTGACCACCCCGCCCTAGGCCGACCCGGCGGACGCGGCGTCTGGTGTGCGGGCGCTGGGGCGGGTATGAGGGTGTGGTGGGGGGTGGGGATGGAGGGGGGGTGGGTGTGTGGGCGGGAGTGGGGGTGGGTGGGTGCGTAGGCGCTGGGGTCGGAGATCCCCTTTCCTGCGTGTGACTTATTTCCCACACCCCGCCAAAAATGGGCACAAACAATGCGAGTGCGTCCAGGAGTCCGCTCGGTCGTGCGCCAGACTCCGAACCTAGGGGGCCCCGGGCCCTCCCTGAGCACCGCGCGCAAAGGCCCGGCCCCAGGGCCAGGCAACTCCAGCGCCGAGGCCGTCCAGTGCGGCTGGAGGGCAGAGGCCGAGAGGCGCGGCGCGGAACTTGAGCCCCTTGTCCCGGCGCACCGGGGAACCATGAGGGATGTTAAGCGAGGGAGTGGAATTACCCCCCTTTTTTTTTTCTTTTGGAGACGTAGTCTCCCCCTGTCGCCCAGGCTGGAGTGCAGTGGCGCGATCTCGGCTCACTGCGACCTGTGCTTCCCGGGTTCAAGCGATTCTCCTGCCTCAGCCTCCCGAGTAGCTGGGATTACAGGCGCCTGCCATCACGCCCGGCTAATTTTTGTATTTTTAGTAGAGTTGGGGTTTCACCATGTTGGTCAGGCTAGTCTCAAACTCCTGACCTCAGGTGATCCCTGCCTCGGCCTCCCAAAGTGCTGGGATTACAGGCGTGAGCCACCGCGCCCGGTTGGAATGACCACTTTTTAGGACCTCTTCCCTGCCGCGCAGAGACTGGAGGGAGCGGGGCCCGCAGTGCAGGGATGAGGTCTGGAGCGGGGCAGCCTGAGTGGGAGTGGAAGGAAAGCGTGGATGTAGGCGGTGCAGAGGGGTCGAATTGGAAGGACTCTTCGGATGGGAGGGCGTGGCGAAGGTGGCGGCGGGCTAAGAAGTTAAGCCAAGGGCTGGGGACGGGGAGCTGGTGTTGAGTTTGCAGGGCTCCCTGGGACACGCTGTGGGCCTGGACGTGAAGTCTGGACTGGAGCCCTGGACAGGGCTTGGAGGGCTGGCCAGGAGTTCCAGGATGAGCTTGCTCTGGCAAAGGCGGGGCCAGTCCTGGCACCCCCTGCGGTGTCTGCTGATGGAATGAGTTCATCTGTGTTTCAGTGATTGACTTTATTTGGCAGAAAGGGAATCCCCAGAAATCTGCGTGTTCTGCTAAGGTTGGGGCATAGAGGGTGGCTGGGGTAGACTCTGCCTGCACTCAGAGGTCTGTGCTGCACTCTAGGTCCCAGGTCTCCCCGCTGCGCTGCTTGAGGCTCGGCCATGGCCCAGCAGAGAGCCCTGCCCCAGAGCAAGGAGACGCTGCTGCAGTCCTACAACAAGCGGCTGAAGGACGACATTAAGTCCATCATGGACAACTTCACCGAGATCATCAAGACCGCCAAGGTGGGGGTGGGGTGGCCCACCAAGGGGAGCAGAGTCTGAGAAGGGGTGGAGACAGGAGAGGCCAGGGGCTGAGCAGCGCGAGTGAATAGTGTTCTAGGCAGGAAGCACCCAGTGCACAGGGAGCTGGTCAGTAGATAAGCAAACCAAATAATGGCACGTCCAGCCCTTACTAACAGTATGGATTTGGATGGAGATTTCACTTTTTAGTGCCTCAGTTTCTCCTGCATGGTGGGGTCCTTGTGATGACTGGTGAGTTTATCTGTGTAAAACAGTTACCTCGGGGCCTGGCACACAGCCAATGAGCAGGAGAAAAGCAGACTGAGGGGAGAAGTGGGGGGGGGCCTCCAGGCAGGTGGAGCGGTCAGCACTGGGGCCTGCAAGCCTGCTGACCACTGCAGCTACAGCTGCATCAGATTGGGCTGGATCCCTCCTGGCTGCTGCAGACCTGGCAGGCTCCATAAGCGATGATGATGAGGATGGAAGCTAGCATGTACTTAGTGCTTGCCATGTATCAAGCCACGTTGTGAGGTTATCTGTGCCTGTTCTGCTGAATCTTCATGAGGACTCTGTGAGGTGGGCACTGTTGTCCTCTTCATTTCAGGAGGAAACCCAGGCCCAGGAGACTTAGTGACTTGCCCAAGGTCACTCAGCTCACAACTGGCTGAGCCAGGATTTGAACCCACGAAGTCTGGGTCTTAACCACTGAGGGTACCTGACACCCACCCCGAACTGAGCCTTTGCAAGGCCTGCCGGGAAGCCCCATCCAGCCTCGCTTGGCCACCTATACACCAGGGGTGGCAGGCCAGGCTTCTGTGAAACTGGCATGGGTTAATGGTGGTCAAGTGCATGACACAGCCTGGCACCTGGGAAGTGATCAGGAAATGGTCGCGAAAAAAAACTTAAATCATCCCTTCACTCATCCAACAGTTTACCAAATGCCAAGCAAGTGACAACGGTTCCTACCAAACAGGGCTCCCACAGCCCAAAAAGACCGGGCCAAGATAAGCCCCCATCCCTGCACCTAGTACAGCAAGCAGCGTGGGTTGCCTCTATTTGTCTTGAGCAAAGGTGCATGTTGTCTCCCATGGCCAGAACAAGAGAGGGTGGAATTGAACCTTGTCAGAGGTCTGGCTGACAGCGCTTAGGTCTGTAGATGGCACCACAGACAGGTTGTGGCCAGTGTGGACATCCTGGGTAGATGACAGTTACCGTAAGCTGGGCTGGGCCGGGCCAGGGGTGGGGATGCCTTGGCTGGGTTGATTTCTAGGTTTTCTTGTTTTCCCCCAGATTGAGGACGAGACGCAGGTGTCACGGGCCACTCAGGGTGAACAGGACAATTACGAGATGCATGTGCGAGCCGCCAACATCGTGAGTGGCCAGGGTGGAGGGCACGGCCTGGGCTCCAAGAGCATCAGTCCCCTCAGGTTTCCTGGGTGGAGTGGAGGGGGCTCTGGGGCTGGTCTGGTCTTCTTCCCCCGAGAAGGAGCAGAAGGAGGCAAATGTAGAGATGCTTTGGTTTCACCACTCGGCAGCTTTAAAGAATGAGGTGGGGGCAAATCATTTCTCAGGAGACTGTCCTCACGTGGGGCACTTGGAGGAGGGCTGGGCAGAGAGCCACCCATGCCCGTCCTGTAGCCGTGCAGTGGCCAGAAAGAGGGTAGCCCTTCCTGCTAACTCAGGAGTTCCTAAGGTCAGTTGTGAGTGAAAAGACAAACAGCCGAATGGAACTGTAGGCGCCATTGGATTCCTTCGGATCACAGGAGAAACACAGCAAGCAGATAATTCCGCAGGTGCACGTCCAGGGCTCAAAATGCATGGAAAAAGGTCCCACAGGAGCTCTGCCCAGCTGGCAGCCATGTTAATCCTACCCCGGGGCAGGAGGCAAAATGGGATCGCAGTTTTATCTGTGGGGTTTGAGTTTTTCATGAGCAGAATGTACACCTGCATAATTGGACTGGAGGCCAGTCCTGCAGGAGTGGAAGCCAGAGGCTGACGAGAGGGGAGGGCCTGCCCTGCAGAACTGACATCCCAGTTTTCTCACTTAATTCTCACACATGAACCTGTGGAGGTCAGGGGTAGAGTCCCACTTTGCAGATGAGGAAGCTGAGGCTCCTAGAGAGGCCATCCCTTGCCCAGCATCAGCTACTTGTAGGCAAGGCCGCTGTCCCCCCTCACCCTGTGCCCGCCCTGGTTCTGATGGCCACAGGTCCGAGCCGGCGAGTCCCTGATGAAGCTGGTGTCCGACCTCAAGCAGTTCCTGATCCTCAATGACTTCCCCTCCGTGAACGAGGCCATTGACCAGCGCAACCAGCAGCTGCGCACACTGCAGGAGGAGTGCGACCGGAAGCTCATCACGCTGCGAGACGAGATCTCCATTGACCTCTACGAGCTGGAGGAGGAGTATTACTCGTCCAGGTATAAATAGCGCTGGACTCCCCATGCAGAGCGGGAGCCTGCCTACCTGGGCCTGGCCAGCAGGCAGGGCTGCCTTCTGCTTTTTCAAATTCTTGCTGGTCTTAGCAGTGGAGCCATGCCTGGGTTTCAGAGCAGAGCTCCTGGCCAGAGCGTTTGACCGACAGACAATTCACATCCATATGCCAGGGCCCTGGGCCTTTCCCACAGTGCAATGTGATGAAAACCACAGGACTCACGCCAGTCGGATAGGCCGAGTCTGGAGAAGGGAGGCGCCTGGCTGTATCCCCCGCAGGCCCTCTTCCGAGAGCCTTCCTCCTCGGGCAGTGCGTTCTGGGGCTGTGCTGCTCCTGTTACCTTCTGAATCCATATGTAGAGATTTCAGCCAAGGCTGGGCCAGCCTTTTTTGGGCAGTCAGGTCCACACCTATGTCCAGGGCACCAGGGATGCAATTCCATGTGGATGTCACCAAACCCCAGTGTGGAGGCAGGGACAGTCATGGGAATGTGGGGGATGAAGCCCAGGCAGGGAATGGCCTTGAAAGCCATTGGAGCTCCAATTCGTGACCCACTCAGCCTTATCCACGGAGCTGGAGCCAACCTACGTGCCAGGCCCCGTGCTGGGTCCCAGGGATGCAGAAGGGTCAAAACCCATCATCCTGACCCTTGTGGGGCTCCGTAAGAAGCTGAAACCTTCGACCGTTTGAGCTGGAGGGGCCCTGAGAAATCAGAGTCTACGTATCATTTACTTAGGGGGAAACTTAGGCTGGAGACAGGGAGGCCTTCCACTCTGCCCCATTAGCTTAGAAAATCAAGATTCAGTCCAGCAGATGCAGAGTCCATGTCCATCTTGTGCCTTCTCCTGGACAAACCTTTCCTTCCTGGTGGTGGATTTAAAATACTCCTTTCTGCCCATTGGCCATGCTGGGAGCCACAGATATCCAGAGCCAGCATGACCTGGGGCTTGGTTTCCCTGCCCTGGGCTCAGTGGCACTGCTGAGCTGCAGCAGTCCTAGAGTTTTCCAGGGGGTTCTGAGGGAATCTTTGGTCCCCAGTACTCATTAACTCAGCAGACATGAGGCAGCATTTCCTCCACACTAGGGTGGCTGAGAGGGGTCCTGGGGTGTTTCAGACCCTTCTGGGCATCTCCTTCCACAGCTGTTCAGTTTGTCGGTCTCTTTGAGGCAGCCACCGTCCCTGAGGGCCCCTGCACAGAGCAGCTGTGGGCCTGTAATTCAGCCTGCCTGCCTTGCCTTGGGGCAGGGAGAGAGGGAACCTGCTCACGGCCCTGCAGCAGAGCAGGGCGCAAACCCAGGACATCTGTGCCAGGCTTCCCATGCCCTCCCCCAACAGTCCCTCAGCTTCACCCAGCGGGGCTTCCAGGCCAGCCTGTGTCCCCTCCCGCAGGCCTCCTGTCCACACCAGCGCCCCCTGGGGGGCCTCACACAGCCCCTGTGGCAGAAGCAGTTGCCCTCCTCTGTACATTGCCTTTAAGCGACCAGGTCCTGGCCGAGTTTCCTCTGCCCCTTCTTGCTGGTCCCCCAAAGGGCGCTCCGCTCCCTGCCCTGCCCTGCCCTGTTCCGCATGAGCTGCGCCTCTGTGCTCGCCTGCCCCCTCTCTGCTTGTTAGTTGCTCTTTCTGGCTCTGCCTCTCCTTTGCGTTCCTCGGGATGCCACTCTGTGCCCAGGACGGTTCTGAGACTGAACACTGAGGGCAGGAGCAAGGGAGGAAGCCAGGGGCGAGGCAGGCCGCGGGAAAGCCAGGGCCCCTGCCTGCAGGTTAGAAAGAGGCGAGCGTGGATTGTCACAGCTGCGGGCATGGGAAGGGCTAGCTGAGCTCTTCACCTGCATCCTGGCTGCCGTGAGGATTCCCCGTGTTAGAGGTGGGGACGCCTGCTGGAGGCCGCCTGGCTGATGTAGGGCTATCGGGAAGTGCCAGGGCCTGTGTTCCCAACTGTCGCCCCCTTCAGGCTAAGTCTCAGGCAGGGACAGACCCAGAAAGAACACAGTCTGCCCTCAGAGAGCTCTTTGCAGTGTAGTGACACTGGGGTTTCTGCAGTCAGGGAGGAGGGAGGGTGGCCAGGCTGACAGCTTTTTGCAAGAGGAGGGGGACCAGCACCAGCTGGGAGGCATAGGCTAGGACAGGCCCACGTGGAGGCTGGGCAGGAAGGGCCTGCTGAGGTCACACAGCTGTTGGTGGTTGGGCCAGGGCGGCTTCCTCCTTTCAGAATGCTAGGGTGGCTCTCACCACTGGCCGCCTCTCCTTGCCAGGCCTGCCAACTCAGGGGACAGATGGAGCAGGAGTGGAGAAAGGGAAAGGCAGGTCTGGGGTGTGGTCGTGTTTTCTTAACTCTGCTTCTGTCTTGCTCTCCCCTCCCCTGGCTTTCCTCTCTGCCTGCTCCTGTCTCTCCCTGGGGTTTCTGGTGGTGGAAAAGCTCAAGCCTTTGCGAAGCTAATGACCTGCCTCTGTGCGAAGCTTACGGGAGGCTGGACCTCGACACAGACTCTGCTGATGGCCTCTCGGCCCCTCTGCTGGCGTCCCCGGAGCCCAGTGCTGGCCCCCTACAGGTGGCAGCCCCTGCCCACTCCCATGCTGGTGGCCCTGGCCCCACTGAGCACGCCTGAGCCTCCGGGGCCACGCTTCGTTCTCAGGAACAAAACCTGAGGCAGCCCTTTGGATGCCCTCACAGCCTTGCTTCTCTCAGCCTAGGTTCCCATTTGGGGACTTCAGGACCCCAGAGCCACTAGGACTTCCTTGGGAAGCCCGTTAGCCCAGGGTGGGTCCCGCCAGGACAGTAGGGAAACAGTTGTTTCCCTAGCCATTTCCGAATAGCCCATCATTCCGAGTCATCATCTCTGTTTGCTGCCTTCCTGGCCAGCCAGGTGGAAGAAAGTTTCCAAGCTAGGTCTGGCCCGTTGGGGATCTCAGCAGTGGGGCAGGAGGGTGCCTGATTTCGGGGAGTCCTGACCCGAGCCTGTTGTCAGAGTTGGGAGGGGCTCTGAGCAGTGTTGGGCAGGCCGGGTCTCCCATCCCGAGGCCAGCGTTCCTGTGCAGAGCCCCATCCACTGGTTCTTGCCCTGAGCCACATATGTCTGTGCCATGGGCTGAGTGCCACGACAGGCCCGTGTGACAGCTGCTGCCCACGCATGTGGAAGCTAGGTGGGACTCATTCCTAATTCTGCCGTTGTAATGAGACTTGATTAAAACACCGCCACTTTTTTGCATTGCTGCTCTTTCTTCCTCATTCCTTGTCAGTCCAGGACCATCCTTGGTCTCCCAGCAGTTGTCCGAGCAGCAGCTCCTCAGCTCTGCCTGGACAGCCTGGCCCAAGGTCACTCTCTCCTCATTGGCACCTGGTAGGTCCCCAGTATTCAGTGAATGGACCTGCTGCCATCATTGCACATCCAGGCACCTGTGCCTCTGCTGGCATCTCATCCTCACTGCTACCAGAGCCGGTGCTCCTAGTGCCGGTATTTTAGAGAGGAGAGGATGTGGACTTAGAAGGGGTGAGGTGTACCACGGCCACAGAGCTAGGAAGTGAAGTGGCAGGAATCAGAACTTGAACCTGATGGAAGTCTAGACCCAGTGTCTTTTGGTGCCAGGCTCACCTTAGAAATGCAGAAGTCACAACACTGGGCAGGAAGTGTGGGGGGAGCACAGTTCGTCCACAGGAAGTGTGGGGGAGCACCCCACCCCAGTTCCTCCAGCACCATCCATGTGCTTCATCTTCTCATGGGGGAGGCCATCATCTTTCCCGATGTATGAATGAGGTGACAGCCCAGGATCCAGCCTTGGGGACAGGTAAGAACACAGCTGACCCATCACCACCTGAACCAGAGAACCCCACAGCCAAGCAGAAGGCACCAGACAGACAGGAGCTTGAGGCCCAGTCCTGGCTCTGGACCTGGCTTCTGGGGTGGCCTAGGGAAGTTGCTTCCCCTCTGAGGGAGAATTTCCCCATTGATACGTGTGGTGATCTGTTCCCGCACTATTTTAGCTGTGGAAATGCCTTGTACTTAACCACTGAGGAAGAAAAAGATTACAACCAGATGGAAGCATATATGAAGCGAGAGCCCGGAAGGAACTGGCCAGACTTTGTGGTGGGATCCCACTTACCCTGTTCCTAAAATCCTGAGCGATAAGACCTGCCATCAGCTTCATTTTCTGCTTGGCCAGGACCATCATTCCCATGTGAAAATCAAGTTATTTCTCCTTCTTAAAGCCAAGCCGCTCTGCTGACCTTTTTTCCTCTCCAGCTCATGGCCTTGGCAGCAGAGCTCCACGGGGAAGCAGCTGATAACCATTTGCAGTTCTCTCTTGGGCCTACGTCAGACAGGTTTTGTCTCCATGACTCTAGCAAAACTACACCTATTAAGGTCACCAGTGGCCTCCACATTGCTAAGCCCCGGCCCATTCTCAGTCCATGTAACTCTTTTATCCCAAGCTTTTTATTTTGAGGGCAGTGGAACTCATGGAAGTACTTGTCAGTTTGCCTCTCTGAGCACATTCTCCTTCGTCCATCACCACAACCAGAATGGATGATGATTGCATATCCTCTGGTATCTAGCTGTATTCAGATTTCTTCAGTTGTTCCCCAAATAGTTTTTTTAATGCCTATTTTTTTTCTTTCTAGTCCAGAGGTCTTTTATTTTTTTAACACCCACGATGCCATGAATTCATAGGGAAGAGGTTCCAGCAGCTCAGGCTCCTTCCCATTGGTTCTCACAGTGTGCTGCTCTGGGTGGAGCAGGCTGGCGCTTCAGTTGAATCCAGGTACCTTTCTCTTTGGCTTCCCTCTTTTTCTGATCATTTTCCTTCACGCGTTTCAGGAAGCTCTCTCGGCTCTTAGAGTGCTTAGTGTGCTGAATATGCACATTCATTCTCTTGGCAAGAATCTTGCCCTTACTTGTTTACAACAGTGCCAACAGCATGCTGGGGAACACTGTAGACTCTCCCAGTCTAGCCATGGTGACATTTGTGGGGCATTCCTTTTTGAACAGTACCCATTCCCTTGATATCTACAATATCACCTTTCTCATCAATTTGCATATACTTGGCCAAAGGAACAACTGCATGTTTTCTGAAAGGCCTAGAGAACATATATTGGGTGCCTCTCCTCTTTCCCTTTGTGTTCGTCATTTTGGCGAATTACTGGAAGGTGGCGGTTCCAGCTGAAAGGCTTTTATGCCTGTTTTTATTGTGTGTTGCATTTGGTTGTTATTTTGGAGTCTTAAAATCTAAAACAGGACCAGGTCAGGCCCAGTGGCTCCTGCTGTAATCCCAGCACTTTGAGAAGCCAAAGCGGGTGGATCACTTGTGGTCAGAAGTTTTGAGACCAGCCTGGGCAACATGGAGAAACCCCGTCTCTACTAAAAAGTATAGAAATCGGCCGGGCGCGGTGGCTTACGCCTGCAACCCCAGCACTTTGGGAGGCCAAGGCGGGCGGATCACCTGAGGTCGGGATTTCCAGACCAGCCTGACCAACATGGAGAAACCCTGTCTCTACTAAAAAGTATAGAAATTGGCCGGGCGCGGTGGCTCACGCCTGTAATCCCAGCACTTTGGGAGGCCGAGGCGGGCAGATCACCTGAGGTCGGGAGTTCCAGACCAGCCTGACCAACATGGAGAAACCCTGTCTCTACTAAAAATACAAAAATTAGCCGGGCGTGCTGGTCCATGCCTATAATCCCAGCTACTTGGTAGGCGGAGGCAGGAGAATCGCTTGAACCCGGGAGGCGGAGGTTGCAGTGAGCCGAGATCGGGCCACTGCACTCCAGCTTGGGCAACAAGAGCGAAACTCCACCTCAAAAAAAAAAAGAAAAAAGAAAAAGAAATTAGCCAGGCATGGTGGCACACGCCTATAGTCCCATCTACTCAGGAGACTGAGGCAGAACCCAGGAGGTGGAGACTGCAGTCAGCCAAGATGACACCACTGCACTCCAGCCTGGGAGGAAGAGTGAGACTCTCCATTTCAAAAAATAAATAAAACAGGACCAAAGTGGTGATGAGATGGGAGTGGGTCCACTGAGATTCTGGAGGTGCTCTGAAGGCACAGCTGACAGGATTTGCTGAAGCATTGGATGTGGGGAATAAGAAAGGAGTCAGTGGTTTCAAGGTCTGGCCCAAGCACCTGGAAGGATGGAGCCGCTTTAACTGAAAAAAGGGTTGACAGTGAGAGGAAGAGATGGGGCTTGGGGGGTCAGATGCCCATTCTGAACTCAGTAGGTGATGGTGTTAAGATACCCAGCAGTTCAGGGGAGTCAGCAGCAGCGTCACGCCTATCCTCCATGAAACATCACCTCTAGGCTGGTCTGAATGGCAGTGGGATGTCAGAACTAATTAACCTTAGTGTCACTATAGTTGGCATTCGACCCCCACACTGCTAAATTTGACTGCCTTTTTTAAAAGTGAAAAAAATACATATATCTTGAGACAGCCTGGCACTCCAGGCTAGAATGCAGTGGCGTGATCTTGGCTCACTGTAACCTC
This sequence comes from Homo sapiens, assembly GCF_000001405.40. Classification (NCBI taxonomy): domain Eukaryota; kingdom Metazoa; phylum Chordata; class Mammalia; order Primates; family Hominidae; genus Homo; species Homo sapiens. Next base: position 163,733 of record NW_009646201.1, on the reverse strand, counting down.
TGCCTCCCCGGTTCAAGCAATCGTCTCTTCTCAGCCTCCTGAGTAGTTGGGACTACAGGGGCCGGCCACCACGCTTGGCTAATTTTAAATTTTTTTGTGTGTGGAGACAGGGTTTCACTATGTTGCCCAGGCTGGTCTCCAACTCTAGGGCTCAAGTGATCCTCCCGCCTTGGCCTCCCAAAGTGCTGGGATTACAGGCGTGAACCACTGCGCCTGGCCAAAAAAATTTTTTTAAATCACCTCATGGCAGAAGTTAGGGGAAGAAAGTTTAGTTCTGTTTCAAATACAACAGTTCTGTTTCTAATATATATATCAGCAGCCACCTTTTCAAATTGTAATTTAAGACTCTTAAGTTCTCCCTTCTCTACCAACGGGGTGGCCCTGGAAGGGGCTCTGGGTCCTTAATGAGCCTGTAATTTTCCAGTGCAGGAACTGGGGTGTGGTGGTCCCAAGCCTCAGGCCATGACCTCTCTTTTCTCCTGCCCCTAGTGAGTTATTATAAAGACCACATCTTGTGTTAAAAATCGCAGTGTGGGCTGGGCACGGTGGCTCATGCCTGCAATCCCAGCACTATGGGAGGCGGAGGTGGGCGGATCACCTGAGGTCAGGAGTTCGAGACCAGCCTGGCCAACATGGTGAAACCCCGTCTCTACTAAAAATACAAAAATTAGCTGGGCGTGGTGGTACACGTCTGTAATCCCAGCTACTCGGGAGGCTGAGGCAGGAGAATTGCTTGAACCCGGGAGGTGGAGGTTGCAGTGAGCCGAGATCTTGCCACTGCACTCCAGCCTGGGCGACAGAGGGAGACTCCGTCACCGGGGTGGGGGAGGGAATCGTAGTGTGTAATTCTATTTTTCAGAGCAAAAGCCACTGCCCAGGGGGTCTTCCTTGAACATGCAGGCTCCCTCCCGCCCAACACTTCTCCCTTTTCCCCTGGGCTTTCTTTGGCGCTCCCCTCACCTGACAGTCACACGCTTGCCAGGTTTATCAGTCACCTCTACGGCAGACACTCGCCGAGAACACATCTGTGTGTGTGACACACTGCTTGTGTCCCCTAGGACTGAACCTAGGGCCTGCCACGTGCCAGGCGCTCAGTCTGTGTCCGCCTGAGACCTGAGGCCCCCCACTCCAAAGGACGGAATGAATGTACTGCTGGTCATTCATTCATTTCGCCCCTACTCATGAGCGCCTGCTGTGTCGGGGTTGGGGGTGAGGGGAGCACAGGAACACGTGCGGGACCGGGGTGATAGAGGCACTGAGGCCAGGCCCCGGGGGTGCCCTGCTGCACCGACTCCGGGCGGAGATTGGCTGTCCTCGGCCCGCAATGCTGTGCGCCCCGCCCCGCGCGCCGCTTCCGGCGGAGTCAGGCTTGGCTAATCGAGCGCGCGGGCTGGCGGCTCGGCGTTCGTTTGGCCGCGCCTGCCCGTGTGGTGGTTTCCGGCGGAGGTGGTGAGAGTCGCACGCGCAGCGGGGAAGGTGTGAGTCGTGAACGGCCCGGGTCTCCGCCATGGCCTCTCTACTCGCCAAGGACGCCTACCTGCAGAGCCTGGCCAAGAAGATCTGCTCCCATTCGGCCCCGGAACAGCAGGCGCGCACGCGGGGTAACGCACAGGGCCGGGCCGGGACTAAGGGGCCTGCGAAACGGGGGACGCGGCCGGAGCCGGTGTAGACGAGTCTGTAAAGTACTAGAAAAAAAATCTAAGTGACTTGTGAAATTATCGCCGTTTCCCTTATTTGTTTTTTTTGTTTTTGTTTTTGTTTTTGGAGACGGAGTCTCGCTCTGTCGTCCAGGCTGGCGTGCAGCGACGCGATCTCGGCTCACTGCAAGCTCCGTCTCCCGGGTTCACGCCATTCTCCTGCCTCAGCCTCCCGAGTAGCCGGCACTACAGGCGCCCGCCACCACGCCCAGCTAATTTTTTTTTTTTTTTTTGCATTTTTAGTAGAGACAGGAGTAATGGTCAGTCAGTGGGAAAAGACCCTTTCAGTCCCTTCACTACGGGCATGGTGCGGTGTGGGGAGGAGGAGGATGGCAGAGGGCTCCTGCGCTTAGGGTTCTCATGGCCTGGTGACCACGCTGCACAAGGGAAGTAGATAATCGGGTGGGGAAGCCGACAGCGGGGACGTGTCAGTGCTGTCTGGGCCCAGGAGGAGAGGAGAGCAGCAGGGTCTCTGGAACCACCAGAGGTAAAACGGGGTTTCCTTTTTATTCAAGGACGATATATTGGTTATAGCAAATCCAAAATCTTAAGTGAATTTTCTCATTACCTAGTATGTCTTCCGTCTGTCTTTCTCATCCTTTTTGAAATTTTTTTTTTTTTTCATTAAAACGATTCAGCTCCTACTTTACTTAGACTGATTTCTCCCATTTAAAATGTAAACATTGTCCGGCCGTGCGGCCTCATGCCTGTAATCCCAGAATTTTGGGAGGCTGAGGAGGGCGGATCACAAGATCAGAAGATCAAGACCATCCTGGACAACATGGTGAAACCCCGTCTCTACCAAAAATACAAAAATTAGCCGGGCACAGTGGTGGGCGCCTGTAGTCCCAGCTACTCCGGAGGCTGAGGCAAGAGAATCGCTTGAACTCGAGAAGTGGAGTTTGCAGTGAGCAGAGATTGCGCCACTGCACTTCAGCTTGGGGAACAGATTGAGACTCCATCTCAAAAAAGAAAAAATGTAAACATAACCCCCAGCAGCTAAAATGAAAGCCCTTGCCATTGTGTTTGATGGCAGCATGGTAGCTTATTGTAAAGCAGGGCCAGAAATTGTTAGTGGAGGTGGATATTCAGGTTTTTCTAATGTTTCACTCAAATAATGGTGATGAACGTCCTTGAAGCCTCATCTTTGTGCCTGATGAATTCTCACAAGCAGAACTACTGGGTCAAGGTTGTGGTTCTGAGCTCTAGGATCAGTGTCTCTGGCCCCCGATCCTGATCCTCTTTCGGCATCTTCCTGGGATCAAAGCCTTGGTGAGCCTTTCCTGCCTATTGAATGGGCCATGAGATTGGGACTTAACTCTTTCTTATTTTGCATTTCAGCTGGCAAAACTCAAGGCTCAGAAACTGCAGGGCCCCCAAAAAAGAAAAGGAAGAAAACACAAAAGAAATTCCGGAAGCGAGAAGAGAAGGCTGCTGAGCACAAGGCCAAGTCCTTGGGGGAGAAATCTCCAGCAGCCTCTGGGGCCAGGAGGCCTGAGGCAGCCAAAGAGGAAGCAGCTTGGGCTTCCAGCTCAGCAGGGAACCCTGCAGGTGAGAGGCTTCAGGGCATGTTGGTTCTGTGCAGGGCGGGGCTGGGGCTGGGCTTGGGCTTGGTCCCCTTTGCTCTTAAGAAAAAAAAAGCAGCAGCAGGCGCACAGGGATAGCACGAGACTTCCCCAAGAGCAAAGATCACAGGAGTGCTAGGGTGGATGGGACCGAAGGAACTGTGTGGCATTCCAGGCCACATGGCTAGCAGGATGTCAGGGGGCAAGGCTGTGTCTCTCTGAGGACCTGGAGCAGCTTGGCTTGAAGAGCTTCCCTGCCCTCAGGTCTCTGCAGGGGCCTTGTGAGAGCCAACTTGTTCTGGGGCCCAGGCTACAAAATTTGGAGGAGGTGGTTTGGCTTGCACCGTAGGAAGTGTTTTCTCATACCACGGTGACCTACCTCGTGAGGCACTGAGTTACCTGTTCTGGAGGATGTTGTAGGAACCAGTCCAGGTTGAAGCGGTGGAGTGGAATTTACTGGAATTGCCCTGCAGATCCATGAGTGGCCACAGTGGGACAGGGATTCGTGGCCCTAGGGAGGGAGGGGGAGGGGAAGAGAGGGCCCCCTGCAGTCCTGTCTCCTTCCCTGCAGATGGCCTGGCCACTGAGCCTGAGTCTGTCTTTGCTCTGGATGTTCTGCGACAGCGACTGCATGAGAAGATCCAGGAGGCCCGGGGCCAGGTAGGCGGGCAGGTTTGCTGGAGTGCCGTCACTGCTCTGCCTGTGTTCTCCCTGGGGTCAGCTGTCAGCGAGGGGCCGTAGCCCCTGTTCTCCCCTCTGCAGCGAGTCTGGCAGGGCCCCAGCAGGTGTGCTCTGGGAGAGCAGTTATTTTCTTGGAGAACCTCAGTCCCCAAGCTCATCAGCCTCCTTCCTTCTGGGAAGCTGCCTTTGCTGAACTGACACTGGGATGGGCACCTCCTGTGTCTGTTTCTCTGAATGTCGTAATAGTCCTGTGAGTTGAGTAGGGACTTGAGCTGAGTGGCCAGGCACAGGAAGCACCAATGCAGCTCTTTGTGCTGAATGGTACTGTCTCCCCTGTGTTGGCCCCTACCCACCCTTTTCCTGGGGCCCTTCCTTAAGGCCTCGTGCTGTGTGGGGGACAGTCCCCAGCTACTCTCCTCCGCCATCCCGAGGTACAGTGTGTGGTTCCTAAGAGGTGAGCAAGGCTCTGGGCCCTTGTTCCTGAAGCACAGGTCTCGTTTGGGCTGGTGTAGGGCTCTTGTTGGCCCGGGGATGGGAAAGGCCATTGGGGAGGGCTTCGTTGGGTACCTCGTGAACAGAATGGGCAGCGGTCAGGACAGGTGTTCAGACGCCAACTCCAAGTTCTAGGCAGTGGTCTTGACCCTCCTCATCTATAAAACGATGTATGACATTTGAAACCATGTGCGTAATGTATCCTGGCACGGGGTAAGCACCCGGGAATTGGAAGCTGTGATTCTTATTTGGGGGTCCCTTCTCTCTTTTGGGGTCATTTGCTTTTTGGGGAACATCATGGTGGAACATTGAACTCCGCGGGCCCCTTGTTTGCGTGAGGATTTTCTCACCTGCCTTCCAGCCCTGATTCTTCTCGACTATGGGCCAGGCTGGGGGACCCTGGGATCGAGAGAACTTTAATGAGTGGGTGCCTCTTTCCCCCAGGGCAGTGCCAAGGAGCTGTCCCCTGCCGCCTTGGAGAAAAGGCGGCGGAGAAAGCAGGAACGGGACCGGAAGAAGAGGAAGCGAAAGGAGCTGCGGGCGAAAGAGAAGGCCAGGAAGGCTGAGGAGGCCACGGAGGCCCAGGAGGTGGTGGAGGCAACCCCAGAGGGGGCCTGCACGGAGCCGCGGGAGCCGCCCGGGCTGATCTTCAATAAGGTGAGCGGGAGCTGGGTCCTTGGGCGGGCTGGGTCGGCTTCAGGCCTCAGCGTTGCCCCTTGTTAGCTTCATGATCTCTCTCCGAACCCCATCATGTCTGTAAGGTGGTGACGGGGACCTCGCAGGTCCCTTAGGGTACTGGCCAAGGCTGGGGCCTAGTGCAGGGCTGGCATGAGCTGATGTCATACCTTCCTCCCAGGTGGAGGTGAGCGAAGACGAGCCGGCCAGCAAGGCGCAGCGCAGAAAAGAGAAGAGGCAGAGGGTGAAGGGGAACCTCACGCCGCTGACCGGGAGGAACTACCGGCAGCTGCTGGAGCGCCTGCAGGCACGGCAGAGCCGGCTGGACGAGCTGCGCGGCCAGGATGAGGGGAAGGCGCAGGAGCTGGAGGCGAAGATGAAGTGGACCAACCTCCTCTACAAGGCGGAGGGCGTGAAGATCCGTGACGACGAACGCCTGCTGCAGGAGGCCCTGAAGCGCAAGGAGAAGCGCAGGGCGCAGCGGCAGCGCCGGTGGGAGAAGCGCACGGCCGGCGTGGTGGAGAAGATGCAGCAGCGCCAGGACCGGCGGCGGCAGAACCTGCGCAGGAAGAAGGCGGCCCGCGCCGAGCGCCGCCTGCTCAGAGCCCGCAAGAAGGGCCGCATCCTGCCGCAGGACCTGGAGCGCGCAGGCCTGGTCTGAGTCTTTCCCACCTGGGGCCGCCGTCTTCCGTCCTAGGAGACTCCAGGACACCCTCTGAGTCCTTGACGCTGGCTCTGTCCCAGGATCTCCACAGACCTCGGCCTCTCCATGTGAGGGGGACACAGTGGTGCTCTGCTGAGTTGTGAGGGCCCAGATCACAGATCCCATGTGAGAAAGAGAGAGTTTCAGCGTCATCCTTGAACGCAGGATCCGGGACCTTCAGACCCAGGGAAAGGGTGAGGGAGACTGGGGCCTGGTCTGCTTTCCCGGGCCTGAAAGCTTCCCCGAGGTTTGCAGGGTCAGGGAGGAGGAACGGTGGGGGTGGGCAGTCACTGCCTGTTCCCCACTGCCTGTGTTCGCAGGAGCCACGGGACAGAAGACGGTGGCCTCTGCTGCCGGGCCACGTTAGTCCGCAGCTCACCCGAACAGAGGACAACCCTGAGGTGTGGCATATGGGCACCTGGCACTGGGAGTCGGGGGAGCACGTCCAGGCGTGGTGCATCCTGGGGCAGAACGCCATGGCTCCTCCCCGCTCTCTTGGCTTCTGCCTGTTGGGGTCTCATTCCTTTCTGTTCCCCAGTGCCCCGGGGCGGCATTTTACTGCTCAGAATTTGGAGGGAGGGAGCAGTACCTTCCCGGAGTCCACGCATGTGAGTTGGGTCAAGTGCATTGGACCTAGGGAAAGAGAAAGAAAGAATAAAAGCTGGAGAGAGAGTGAAGTGAATGCAAGATACAAAGTGGGATGGAAGAATTAAATCCAGAGTTCCAGGCAATCAAAATGAGTGCAGGTTGAAAGAAAACAGGTGAATTTTAGTGGCATATGGATGATAAAGCTGTAAATAAAATTCTTTTGATGAAACTCTCCGGTTATGAGACAAAGACTGTAACTGAACAGGAGCTGGTGTGACTGTTACCAGACAGAGGCAACTGATGAAAAAGCCCTGTGAAAGATAGGATGTGAGGTGAGCATGAGCTTGAGCTGAGAGACAGACACAACAGTATCTGAAAAGAATACATACTCTTTCCATGCATATATGGAACATGGATGGAAACTGACCACCTACTTTGTCCAGAAAAGAAGTCTTAAGATATTTCAAGGAATCAGTGTCGTTATCTGACCGTATCCCAATGTCATTAAAAAAAATTTGAGCTATTTTTTTTTGTTTTTTAGATAGAGTCTTGCTCTGTCACTCAGGCTGGAGTGCAGTGGCATTTCATATTTGGAATTTTTAAAACACACTTATAAATTACCTATGAGTTAAAGAATTCCGAATGGCTATTAGAAATATTTGGGACTAAAGGATAATGAAAATGCTACGTATTAAAATTTGTGGAACAGGGCCTGGCATGGTGGCTCATGCTGTCAATCCCAGCTCTTTGGGAGGCGGGTGGATCACTTGAGATCAGGAGTTCAAGGCTAGCCTGGACAACATGATAAAACCCCATCTCTATTAAAAATAAAAAATTAGCTGGGTGTGGTGGTGCAAACCTGTAGTCCCAGCTGCTTGGGAGGCTGAGGCGGGAGAATCACTTGAACCCAGGAGGTAGAGGCTGCAGTGAGCCAAGATCGAGCCGCTGCACTCCAGCCTGGGTGACAGAGCAAGACTGTCTCAAAAAGAAAAAATTTAAGATTTGTGGAACAGAGCTAAAGCAGCACAAAAAAACATAGCCCCTAAATGTATGTGCATCTACAGATAAATAGTGCCATTTATACACACATACGCTGTATGTCTGTATTTTTAAAGCTAAAGAAAAATAAGCATGCAGCTTAAGTTGGAACAACTCAAAGTAAATGGAAGAAAAATCTCCAAAACTGACTAAAAGTAATAGAAAGCCTGAGTTGTAATCACTGATGAAATTGAGTCAGTAGTTAAGAATGTTCCCCTAGACGGTTTTACAGGGAAGTTCCACGATATAGAGAACAGGTAATTCCAGACGTAGACAAATTCTAACAGAATCAATTGAGAGAACACTTCATTCGTGAACTTAGCTTTGATACCAAAACTAGGTAAGAGAAAGGGAAGTTACCAAATACCTGTGGGCGGCAAGCCACCCAGGCGCCGAGGCAAGAGACAGAGGACACGAGCTGTTCCAGTATAATAAAATATAAAACAAGAATAGTTACAGCAGATATAGATCTTAGATATGATTACATATGAATATCATTAATCATTAGTTTGTAGCAATTACCTTTTATTCCAATATTATAATAATCCTCGCTCTATAATCATAGCCTAGGAAAAACCAGGCCATACAGAGATAGGAGCTGAGGGGACATAGGTGTGACCAGAAGACAAGAGTGCGAGCCTTCTGTTATGCCCGGACAGGGCCACCAGAGGGCTCCTTGGTCTAGCGGTGACGCCAGCGTCTGGGAAGACGCCCGTTGCCAGGTGGACCATGGTCTAGCAGTAGCAAAAAGTATCAAGGAACAACACCCGCTACTTAGCAGACCGGGAAAGGGAGTGTCCCTTTCCCTGGAGGAGTTTAGAGAAGACTCTGCTCTTCCACCTCTTGTGGAGGGCCTGACATCCGGCAGGCCTGCCCGCAGTTATCTGGAGGCCTAACCGTCTCCCTGTGATGCTGTGCTTCAGTGGTCACGCTCCTAGTCCGCCTTCATGTTCCATCCTGTACACCTGGCTCTGCCTTCTAGATAGCAGTAGTAAATTAGTGAAAGTACTAAAAGTCTCTGATATGCAGAAGTAATGGCATAAGCTGTCTTTCTCTCTGTCTCCTCTCTCTCTCTGCCTCGGCTGCCAGGCAGGGAAGGGCACCCTGTCCAGTGGACACGTGATCCACGTGACCTTACCTATCATTGGAGATGACTCACACTCTTTACCCTGCCCCTTTTGCTTTGTATCCAATAAATAACAATGCAGCCAGACATTCGGGGCCACTACCGGTCTCCGAGCATTGGTAGTAGTGGTCTCCCGGGCCCAGCTGCCTTTTCTTTTATCTCTTTGTCTTGTGTGTGTATTTCTACACTCTCTCATTGCTGCACACAGGGAGGGAGAGACCCACGGACCCTGTGGGGCTGGTCCCTACAAATACCAATGTCAAGATTTTAGACAATAATAAACCAAGTTTAGCAAAGTGCCACACTGGATTTAATTCAGAATTGCAAAGCAGTTTCAATGCCAGAGAATCAAGAGTGTAATTCATATCAATAGATTAAAGGAGCAAAACCCACGTGACCATCTCAATGGTTGCAGAACAGGAACACAGTAAATGACGCGACAGCCATTTATAACGAGTTTTTAGCAAACTAGGAATTAAGGTATTTCCTTACTCTGATAAGGGGATTTGGAGCCAGGCATGGACCCATCTTGAAACTACATTCTGGGTCAGGCAAATGTAGATGTATTGGAGGGAAAGACATCCCCATGGGTTCCCAAGAGGTGAAGTCATCATAGTGAACTAAGGGGCCAGTGAGGGTCTGGAAAAGGCCACTGCCATCACCTGGCTACAGAGACTGAAGAGGCGGGGGGGGGTCTCGTCCTGAGCAGAGACAGGACAACTGGGTGGGCCAGTGAGGGCTGCAGGTGGGGGAAGCTGAGAACCCAGCAATATTTTACTGCCACTGGATGTCTGCACAAGGAACCTATGCCAGCCAGGGAGGTTGAGAGTGAGGCTCAGTGGGGACTGGCATACTGGCTGAGTGGATGCAGTCATTGAGCAACGCATGTCATGCATGGCGTGGGCCATCACTCTGCTGGGTGAAAGTTTCAGGAGCGAATGAGACCCAGCCCTAGCTCTCAAGGAACCCATAGTCTCATAGGTAGTGGTCCTGCAAAGTGGCCAGGGAAAGGATCGGGGTGCAGGGTGCTGAAGTCACATGGAAAGTTGTGAACGTTGCCGGTACCAAAATGGAGTCACTTATGTCAAACTAAAACAGTTGGAGGTGATGAAGCAGCCCTCACGCACACATTCCTGCAACAGGACTTACCACAAGACATTTCTACAAACAGACCAATAACAGGACTCACTGCAAGACCATCCTCAACGGTTGCAGTATTCCAGATAAGCTGCTATTCCCAAATCCATTTATTTTAGAGAGTCTATCTCTGGATTTCTTCATAGGTTGACTGTGTCATGTAGGATTCAGTATAGTGAACAAAGATTGGGGAAAGGCAGACCCCAGGCAGAAGATCAGAGGCAAGGGGGACAGTCATGCATTTGTAAGGTCTAAAAAGTTCAGTCTGCTTTTGTGATACCTGACGAATTTTCATATGTTGTGTTTTCATTCAGTTCAAAATACTTGCTAATTTCCCTTTGATTTATTCTTTGGCTAATGAGTTATTTAAAGGTATGTCATTTAGTTTCCAAATATTTGGGAATTTACCAGAGATCTTTCTGTTACTGATTTCTAGTTGAATTTCATTGTGGTCAGAGAACATACTTTGTATAACTTGAGTCCTTGGCTGGGGCGTGGTGGCTCACACCTGTAATCCCGATACTGGGAGGCTGAGGCAGGAGGATCATTTGAGCCCAGGAGATTGAGGTCAGCCTGGGCAATGCAGCGAGACCCTGTCTCTACAAAAAAATTTAAAAAATCACCCTGGGGCGGTTGCCCACGCCTATGCCTATAGTCCCAGCTACTCAGAAAGCTGAGGTGGGAGGATCACTTGAGCCCAGGAGGTTGAGGCTGCAGTGAGCCATGTTCCTGCCACTGCACTCCAGCCTGGGCAACAGAGTGAGACCGTGTATCAAAAAACAACAAAAAACCACTTGAATCTTTTTGAAGTTAACAGGGTTTGTTTCATAGCCCAGACTGTGGTCTCTCCTGGTAAATGTTCTGTGTGTGCTCGAGAAGAATGTTTTCTGCTCTTGTTGAGTCAAGTGTTTTAATGTCAGGTCCAGTGGAGTTCAAGTTCTGTATCCTTGCCAATTTTCTTTTCTTTTTTCTTTCTTTCTTTCTTTTTTTTTTCTTGAGACAGAGTTTTGCTCTTGTTGCCCAGGCTGGAGTGCAATGGCGCGGTCTTGGCTCACTGCAACCTCTGTCTCCTGGGTTCAAGCAGTTCTCCTGTCAGCCTCCTGAGTAGCTGAGATTACAGGCATGCGCCACCATGCCCGGCTAATTTTGTATTTTTAATAGAGATGGGGTTTCTCCATGTTGGTCAGGCTGGTCTCGAACTCCCGACCTCAGGTGATCTGCCTTCCTCGGCCTCCCAAAGTGCTGGGATTACAGGCGTGAGCCACTGCACCTGGTGCCAATTTTCTATCTATTCATTCTGTCAATTATTGCACTTCATCAAAAATTAAAAATTAGGAAAACAGATAAAAAGGCTCACAGTGGGAGAAAATATTTGTAAAACATACAGTATAATAAAGGACTTGTGGCCGGGCGTGGTGCCTCACTCCTGTAATCCCAGCACTTTGGGAGGCCGAGGCAGGTGGATCACTTGAGCTCAGGAGTTCAAGACCAGCCCGACCAAGATGGTGAAATCCATCTCTACTAAAAATATAAAAATTAGCCGGGCGTGGTGGCAGGTGCCTGTAATCCCAGCTACTTGGGAGGCTGAGACAGGAGAATCACTTGAACCTGGGAAACGGAGGTTGCAGTGAGCCGAGCTGTCGCCACTGCACTCCAGCCTGGAAGACAGAGCAAGACTCCATCTCAAAAAATAGTAAATAAATAAATAAATAAAATGGCATAACCATTTTGAAGGTTCGTTTTTGCATAAAGATGTCCAGTGTTCCAGGACCAGTTGCTGAAAAGACTGTCTTCGTAGAATTGCCCTTGTACCTTCATCTGAAATCAATTGGCCATAAATCTGTGTAGGTCTATTTCTAAACTGTGTGTTCTGTTCCCCTGAACCTTTCGCCAGCGCCACACCGTCTTAATCACTGCAGCTCTATAGTAAGTGTTGAAATCGGGTAGCATGAGTCTTCCAACTTTGTTCTTTTTGAAATTGTTTTATTTCACATTTACTACATATAGTCATTACTTAATCTGCATTTGCTCTTAAAAAATGTAGCTCTTCTGGTTTTTAGGAAGGCTTGATTTTTTTTGGGTCTAGTTGCTACTTACTGTTCATACCCTTAAATAATATCTTTAGTCCCCTCAACCTTTAAAAGAGTTCTCATAGTTCCCTACTATGAAATAATTTGTAAACCTTTCCCCTCTCTCCCTTCTCTCTCTTTTCTACCACCCATGGTTTTTTTTGTTTTTTTTTTTGAGACAGGCCTCGCTCTGTCACCCAGGCTGGAGTGGAATGGCGCCATCTCAGCTCACTGCAACCTCTACCTCCCAGGTTCAGGCGATTCTCCTGCTCCAGCCTCCCTAGTAGCTGGGATTACAGATGCGCGCCACCAAGCCTGGCTAATTTTTGTATTTTTAGTAGAGATGGATTTCACCATGTTGGCCAGGCTGGTCTCGAACTCCTGACCTCAGGTGATCCACCTGCCTCGGCCTCCCAAAGTGCTGGGATTACAGGTGTGAGCCACCATGCCCGGCCCACCCATTTTTTGAATGAATACTATTATATTTCTTAGTATTTGCCTCTGTCCTCTTTAATATGCTAAACTTCTCAGTTTGTCAGCATTAAGTGATGTCTTTAGAATCCAACTATAATATGAAGGAATCAGCAGGGCGATTCTATTTTCCATCCTCTCTCTGCTTTCTTGTCTCATACTGTTATAGCTGCCTTTGTAAAATTGTTTTTTTACACATTCTGTTACCTTTGTGTATGAGTTTGCTAGGGCTGCCATTAACAAAGCACCGCAGAGCAGCTTAGGTGAGAGGAATTCATTGTTCACAGCTCTGGAGGGCAGGGGTCCAGTCCAGACATCAGCAGGGTTGGTTTCTTCTGAGGACCCTGAGTGAAGGCTGTTCCTGGGTGCTGTCCTTGGCCTGCAAACAGCATCCTCTCATCTTCCCCCTGTGCCTGTCTGTGGGTCCTGATTGCCTCTTCTTATAATAAGGACACCAGTCACATTGGATTAGAGCCCACCTTAGTGACCTCATCTTAACTAATAACATTTGCAGTGACACCATTTCCAAACAAGGTCACGTTCTGTGGTGCTTGGGGTTAAGACATCAGTGTGTGGATTTGGCAGGGAACACACCGTACGTACCCATCACAACTTGCTGCTGTTTTTATCTCGGTCCCTGTCCTCTAGTTGAATATGTGAGTGCTCACTCCCTGTTCCTCTTACTATCTGTGATCATCTCTCAGTTAACTAAAATTCACTCTAGTACAGCGGTACTTTTGACCAACATTTTTTGCCCCAGTGACTGGTTTCTTGGAAGACAATTTTTCCATGGACAGTAGGGGTGGTGGGAGGGATGGTTTGGGGATGAAACTGTGCCACTTCAGATCATCAGGCATTAGATTTTCATTAGGAGTGAGCAACCTAGATCCCTCGCATGCGCAGTTCACAGTAGGGTTTGCACTTCTATGAAGATCTAATGCCACCGCTGATCTGACAGGAGGCAAAGCTCAGCAGTAATGCTCCGCCTCAATTCGTTTGTTTTAGCAAAGTTGTCTGGACTTCTACCTTGGAGTCTGTCCTGTCTTGGCTCTGCCCTGCCAGCCAAGGACCTGCCTGCTGCTGCCTCCCCACCGCTGCTTCCCCTGCTGCTGCCTCCCCCGCCACCGCCTCTCCTGCCTGCTTGCTCTGCTGCTGTTGTGCCTCTTCACGTCCCTGTTTCTTCCTGGCTGCACTTTCCACAGCATCTCTAGACTTGTGTCTGTGGCCTTTGCTTCCAGTCCTTCCTAAGTTCCACCAGCACCTGTCCACCTGTTCTTCCTGGGGCCGCAGAGTTCCCCATGGCCATTTCCGCTGCAGCCACTCCCCTGGCCACTTCCCCAGCTGCATCATGGGGCTGCCCGCTGGCTTGCCACTTTCACTTGGCTTTGTGGCAGTGGTTTTCTCTGTGTTTTCTTCATCTGCAGGGAAGTCTTGCTGTTCCCTTTTTGTTTGTTTGTTTTTGAGACAGGGTCTTGCTTTGTTGCCTGGGCTGGAGTGCAGTGACATAGTCACAACTCACTGCAGTCTTGACCTCCTGGGCTTAAGCGATCCTCCCGCCTCAGCCTCCCAAAGTGCTGGGATTCAGGAGTGAGCACTGCACTGGCCACCCGCTCCTTTTAGGTTTCTTTTTTCCCTCTGGTATCTTTGGGTGGATATTGATACTCATATTTGGATGAATTGGGTTTCCTGGATTGGGAGGGTGGGGCTGGCAGAGCCCAGAGTATAACTTTTCTGGTTTTGAGCCTGCCCCTCTCCTGACGTGCAGTAGCCTCTAGTATGGGCTGCCTCTGTGGCAGGGCAGGCTGAGTGCCGGAGCCCAGTAGGGCCAGGAGCGCCTCCACCACCATCCACAAGATCCCCTCTTATCTGGAAGTGGAGTGTCCACCCAGCACCCATGCCCCACTTCCGTGTGTGTTTCCGCAGCTCCACTCCCTGCTGGTGTTCAGCCCCTTCCCAGCAGTCCCATTCAGGCTAGGGCCTTCTCCTTCTGGGGTGTGACCCTGAGGGTTTCCTGTTCCCACCTCCTCCCGGCTTTCTCCACGCTCCCGCTGCCCCCCGACACCTGTTCACCCTCGGGACTCCATGCATAGTCTGCTTGTCTTTAAAATATAATAATTATTTTTTGGACACAGGGTCTCCCTGCGTTGCCCAGGCTGGAGTGCAGTGGCTCTTCACAGGTGCAATTATACTGCACTGCGGCCACAAACTCCTGGCCTCAAGCGATCCTCCCACCTCAGCCTCCCAAGTAGCTGAGACCACAAGTGCATGCTATTAAGCCTGGCTTAAAAAACAACGTATTTATTGAAAATTTGAGGTTCAGTAAGGCCACCAGATCAGGAGATAATTGCCATTGAAAGGATAGTTTACGACAGTTTCCAGGAGAAGGGGTACCCCAAGCCACACAGGGCCACACGGGGAAGTGCTGGAGTCGGTCAGGAGGCAGGAGAGGGCAGAACTGTGGGTGAAGCCCGTAATGTGGTTTCCATGGGAGGGGGTGGGCGAGGCGGTAGGGAGGCTTAGGCTTGGCTCATTTGAATGATTTCAGCGCGCTCTGGGGTGTAACACCTGCATGCTCAGTGAGCTCCTCGAGGAATCCCCCGTATCGCTGCAGTAATTCCCGTATACGCCTTGTGAGGGCTGCACACAGGCTGTAGTGGCCCTTCTGCAGCTCAGCGTGGATGGCTTCTCCAGGGTCAGCCAGAAGCAGTGGGGTCAGAGCGAAAACCAGGGCTTCCTGGCTGTGACGCATGTGCCTTCAGCCACTGAGCTGCCCTGCTTACCCCACAGGAATTGGGAAGACATCAGGGAGGGCTTACTGGGGAAGGTGAGCATCAACCTTGACCCTGAACGATGGGAAAATTAGGATGGCAGAAAAGGGCATTCAAGAAAGGAAGAATTGGCCAGGCACAGTGGCTCACGCCTGTAATCCCAACACTTGGGGAGGCCGAGGCGGGCGGATCACCTGAGGTCAGGAGTTCAAGACCAGCCTGGCTAACATGGTGAAACCCCATCTCTACTGAAAATACAAAAAATTAGCCAGGTGTGGTGGCAGGCGCCTAATCCCTGCTGCTTGGGAGACTGAGGCAGGAGAATCACTTGAACCAGGGAGGCGGAAGTTGCAGTGAGCTGAGATCCCACCATTGCACTCCAGCCTGGGCGACAGAGTGAAACTCCATCTCAAAAAAAAAAAAAAAAAAAAGATACAAAAATTAGCCAGATGCGGTGGCACATGCCTGTAGTTCCAGCTACTTGGGAGGCTGAGACAGGAGAATCGCTTGAACCAGGACGGGGAGGTTGCAGTGAGCCTAGATCATGCCACTGCACTCCAGCCTGGGTGACAGAGTGAGACTCCAACCCCCTCCCCCCGCAAAAAAGGAAGAATTATATATATGATTATTATATATTATATACATATTACATGTACTATATAGAGAGATGATACATAGATATAGATCTATAAACAGATGGGATCTTGCTATGTTGGTCTTGAACTCCTGGCCTCAAGCAATTCTCCTGTCTCGGCCTCCCAAAGTGCTGGGATTACCAGCGTGAGCCACTGCTCCTGGTCAAGAGAGGAAGAATTTTTTGTTTTCTCAAACAAAGGAAGGGAAGGTTCTGACACGTGGGAAGTTTCCCCAGGGACGGAGTCCCTGTAAGGACAACGGGGCCGCGCAGAGCCTGGACGCTCAGGCCAAGGACTGACATGTCCCCAGAGCAGAAGGGCTGTGTCTGAGTCCCCGGTGAGGGTCGTGAGGACAGAAGACTCAAGCCCAGCAATACAGGCTGGGGCAAAAACACAGACGGGGTGGTCAACTGCGGGACAGAGATCAGCAGGAACTGTGGCTGTGCTGGCAGGATCCACTAACTACATAAAGTCATCAGTAAACATGGACAGTACATTTTTTATTTTTTTGAAATGGACTCTTGTTCTGTCACCCAGAATGGAGTGCAGTGGTGCGATCTCAGCTCACTGCAACCTCTGTCTCCCAGGTGCAAGCGATGCTCCTGCCTCAGCCTCCTGAGTGGCTATTACAGGTGCACACCACCACACCCGGCTAATTTTTATATTTTTAGTAGAGATGGGGTTTCACCATGTTGGCCAGGCTGGTCTCGAACTCCTGACCTCAGGTGATCCGCCCGCCTCGGCCTCCCAAAGTGCTGGGATTATAGGCATGAGCCACCATGCCCGGCCCATGGGCAGTACATTTGTGGGCTGGTGGGAGAGGGCTTGTCTTGGGCCTGTGCAGCTCCTCAGTTTCTCAGTCACCATGATCCTTGGAAAAGAGAAGATTCCAGGAAAGAGTAGAGAGATGACCTGGTTCCCCAGTATCAGGAAGGCGGAAGTGGCAAAGGGAGCAGAGACATTCAACGGTTCACGGGCAGAGCCAGGCCATGGGGGAAGGACCTTCTAAGATAGCCAGAGGCTGTGAATCCACATACAGGGTAGTGACACACACGCTCGACTCAGACTTTTGGGTCCTGTCCATAGCTGTGAAAGGGTACACTCGGGGACCTGCTGCGAAGGTTTGTTGTGCAGTCTCATGAGATGACACCAGCAGTGTGGTGAGACTCCTGCCTGGGCCGTGGCAAGATCTTGATCATGTTTAGCTCCTTTTTCACGAAGAAAGCTCTGCAGCCTGGGCCTGCCATACCCAGGGCGGGGAGGGGGGTGACTGCTCTTCGCTGATGCTCCAGTGAAAGGGGGGCACCTGGGCCCGAGGCAGATGCAACGGAGTTCCCAGTGACCAGCAGCCGGAATGACCTCTCTGAGCACGTCTGCATTCAACAAACCTGGACCAGGCTCAGCACAGGCCAGGCGGGGCACTGCAGGCATATCTGTGGAATGAGAGAATGAAGCTCCCCAAACACCCAGGCCTGAAAGAGGAGCAACAAGAAAGGAGTGAAGGAGTGGGGAGGAGCAGCGAAGAAACTTCCTGAGCGCCTCCTCCTGGCAGGACCTCCCATCCATCGTCTCTGACCCTCACAGAGTTCTACAAGGGAGTCTTCTCACCAAGCAGGCACTCCACGGAGTTGGGGTTTCTGCCCGCATTATTCAGCAATGAGGCCGCAACCAGAATGGTGCCTGGCACTTAGTGGGCGTTCAGCAATTCTCTCTCTCTCTTTTTTTTTTTTAAGACAGAGTTTCGCTCTCGTTGCCCAGGCTGGAGTGCAATGGTGCTATCTTGGCTCACTGCAACCTCCACCTCCCAGGATCAAGTGATTCTCCTGCCTCAGCCTCCCGAGTAGCTGGGATTACAGGTGCCTGACACCACGCCCAGCTAACATTTTTGTATTTTTAGTAGAGACAGGGTTTCACCATGTTGGGCAGGCTGGTCTTGAACTCCTGACTTCAGGTGATCCACTGGTCTTGGCCTCCCAAAGTGCTGGGATTACAGGTGTGAGCCTCTGCGCCCAGCCAGCAAATGTCTCTTGAATGAATGAATGCCAGTGTGATCGATGCTGAAGCTGTGATGAGCAAGGATGTGACACGTCTGAGGTCACAGATGCTGGACTTTCACCCCGATCCCACTGCAGGGCCTCTGTCTGCCATGGATTTTTTTTTCTTTCTTTTCTTTTTGAGACAGAGTCTCACTCTGTCGCCCAGGCTGGAGTGCAGTGGCACAGTCTCGGCTCACTGCAACCTCCGCCTCCCAGGCTTAAGTGATTCTCCTGCCTCAGCCTCCTGAGTGGCTGGGACTACAGGTGCATGCCACGATGCCTGGATAATTTTTGTATTTTTGGTAGAGACAGGGTTTCACCATCTTGGTGAGGCTGGTCTTGAACTCCTGACCTAAAGTGATCTGCCCACCTCAGCCTCCCAAAGTGTTGGGATTACAGGCGTGAGCCACTGCGCCAGGCCCCTTTCCCTCTTACTGGTCTTCTTTTGAATTTAGTTTTTAAAACAATCTTTTCAGTTTATTTGTTGTCTTATTCACTGACAGTCTTTTGTTTTCTTGTTTGTTTGTTGACTTTAACAGGTGCTTTAGGGTTTATAGTATGTCTTTAATTTATCACAGTCTACCTTCATCTAGTATAAGAACCTTACAGCTGGGCTCAGTGGCTCACGCCTGTAATCCCAGCACTTTGGGAAGTCAAGGCGGGTGGATCATGAGGTCAGGAGTTCAAGACCAGCCTGGCCAACATGGCGAAACCCCATCTCTACTAAAGATACAAAAAATTAGCTGGGTGTGGTGGTGTGTGCCTGTAATCCCAGCTACTCGGGAGGCTGAAGCAGGAGAATCATGTGAACCACCAGGCAGGAGAACTGTGCACCACCACACCTGGCTAGTTTTTGTATTTTTAGTAGAGATGGGGTTTTGCCATGTTGGCCAGGCTGGTCTCAAACTCCTGACGTCAAGTGATCCACCTGCCTTGGCTTCCCAAAGTGCTGAGATTACAGATCTGAGCCATCACACCTGGCTATTATTTTTATTATTTTACACTTTCTTCCAGAATTACTCTGTATTTAATTAGCACAATAATGACAGCAGCTGGCATCATTGAGCGTTCTCTGTCAGGTGTATCTTGCTGAGCACTGCCCCTTTGCTCTCGACTTTCATCTGAGGGTGTTGACAAGGTCGGAGAGAATGGGGGGTGGTGGAGACGGAAACCTCTGCCCCAGCTCAGCAGAAGGCTTCAGCACGCAGATCACATTCCTCAGTCCTAGGAGGAGGTGGGTGGTACCCAGCACTGCCCCTGGTAGCTCACAGGGTCTGATCCGGGGCCTTTGCCCCCTCAGGGTCCCTCCAGCTGAGGTTCTTCAGTGGCACAGTTTGCCCTCAAGGCTGCCAGTTGCCGAGCCTTGTAGGAGGGGCTGAGAGAGGCCTCCCAGCAGGTCTGCCCACCTCCCCAGCACCAGAGCTCTCCTGGGTGGGGAAAGGGAAGGCCCTAGACCAGGTTGCAGGCTGGCCGGCCGGCTGGCAGACACTCACAGCATGGTGACCTTGGCTTCCAGGTTGCCCCCTTCCAGGGTCGTGAGGGTCATGGGTGTCACCGATTCCAGATTCATCTCAGGGAACTCCCTGTCCACCGTCATGGCCTTCAGATACCACGTCCCTGACACCTGGAGAAGGCCCCTCTCTATCAGGCTCAGGCCGACCGCTCCAGAGCCTCCCCCTTCCCTGGCCTGCAGCCCCCAGACTCTACCGCACCCCACAGGCTGGAGACGGGGAACATTCCCCAATCTAATCCACCCAGAAAACACCCAGCACCCTCGCCAGGTCCACCCGAAGGTGGCTCCAGCCCCCACAAGTTGGCCAGGACCACAGGAGCCCTCACCCCCAGGAGAGAAGTGAAGTCAGCCAGACCCCCACCTTCCCAGCTCTGCCCCTCTGCATCCCTGTCCCCCCAGCCCAGACTCCTGCTGTCCCATCTCACCATCTTTCAGGGCAGGGCTTTTACGCCCAACCCGAAAATGAGGGTCTCCTTGGATGGGGGAGGGATGTGGTCTCCATCCAGCAGTCTCAGCCTCGCCCCTTGCCCCCTCCAGCCCACCCTTCCCATCCAAGCCTCACATCCTGAATCTCCTCGTCTGAGGCCAGGAGGTGGTGGGCCTGCAGGGCAGCAATGAGGCCGAGGCTGACGGCCAGGAGCAGGGGCTTCATCTCCGGGATCTGAGTCCACGGCCGCCTGACGGTTTGCTTGCTGGGGCTGGGAGAGGGTGTGCCACTCCCACAGCCACCCTTTATACCGCTGGGCTCAGGATCCCCCGGGGACCTGGCACAGGTGACTGACCAATCCCTTCCTGGATGTAAACCACGGCCAGTTCTGCAATGGAGCAGGTAACGTGCCATTGTTGCTGGAGGCTGGTGAATAACAGCTTGTTAATTCCAGAGGATCATCCGGACAGGACCAGGTCCAGAGGAGCGGGTTTGCAGATTTCACCTGGGAGGAAACTGAAGGGAGTGAAGGGCGTGCAGGCCTCCTGGGGACATGTGCGGCAGTAACAGGCGCCCCCCAGCCATCCCACACGGGCTGACGTGCACACCGTCAAGGGGGTTTGGGGTTGGAGTCCGAGGGTCGTGGGCTTGGGGCTCGGCTGAGCTTCCTGCATCTCTGGGCAGGTTACTTGGCCTCAGATTCATCATGGAAAAAAAGGGACCCTCCTGTGTGAACACGATACCGTGTGCATTTAAGGACGGTGTCCACTGTCCTGAGCAAGGTGTGCAGTAAGGACCCTCTCTGCTCCACACACAGAGCAGCAATAGGTCAGACAGACAGAAGACCAAGACAGGTGTGTGTGTGTGTATGCAGGTGTGTACATATATACATGCACACACATGCACAAACACACACACACTCACATAAAACAAGGAATGGAGGAGAAGCACAGGCTGGTGATGGGGCAGAGGCAGGGGCCTGTCAGCTCCAAGTCCCAAGGCAGGCAGAGAGGGCCTAGATCCACCTCCTGGGAGTGATGGGTGTGTCTTCCCTGACTCCAGAAAGGAGGCTGAGAAACCCTCCTTGATACATCCCAGAGCTGTAACTTCGTATAACTTAGTGGAGCACTGTGGGCATAGGAAGGCAAGAGGACATCAACACAGCCTCAAGGGCAGAAGCTGAGACAAGCCGTCCTCGGAAAGGATGACTTTATCTGTGACATGCTCTGCATCACTGCAGAGCAGAAGCCTGGGACCCAGGATGGGAGCAGAGGCTACAAAACACTGCTAGACAGAGGACAATGACAACAAGATGGCAGAGAAAGGCAGAAATGCAGAGACACAATATCCTCACCTTGAAATAAGCAAGGCCAGTTTCCAAATTACCCAAGGAAACACCACACTAAGAAAGGCAGGCTAAAAATGAGCAATTGGTACAGGAACTTACACCAGACTTTTTTTTTAAAAAGTAGTATAAAATTAGAAGTGGCCAGAATATAAAGAAATAAGGAGAGAGAAAGTAGAAATAATTATAAATTTTGAAGATGAAGAGTAGAGTGAATAAAAAACACAATAGATAGGATAAATTCCAGACTTGACATAGTAGAAAAGAGACTTAGTGTCATGGAAGATAGTACTAACATAGTCAATGAAGAAAGAAAAATTCAAAAGAGAAACTGAGGTGTTACAAATAGATTCAGAGACTCCAGCCTGTATCTAGCAATAAAATGGAGTGGAGGAAACCAACCAGAGTGCAGCAGCTTTGAAAAACACAACACACACACACATACACACACACACACAATACACACACATGCACGCACACACACATATACACACACATGCATACACACACATACACACACATGCACACATATACAAATGCACACGTACACACACTCAAAGGTAACATATATGGAGAATAGATTGAGAGGCTCTGATATAAACAGAATAGGAGTTCCCAAAGAAAAACATTTTTTAAAAATTATTATTATACTTTAAGTTTTAGGGTACATGGGCACAATGTGCAGGTTAGTTACATATGTATACATGTGCCATGCTGGTGTGCAGCACCCACTAACTCGTCATCTAGCATTAGGTATATCTCCCAATGCTAACCCTCCCCCCTCCCCCCACCCCACGACAGTCCCCAGAGTGTGATGTTCCCCTTCCTGTGTCCATGTGTTCTCATTGTTCAATTCCCACCTATGAGTGAGAATATGCGGTGTTTGTTTTTTTGTTCTTGTGATAGTTTACTGGAATGATGATTTCCAATTTCATCCATGTCCCTACAAAGGACATGAACTCATCATTTTTTATGGCTGCATAGTATTCCATGGTGTATATGTGCCACATTTTCTTAATCCAGTCTATCATTGTTGGACATTTGGGTTGGTTCCAAGTCTTTGCTATTGTGAATAATGCCACAATAAACATACGTGTGCATGTGTCTTTATAGCAGCATGATTTATAGTCCTTTGGGTATATACCCAGTAATGGGATGGCTGGGTCAAATGATATTTCTAGTTCTAGATCCCTGAGGAATCGCCACACTAACTTCCCCAATGGTTGAACTAGTTTACAGTCCCACCAACAGTGTAAACGTGTTCCAATTTCTCCACATCCTCTCCAGCACCTGTTGTTTCCTGACTTTTTAATGATTGCCATTCTAACTGGTGTGAGATGGTATCTCATTGTGGTTTTGATTTGCATTTCTCTGATGGCCAGTGATGGTGAGCATTTTTTCATGTGTTTTTTGGCTGCATAGAT
Source organism: Homo sapiens (assembly GCF_000001405.40). NCBI lineage: Eukaryota > Metazoa > Chordata > Mammalia > Primates > Hominidae > Homo > Homo sapiens. The sequence continues at coordinate 141,343 of NW_009646201.1, read as the reverse complement.
GTCTTTTTTTGAGAAGTGTCTGTTCATATCCTTTGCAAACTTTTTGATGGGGTTGTTTGTTTTTTTCTTGTAAATTTGTTTGAGTTCATTGTAGATTCTGGATATTAGCCCTTTGTCAGATGAGTAGGTTGCGAAAATTTTCCCCCATTTTGTAGGTTGCCTGTTCACTCTGATGGTAGTTTCTTTTGCTGTGCAGAAGCTCTTTAGTTTAATTAGATCCCATTTGTCAATTTTGGCTTTGGTTGCCATTGCTTTTGGTGTTTTAGACATGAAGTCCTTGCCCATGCCTATGTCCTGAATGGTAATGCCTAGGTTTTCTTCTAGGGTTTTTATGGTTTTAGGTCTAATGTTTAAGTCTTTAATCCATCTTGAATTGATTTTTGTATAAGGTGTAAGGAAGGGATCCAGTTTCAGCTTTCTACATATGGCTAGCCAGTTTTCCCAGCACCATTTATTAAATAGGGAATCCTTTCCCCATTGCTTGTTTTTCTCAGGTTTGTCAAAGATCAGATAGTTGTAGATATGCTGCGTTATTTCTGAGGGCTCTGTTCTGTTCCATTGATCTATATCTCTGTTTTGGTACCAGTACCATGCTGTTTTGGTTACTGTAGCCTTGTAGTATAGTTTGAGGTCAGGTAGTGTGATGCCTCCAGCTTTGTTCTTTTGGCTTAGGATTGACTTGGCGATGCAGGCTCTATTTTGGTTCCATATGAACTTTAAAGTAGTTTTTTCCAATTCTGTGAAGAAAGTCATTGGTAGCTTGATGGGGATGGCATTGAATCTGTAAATTACCTTGGGCAGTATGGCCATTTTCATGATATTGATTCTTCCTACCCATGAGCATGGAATGTTCTTCCATTTGTTTGTATCCTCTTTTATTTCCTTGAGCAGTGGTTTGTAGTTCTCCTTGAAGAGGTCCTTCACATCCCTTGTAAGTTGGATTCCTAGGTATTTTATTCTCTTTGAAGCAATTGTGAATGGGAGTTCACTCATGATTTGGCTCTCTGTTTGTCTGTTGTTGGTGTTTAAGAATGCTTGTGATTTTTGTACATTGATTTTGTATCCTGAGACTTTGCCGAAGTTGCTTATCAGCTTAAGGAGATTTTGGGCTGAGACAATGGGGTTTTCTAGATATACAATCATGTCATCTGCAAACAGGGACAATTTGACTTCCTCTTTTCCTAATTGAATACCCTTTATTTCCCTCTCCTGCCTAATTGCCCTGGCCAGAACTTCCAACACTATGTTGAATAGGAGTGGTGAGAGAGGGCATCCCTGTCTTGTGCCAGTTTTCAAAGGGAATGCTTCCAGTTTTTGCCCATTCAGTATGATATTGGCTGTGGGTTCGTCATAGATAGCTCTTATTATTTTGAGATAAGTCCCATCAATACCTAATTTATTGAGAGTTTTTAGCATGAAGGGTTGTTGAATTTTGTCAAAGGCCTTTTCTGCATCTATTGAGATAATCATGTGGTTTTTGTCTTTGGTTCTGTTTATATGCTGGATTACATTTATTGATTTGCATATATTGAACCAGCCTTGCATCCCAGGGATGAAGCCCACTTGATCATGGTGGATAAGCTTTTTGATGTGCTGCTGGATTTGGTTTGCCAGTATTTTATTGAGGATTTTTGCATCAATGTTCATCAAGGATATTGGTCTAAAATTCTCTTTTTTGGTTGTGTCTCTGCCCGGCTTTGGTATCAGGATGATGCTGGCCTCATAAAATGAGTTAGGGAGGATTCCCTCTTTTTCTATTGATTGGAATAGTTTCAGAAGGAATGGTACCAGTTCCTCCTTGTACCTCTGGTAGAATTCGGCTGTGAATCCATCTGATCCTGGACTCTTTTTGGTTGGTAAGTTATTGATTATTGCCACAATTTCAGCTCCTGTTATTGGTCTATTCAGAGATTCAACTTCTTCCTGGTTTAGTCTTGGGAGAGTGTATGTGTCGAGGAATTTATCCGTTTCTTCTAGATTTTCTAGTTTATTTGCGTAGAGGTGTTTGTAGTATTCTCTGATGGTAGTTTGTATTTCTGTAGGATCGGTGGTGATATCCCCTTTATCATTTTTTATTGCGTCTATTTGATTCTTCTCGCTTTTTTTCTTTGTTAGTCTTGCTAGCGGTCTATCAATTTTGTTGATCCTTTCAAAAACCCAGCTCCTGGATTCGTTAATTTTTTGAAGGGTTTTTTGTGTCTCTATTTCCTTCAGTTCTGCTCTGATTTTAGTTATTTCTTGCCTTCTGCTAGCTTTTGAATGTGTTTGCTCTTGCTTTTCTAGTTCTTTTAATTGTGATGTTAGGGTGTCAATTTTGGATCTTTCCTGCTTTCTCTTGTGGGCATTTAGTGCTATAAATTTCCCTCTACACACTGCTTTGAATGCATCCCAGAGATTGTGGTATGTTGTGTCTTTGTTCTCATTGGTTTCAAAGAACATCTTTATTTCTGCCTTCATTTTGTTATGTACCCAGTAGTCATTCAGGAGCAGGTTGTTCAGTTTCCACGTAGTTGAGCAGTTTTGAGTGAGATTCTTAATCCTGAGTTCTAGTTTGATTGCACTGTGGTCTGAGAGATAGTTTGTTATAATTTCTGTTCTTTTACATTTGCTGAGGAGAGCTTTACTTCCAAGTATGTGGTCAATTTTGGAATAGGTGTGGTGTGGTGCTGAAAAAAATGTATATTCTGTTGATTTGGGGTGGAGAGTTCTGTAGCTATCTATTAGGTCCGCTTGGTGCAGAGCTGAGTTCAATTCCTGGGTATCCTTGTTGACTTTCTGTCTCGTTGATCTGTCTAATGTTGACAGTGGGATGTTAAAGTCTCCCATTATTAATGTGTGGGAGTCGAAGTCTCTTTGTAGGTCACTCAGGACTTGCTTTATGAATCTGGGTGCTCCTGTATTGGGTGCATATATATTTAGGATAGTTAGGTCTTCTTGTTGAATTGATCCCTTTACCGTTAAGTAATGGCCTTCTTTGTCTCTTTTGATCTTTGTTGGTTTAAAGTCTGTTTTATCAGAGACTAGGATTGCAACCCCTGCCTTTTTTTGTTTTCCATTTGCTTGGTAGATCTTCCTCCATCCTTTTATTTTGAGCCTATGTGTGTCTCTGCACGTGAGATGGGTTTCCTGAATACAGCACACTGATGGGTCTTGACTCTTTATCCAATTTGCCAGTCTGTGTCTTTTAATTGGAGCATTTAGTCCATTTACAATTTAAAGTTAATATTGTTATGTGTGAATTTGATCCTGTCATTATGATGTTAGCTGGTTATTTTGCTTGTTAGTTGATGCAGTTTCTTCCTAGTCTCGATGGTCTTTACATTTTGGCATGTTTTGCAGCGGCTGGTACCGGTTGTTCCTTTCCATGTTTAGCGCTTCCTTCAGGAGCTCTTTTAGGGCAGGCCTGGTGGTGACAAAATCTCTCAGCATTTGCTTGTCTGTGAAGTATTTTATTTCTCCTTCACTTATGAAGCTTAGTTTGGCTGGATATGAAATTCTGGATTGAAAATTCTTTTCTTTAAGAATGTTGAATATTGGCCCCCACTCTCTTCTGGCTTGTAGAGTTTCTGCCGAGAGATCTGCTGTTAGTCTGATGGGCCTCCTTTTGAGGGTAACCCGATCTTTCTCTCTGGCTGCCCTTAACATTTTTTCCTTCATTTCAACTTTGGTGAATCTGACAATTATGTGTCTTGGAGTTGCTCTTCTCGAGAAGTATCTTTGTGGCGTTCTCTGTATTTCATGAATCTGAATGTTGGCCTGCCTTGCTAGATTGGGGAAGTTCTCCTGGATAATATCCTGCAGAGTGTTTTCCAACTTGGTTCCATTCTCCCCGTCACTTTCAGGTACACCAGTCAGACGTAGATTTGGTCTTTTCACATAGTCCCATATTTCTTGGAGGCTTTGCTCGTTTCTTTTTATTCTTTTTTCTCTAAACTTCCCTTCTCGCTTCATTTCATTCATTTCATCTTCCATCACTGATACCCTTTCTTCCAGTTGATCGCATCGGCTCCTGAGGTTTCTGCATTCTTCACGTAGTTCTCGAGCCTTGGTTTTCAGCTCCATCAGCTCCTTTAAGCACTTCTCTGTATTGGTTATTCTAGTTATACATTCTTCTAAATTTTTTTCAAAGTTTTCAACTTCTTTGCCTTTGGTTTGAATTTCCTCCCGTAGCTCGGAGTAATTTGATCGTCTGAAGGCTTCTTCTCTCAGCTCGTCAAAGTCATTTTCTGTCCAGCTTTGTTCTGTTGCTGGTGAGGAACTGCTTCCTTTGGAGGAGGAGAGGCTCTCTGCTTTTTACAGTTTCCAGTTTTTCTGCTCTGTTTTTTCCCCATCTTTGTGGTTTTATCAACTTTTGGTCTTTGATGATGGTGACGTATAGATGGGGTTTTGGTGTGGATGTCCTTCCTGTTTGTTAGTTTTCCTTCTAACAGACAGGACCCTCAGCTGCAGGTCTGTTGGAGTACCCGGCCGTGTGAGGTGTCAGTCTGCCCCTGCTAGGGGGCGCCTCCCAGTTAGGCTGCTCGGGGGTCAGGGGTCAGGGACCCACCTGAGGAGGCAGTCTGCCCGTTCTCAGATCTCCAGCTGTGTACTGGGAGAACCACTGCTCTCTTCAAAGCTGTCAGACAGGGACATTTAAGTCTGCAGAGGTTACTGCTGTCTTTTTGTTTGTCTGTGCCCTGCCCCCAGAGGTGGAGCCTACAGAGGCAGGCAGGCCTCCTTGAGCTGTGGTGGGCTCCACCCAGTTCGAGCTTCCCGGCTGTTTTGTTTACCTAAGCAAGCCTGGGCAATGGCGGGCGCCCCTTCCCCAGCGTCGCTGCTGCCTTGCAGTTTGATCTCAGACTGCTGTGCTAGCAATCAGCGAGACTCCGTGGGCGTAGGACCCTCCGAGCCAGGTGGGGGATATAATCTCCTGGTGCGCCGTTTTTTAAGCCCGTCGGAAAAGCGCAGTATTCGGGTGGGAGTGACCCGATTTTCCAGGTGCCGTCTGTCACCACTTTCTTTCACTAGGAAAGGGAACTCTTGCGCTTCCCAGTGAGGCAATGCCTCGCCCTGCTTCACCTTGTGCACGGTGCGCGCACCCACTGACCTGCACCCACTGTCTGGCACTTCCTAGTGAGATGAACCCGGTACCTCAGATGGAAATGCAGAAATCACCCGTCTTCTGCGTCGCTCACGCTGGGAGCTATAGACTGGAGCTGTTCCTATTCGGTCATCTTGGCTCCTCCCCCCAGAAAAACATATTTAAATTGGCAACAAAGCAACATAATAGCTCAGAATTCTCTGGAATTGAAAAGACATGAGATCCCAGATCTAAATTACAAACCAAGAGAAATCCACTTCTAGAATATTACAGTGACATGCAGATCATCCAGGAGAGGAGAAAAAAGTCAAAACGACCAGAAAGAAGAGCCACAGTACCTACCAAAAATGCAGATGTCAGCTGACGGCAGACTTCTCAACAGCAACGCTACCTCCTGGGAGACAGTGGAGTGACGTCTTTAACAGACCTAGGGAAAATAACATTTACCTTTGAATGCTATTCTCAGCACAACTTTCATAAAATATTGAAGGCAAAATAAAGACATCTCAGACGTTAAAAAACAACGGACAGCCTCTACCACTCACTGGCTTCCATCAGAGGAAGTTTGAAAGGGAGAATTTTAGCACTTCTGTAGCAGACCGGGGGCGGGGGATCAATGTCAGCAAAGCAAACTACCTGCTGGCTGTACAAACACGATTGGTGCAGACTTTAATGGTGGGGGAGGAAGGTTCTGTTTTAGTGGATATTTAAAGAGTGCTAAATGCACACAAAACACATGTGCCCACATGCAGGTGTTCATAGGAACAAAAGATGCCCGTTAAGTGCAGGAGAATGATCTATGGTGAGAGGGAACTGGAACGGGGTGGGCAGGGATAATACATTTTCAAAACAAATAAAGGACCAGGTGCAATGGTGGCTCACACCCGCAATGCCTGCACTTTGGGAGGCCGAGGCAGGCAGATCACCTGAGGTCAGGAGTTCAAGGCCAGACTGGCCAACATGGCAAAACCCCGTCTCACCTAAAAATACAAAAATTAGCCAGGTCTGGTGGCGGGCACCTGTAATCCCAGCTACTCAGCAGGCTGAGGCAGGAGAATCGCTTGAACCTGGGAGGCGGAAGTTGCAGTGAGCCAAGATCACACCATTGCACTCCAGCCTGTGTGACAGAGCAAGACTCCATCTCAAAAATAATAATAATAATAAATAAACAAATAAGCCTGTTAGATGAAAGCATGATTTATTTTTCATCAGTATAGATGAAAGGGGGCCAACATGAAAACAATTAAAAGCACAATCACAAGAAGACGAATGTTCATGAATTTGAAGGCATACTGCATCAAAATGCAGGAAGCCAAAAGAGACTGAAGAACAAAGGGGTCAAATCCACAGTCAGAATGGAAGATGCCAGAACTTCTCCGTTAGAAGCAGAGAGCAAGAGGGTTTTTCTTTTGTTTTTTTTTTTTTTTTTTTTGAGTTGGAGTTTCACTCTTGTTGCCCAGGCTGGAGTGCAATGGCGCGATCTCAGCTCACCACAACCTCCACCTCCCAGGTTCAAGCAATTCTCCTGCCTCAGCCTCCTGAGTAGTTGGGATTACAGGTGCATGCCACCACGCCTGGCTAATTTTTGTATTTTTAGTAGAGACAGGGTTTCACCATGTTGGTCAGGCTGGTCTCGATCTCCTGATCTTGTGATCCGCCCACCTCAGCCTCCCAAAGTGGTGGGATTACAGGCATGAGCCACTGAGCCCGGCCAAGAATTTTAAAAGTTCACACCAACGTTGAAGATTTGGAACCAAAATTGTAAAGTGTACAAAGACACTGCTCCAACAGCTAAACAATTATATTGTTATAATTGTTACAATGAACAATTAAGAATTAAGTACACATAGAATATTTAAAGTACCCATAGAGTGGTTTAAAGAATAGGCCACATACCAGGCAATATGGGGAATTTCACAGAACCCACACAGTGGAGCCTGCCTTTTTTAGCTACAAGGCAATAAAACTAGAATCAACAATGAACAGAGTGTTACATAAAAAGAAATATAAACTTCAAGTCTACAGCATTAGATGCATCTATTACTATACAATACAAAAGTAAGTTAGTCCGGGTGTGGTAGCTCATGCCTGTAATCCCAGCACTATGGGAGGCCGAGGTGAGCAGATCATGAGGTCAGGAGTTTGAGACCAGCCTGGTCAGCATGGTGAAACCCGTCTCTACTAAAAATACAAAAATTAGCTGGGCGAGGTGGCGGGCGCCTATAATCTCAGCTACTCAGGAGGCTGAGGCAGGAGAATCACTTGAACCTGGGAGGCAGAGGTTGCAGTGAGCCGAGATCATGCCATTGCACTCCAGCCTGGACAACAAGAGCAAAACTCTGTCACACACATACACACACACACACACAAACACACACACACACAAAGTAGACATTCAAATAAAAAAGCAATAACACATATCCTAAAGAAATTTGAAGACAGAAATAATAAAGAAGAGAAATCTGTGGACCAGAAAATAAAGAAAAACTGGAGATAACCCACAAACGCAAAACTGGCTCTTAGAGGAAACTACAATAAAATGGGTAGACGTCTGGCAAGACTGATGAAGAAAACAATGAGAAAAGCAGCAATTCAACGTCATTAGGAAAGGCGAGGTGACAGACACTGCAGATGGAGGCCAAAGAGAAGCTCACGTGCCTCAGGGAAGCGCAGCAGGGGCACACGGCCGGCGGAGCTCGGCATCCTTTGCCACTGTCGTTAAGCCTGCGGTGTTGTCACGAGGCTGCATGGATGGATCACCAGAACAGGAGAGAGTCCAGAAACAGACCGGAAATGGAATCGGAAAATAAGGGGCATAGCAAAAACATTGGAGGGGAAAATATTGAATAAATGAAGCTTTTATCCGTACGAAAAGGACATATCCATTTATTTTCCTACCTCACACGGCACACAGTTGATTCCGGACAGATTAAAAGGATTCATATGAAAAGCAAAACTTTAAAAATATGTAGTAGAAACGATGAGACAATCCCTTTGTGACCTAGAGGCAAGTTCAAAAGCTGCTGAAGAGTCACGTCATGTCTTTAACAGAGGCAGGAGGCAAGCCAGACGGGAGGGAAAGCCCTGCCATGTGTCCATCTGCACGGTTTCAGCATGCAGAGTGCACGAGGAACTCCTGCCAATGATGTAGACACAGACAACTGCAGGGAAGAGAAGGCAGAGGATGCGAAAAGGCAGTTGGGGGAAGAGGCGAACCGGATGCTGCAAGGACAGAAAGAGAAGCTGAGTAAGGAGAGGACAATCTCAGGGCCTGAGGCTGAGCGCATTCCTCACTCTGACAGTAACGTGGGTAGGATGAGGTGCATCAGGAAGTACCCATGGGTGCTGGCGTTGGAGAGCAATGGCCCAGCTGGCGAAGCTGGAGACAATGTGCCCTGGGACTCCACAGTTCCGCTGCCTCCCGCGGACCCTAAGATGCCCCTGTGTGGTCCTTGCCATGAGCAAGCCGGGAGCTCCCCTGGGCATGAGTTTGTGAAATCTGCCACAGCTGTCTCTTTCCGCGGCACTGGGGGGCCCCGGGCTGGTTCAGGTGCAGCAGGGCCTGTTGAAGCTGCCAGTCACTCTAGCTTAGAAGCTCCTGCCTTCCGCGGTAGTCTTCATTTTCAGGAATATTCTCTCATTCCCTGTGCCAGTGCAGCTGGTGTCATGACCCAAGGATGCTGGACTGCACATCACAGCGGGACATGAAGGGAAGTCAGCGAGTCTGGAAGGAGAGGCAGGTTTTGTCCTGGGGGGAAGCCGGAAGTGAGTCACAGTCAGCTCTTCCGAGCCTCCAGTGTGCACGCCTGTAAGCTGGGATCGGTCCTCAGCGATGTCCATCAGTCCCTGATGTGCACGCCTGTAAGTGGGGATTCAGTCCTCACCGACGTCTATCAGGACAGAAGTCCTCTCTCTGTGAAAAGTTCTCGGTCGTGAACACGCACGAATGCCCCGGCCAGCTCTGCGCTCCTTTGTCAGGTCAGAAGTCCTCTCTCTGTGTGAAAAGTTCTCGGTCATGAACATGTACGAATGCCCCCGGCCAGCTCTGCGCTCCTTCATCAGGACAGAAGTCCTCTCTCTCTCTGTGAAAAGTTCTCGGTCGTGAACACGCACGAATGCCCCGGCCAGCTCTGCGCCCCTTCGTCAGGACAGAAGTCCTCTCTCTCTCTGTGAAAAGTTCTTGGTCATGAACACGCACGAATGCCCGGCCAGCTCTGCGCTCCTTTGGTGGTCACCTCGCAAAGGAGAATTGATCGGAGCTGCTGCTTACGGGGTGACGCCCGTGGCAGCATCACCACACACACATCATGACGGCAGCCGCGTGTGTCATTCAGCCCCCAACCGATGATGAGAAACCAACCTGAACCTCACGTCAGCAGGAAGGCGGAGTTATCTTTCCATTCTATTTATGAAAAATTATTTTCATAGGAAGCAATAATCAAGGGGTAGCAGCCAAGAGATATAGAAGAAATAAGTTTGATAGAGGTGTGCCAGGGAGTAACTAATCAAATCTTGTTTTTTGCTTCCATTTGATGACGTTTAGTGCACCTATCAGCTTTTTCATGTGTGAGCTTTGTGTGTTTTTTTATCACTTCAAATATTTATTTTCATATCTAATTTGGATTCATAATTTTTTTTTTGAGACGGAGTCTTGCTCTGTCATCCAGGCTGGAGTGCAGTGGCACGATCTCGGCTCACTACAAGCTCCGCCTCCCGGGTTCACACCATTCTCCTGCCTCAGCCTCCTGAGTAGCTGGGACTGCAGGCACCCGCCACCATGCCCTGCTAATTTTTTTTTGGTTTGTATTTTTAGTAGAGACGGGGTTTCTCCGTGTTAGCCAGATGGTCTCAATCTCCTGACCTTGTGATCCGCCAGCCTCGGCCTCCCACAGTGCTGGGATTACAGGCGTGAGCCACCACGCCCGGCCTCCTTCTTGTTTTTTTTCTAACAGAGCATCTTACGTGGATGCAGTGACATAGATGCGTCACCCGCCTGCCACCGAAGGAAGGTGCAGGAAGGACACCCAAGGGCCTTGTGGTGTCTCTCCTGCGCCTTGCACTTCCCCGGGGCCGGGGCCAAAGCCAATGGCAAGGCCAGCCATGGCGGGCAGCAGCCCCTCTGCTGGACACGGCTCCTGCCCCAAGGCTCCAAACTCTGCCCCCCACTGAGCAACTGATTTCCTGAGTCCCCCTCCGAGGGCTCGGGGATTTGACCTTGAAGTTCCCGCCCACCTGAGTCTGTGTGTTTTAGGCCTGCGTGGCCTTCCCTGTCCATGCCCTGAGTCCACCTGGCCGCTGCCATCCTTCAAAACCCAGCCCAGTCCCACATCCTGGAGGAGGAAGGGGCCCTGCCCACCTGGCTTCTGGGGCATCTTGGGCCAGGGCAGCCACAGTGGTCCCTGCATGTCCCCGTCACAGATGGGTGCCTGTCCCGAAGGAGCCGTCAGCCTGACAGGCCTCGGCCCTCTCTGGCCACCGAGGCTCCCTCGCCCTTCCGGGCTGGGCTCAGCAGAGGCTTTTGGGGCTCAACTGGACTGAACCGAGTCACGGATGGTGGAAGTGAGGGGATCTGCCCCTGGCCATGGGGGCCCAGGGCGCTGCAGGGGGGCCCGGGGCGCATTCCTGGAGGGGCTGCTTCCCGGGAAAGGTCGCGCTGTGTTTGTGTTCCGGCTCTTTCCTCCGCCTGAGTTCCTCCGAGGCCCTGGCTCATCTGAATACAGGACCCTGTGTGCCACGGCATGCAGCATGTCACGGTGAATGTCACACAAACAGGAACGTGCCTGGAGGCCGCCTGGACCTGTCCTCCCGCCCATCAGCTGCCAAAGTAATGCTGTGCACACGGCCGTCCCCACCTGCTTCCCCACTCATGGAGCTCCTCACGGGCTCAACACCCCCTTCCAGAAGGCTGGTCCCGGGAGGGGAGTTGCCGGCATCTGGAAGCCTGGCCGGCCTCTGTAGTGCAGCCAACATGGGGTCCATGAGCCAGGGGGTGGAAGAGGCCCCGTGACGTGGGGAACACACTAAGCTCCTAGCCCAGCTCTTCTTCTTGGAGCACCAGATGCCCTCGCTCTGCCGCTGGGGAAGGGGTGAGCCGAGGGCTTGAGGCCAGCACAGAAACTGCCCCCCAAATCTTACTCCGGGATCGGCACTTTCCTGGAAGACCCCAGGAGTAAAGAGAAGGAAGAGCAGAGGGGAGGGAGGGAGTCCCAAGCCAGGTGCCACTGAGAGGGGCGGTGTAACTCTGTCCAGGTCGCCTCCTGGGAAACTGAGGCCCAGCTAGGCAGAATCAGGTCTCCTGGCCCCAGACACCACCTGCCACTCAGGCAGCTGCCCCATGGGAGGCTGGAGATGTCTGAGTTGGGGCCTTCAGACCAGGAGCCACATGGAGGGAGGCCACGTTCCTCTTCCTCCCACCTGCATACCTGCCCTCCTCTGTTGAGCTCCGGGAAGCCGTCTCTGGGGTGGGGGTGGATGCTAATGTTCTGTGCAGCTGTTTCGTTCTCTGAGTCGTTTTCGGTGAAAGGGCTCAGAGTTGCAGCTAAAGCCCGTACCAGCCTTGCACTCCCACGAGGGAGCTGTTACCCTCGTGCCCCCTTCATGGGAGAGGAAGGTGAGGCTGGAAATGGTGAGTAAGGGGCCGAGCTCGCTCAGAGGCTGGCACGACCCCAGGCTCACACCTGCCAGCAATGTTAAGAGGCACCGGGAGCTGGAAAGGGCTGAGGGTGCCACGCCGGGGGTGGACCGGGTCCGACCTGCCCCCTCCTCCGAGGCTCTCTCCTTCCCTACTGTAAGACAGAGTCTTGCTCTGTCACCCAGGCTGGAGTGCAATAGCGCCATCTTGGCTCACTGCAACCTCCCCCTCCCAGGTTCAAGAGATTCTCCTGTCTCAGCTTCCTGAGCTGCTGGGATTACAAGGTGCCCGCCACCAGGCCTGGCTAATTTTTGTATTTTTAGTAGAGACGGGGCTTCACCATGTTGGCCAGGCTGGTCTCGAACTCCTGACCTCAGGTGATCCACCCGCCTCAGCCTCCCAAAGTGTTGGGATTACAGGTATGAGCCACTGCAAAGCCGGGGCTGAAGTGGAAACTGCTGTCTTGTTATCACGGGAGTGAGGATGTGGCCTGTGTGCTGCCTAGAACTGGCTGCACCTGCTGTCCTTTTGCTTCTGCCTTAACCCCCGTGACTCTAATTCCCTATTCTCCTGCCTCATTAGTTCCTGCTGTCTGCAAACAGAAGATGAGGCTGGGCTGTGAGCCACCTCCCAGCCTGATCCCCAGGGGCCAGGGTCAAAGTGGACCTACCCAGGCCTTTCAGGACTGTTAGAGGCTGGGTCTTAGAGAACCCTAGTTCCTGGGCATGCTGTGTTTTGGCTAGGCGTACTTTCACCCAATTTTCTGAACACTGAGAGGAAGACCTTCCAATTGGGATATTCTTGCCTCTGTTTCTGGAAATGTTTCTCATACGATGCTCTTGGGAGTTTCCTCCCACGACATCACATTCAGACTTTCTGCACTTAATGTGCACCACACCTAAGAGGTATATATCAGGCCTTCTGGATCAACTCTCTGCTTTTCTTAACTTTTCTTCCCTGTTGTCCATATTCTTTTTTAAGTTAGTCAAAGGAAGCAGTGGGAGTGGGGAAAGAACAAAGAAATCTGTCGTGACCCATAGTTATATACACCGCAGCACTCGTACCAGCCAGCCCCTCTCGGTCACATCTTATTGTCCATTGTTGCCTCTGTCCACGAGGCTCTTCTCTGCCGCCAAAATACGCATCTGCTGTCCTTGCTTTTCTGCACATCAGCTCCCAAATGTAGGCCAGAGAGGGGTGTGATTCGCTGAGCCTGGAGAGGTTGGGAGGGGAAGGGTAGAGCATCGTCAGTGTCTAGACTTGGAGGCAGCTCCTACCTCCCACCAAGTCTCACCAGGTGAAAAACTCTCCATATTTTCTCATCTTTTCTTCCTGTGGTCTATCTCCTATTGGCCACTGCTACTTCTAGAAATGAGGTGTTCTTGCTGACATCTGTCACCAAAATATGTCTTCTGCTCTCCATGTACATTGCCCACAGGAAGCTGGGGACCCAGAAGCACTCCCAGTTTGGGGGCGAATGGTTGAATCTGTGTCTCAGGCTGATGGCCGATTGAAAGGTTCAGTGTCAGTGGGTAGAGGCTGGAGGCCAGGTAGGAGAGTTGTGTGGAGCCCAGATAAGGGTCATGTTTATATTCACACACCTGGGCAGTGAGCCTGGCACCTGTAAATGCCTGCAAATCACCAGGGAGCAGAGGACAGTGCTGGCTGGGAGCCTGTGTCTCAGCCCTGCCCCGTCGAATGATGTGGCCTGTGGCCAGGAATATCACCAACGGTCCCTCAATTTCCTCATCTGCAAAATGGGGATAACAATGCTGGTCATGCCTTCTCCCGGATCACTGATGTGGTCCAAAAGTCCTAAACAGTGTCACTAAGTAAGGTGAAGTCTAATAAGTCAAAAATCCCAGCCTGCCATAGGGACCTAAGAGCTGTTCCCCTTCTCCTTCCCTGTGGAAGCTGGGACACAGCAAGGAGCAGGACCAGGCAGCACCAGGCTTCATGCTCCTTCCCCAGCAGCCTGCATAGAGGACACTGGGGTTACCAGGGGATGGTTACCTGGTCCCCAGATCACCTTGTTGTGGCAAGTACCAGAATTGGGCGCTGGCCGGTGATGGCCTCATGGTAGCTCCAGTAAAATGCCCCTTTCCTTTGTCCTTACAGGGAAGGTGGGTTACACCTGTCCCGGAGCCATAATTCCTTTTCGTTTTTTTTTGAGACAGAGTCTTGCTCTGGTCCCACCCAGGCTGGAGTGCAATAGCGCAATCTTGGCTCACTGCAACCTCCCCCTCCTGGGTTCAAGCGATTCTCCTGTCTCAGCCTCCGGAGTAGCCGGAATTACAGGTGCCTGCCACCATGCCCAACTAATTTCTGTATTTTTCCACCACATCTGGCCACTAGTTGATTTTTACGCTCATTAGGAGCCTTATTTTCCTGCTTCTTTTTCACCTAGTAATTTTCTATTTTTTTTTTTTTGTATTTTTGTATATTTAGTAGAGATGTGGTTTCACCATGTTGCCCAGGTTGGTCTTGAACTCCTGAGCTCAAGTGATCTGCCCACCTTGGCCTCCCAAAGTGTTGTGATTACAGGCCTGAGCCACCGTGCCCAGCCACACCTAGTAATTTTGGATTGGATGCCAGGCATTGTGAATTTAACCTTGCTGGATATTTTCCCCTTTCTTTAAATATTCTTGTTCTGCGTGCAATGAAGTTACCTGCCAATAGTTTGATTCTTTTTTTTTTTTTTTTTTAGTATTTATTGATCATTCTTGGGTGTTTCTCAGAGAGGGGGATTTGGCAGGGTCATAGGACAATAGTGGAGGGAAGGTCAGCAGATAAACATCTGAACAAGGGTCTCTGGTTTTCCTAGGCAGAGAGCCCTGCCACCTTCCACAGTGTTTGTGTCCCTGGGTACTTGAGATTAGGGAGTGGTGATGACTCTTAACGAGCATGCTGCCTTCAAGCATCTGTTTAACAAAGCACATCTTGCACTGCCCTTAATCCATTTAACCCTTAGTGGACACAGCACATGTTTCAGAGAGCACGGGGTTGGGGGTAAGGTCACAGATCAACAGGATCCCAAGGCAGAAGAATTTTTCTTAGTACAGAACAAAATGGAGTCTCCTATGTCTACTTCTTTCCACACAGACACAGTAACAATCCGATCTCTCTTTCTTTTCCCCACACTTCCCCCCTTTCTATTGACAAAACCGCCATCATCATCATGGCCCGTTCTCAATGAGCTGTTGGGTACACCTCCCAGACGGGGTGGTGGCCGGGCAGGGGGGCTCCTCACTTCCCAGATGGGGCAGCCGGGCAGAGGTGCCCCCCACCTCCCAGACGGGGCGGCTGGCTGGGCGGGGGCCGCCCCCCACCTCCCGGACGGGGCAGCTGGCCAGGTGGGGGCTGCCCCCCACCTCCTGGACGGGGCGGCTGGCCGGGTGGGGGCTTCCCCCCACCTCCCGGAATAGTTTGATTCTTTCCAGGCTTGATCTCCAGCGTTGTTGGGCAGGGCTAGAGCAGCTGTCCTAAGGCTAATTTGGAACCACAACTGAGGCTATACCCTTCTTTCTGATTACCCAGATACTGTGAGATGTTTCTAGGCTGGCTGGCAGAACTATTTCCAGCCCTATGGAAGCTCTGGTGTTGTTCTTCCTGCTCTTGTCTTGTGGTCCTTTCCCTGGCTTTCAGTATTTGTTTTTTTCTTTTTCATCTACCCACCTGTCCAACAGACCTTCAGTGTTTTTCTCAAATGCACAGAGCGATCAATACTCAGGTGAAGGCTTGAGAGAAGAATTGCAGAGCCTCCCCCACTCCCCAGCCCCCCACCCTCCTGGGGAACCTCTCTCCCCTATGGTTCTTCTTTCTTTAGCTTTGGCCTCCTTGAATTCTCAACTTGTCTCCTCAACTCAGGGACTGCCAGGCTCTTTTGGGTTCTCCCTTCCTGCTCCATTGTCCAAAAACTCTCCAGACAGGAAGATGGGACAATCATAAACCTCACCTGGTTGGTTTGTCGTCTCCTAGGGGTTGCTCTCCTAGGAGATGGGGTGCCATCTGTTGTTTAAGGTCTGGGAATCATTGTTCCATACACTTTGATGGGTTTTTTTGGTGGTTGTTTAAAACAGAACAGTAAATCTGATCCCCATTACTTCATCATGGAAGGAAGATAGATATTATTTCATTTATGAAGTGATCCTAATTTAAAAGTGATCTTAATTTAAATGAAATTTACTAATTTTATAAATGAAATAGTCACATAGAAATTAGTAAATTTCGTTTAAGATCACTGTTGCTTTTAAAGCATTTTTACTTTAATTTTAATTTTTCTGCCATTTAAATTCCTCTACTTATGTTTTTATTTTTATTTTTAGTAGAGATGGGGGTTCACCATGGTGGCCGGGCTGGTCTTGAATTCCTGGCCTCCAATGATCCTCCTGACTCAGCCTCCTAAAGCACTAGGATTGCAGATGTGAGCCACTGCGCCTGTCCCTTCTGCCCATTTTATTTTTATTTATTTATTTACTTATTTATTTTTGAGACAGAGTTTCATTCTGTTGCCTAGGCTGGAGTACAGTGGCGTGACCTCGGCTGACTGCAACCTCTGCCTCCCAGGTTCAAGCAATTCTCCAGCCTCAGACTCCCGAGTAGCTGGGATTCCAGGCACATGCCACCATGCCCAACTAATTTTTGTATTTTAGTAGACATGGGGTTTTGTCATGTTGGTCAGGCTGCTCTTGAACTCCTGGCCTCAAGTGATCCGCCCATCTCAGCCTCCCAAAGCACTGGTATTGCAGGTGAGAGCCACCATGCCTGTCCTTTTTGCTCATTTTAAAATTGGGTTATCTTCTTGTTGAATCGTGAGAGTTCTTTATATATTCAGCTCCTTATATATATATTGACTTGTGATCTTTGTTTTTTTTAAAAGTATAGGTGTTTATAGGTATAAATTTTCCTCTGAACACTGCTTTTGCTGCATTCCATAAATTTTGATATGTTGTGTTTTTACTTCCATTTGTCTTAGAGCATTTTTTTCTTTTTTCTTTTCTTTTCTTTCTTTCTTTCTTTTTTTTTTGAAACAGAGTCTTGCTCTGTTGCCCAGGCTGTAGTGCAGTGGCGCGATCTCTGCTCACTGCAACCTCCACCTCCTGGCTTCAAGCAATTCTCCTACCTCAGCCTCCTGAGTAGGTGGGATTAAAGGCATGCACCACCATGCCCCGTTAATTTTTATATTTTTAGTAGAGAAGGGTTTTCACTGTGTTGCCTAGGCTGGTCTCGAACTCCTGGCCTCAAGTGATCCACATGCCTTGGCCTCCCAAAGTGCTGGAATTTCAGGCATGAGCCACTGCTCCCAGCCTGTCTCAAAGTATTTTATAATTTCTCTTGTGATTTCCTCTTTGACCCACTTGCTGTTTAAGACAGTATATTGTTTAATTTCCACATATTTGTGAATATTCCAGTTTTTCTTCTTTTATTGACTTCTGGATTCATTCCATTGTGGTAGAGAAAATACTTTGTAGAATTTCAATCTTTTAAAATTTATTGAGACATATTTTGTTGATTTACATATGGTTTGTGTTGGAGAAAGAATGGTCCACGTGCACTCAAGAAGAATGTCTGCTGTATTATTATTATTTGACACGGGGTCTCACTCTCTCCTCCAGGCTGGAGTGCAGTGGCACAATCATAGTCACTGCAGCCCCAAACTCCTGGGCTCAAATGATCCTCCAGCTTCACTCTCCAAAGTAGTTGGGATTACAGGCATGCACTACTACCCCAGGCTAATTTTTAAAAATTTTTGTAGAGACAGAGTCTCACTACCTTGCCCAGGCTGGTCTTGAACTTCTGGGCTCAAGCTATCCTCTCACCTCAGCCTCCCAAAGTGCTTGGATTACAGGTATAAGCTGCCACACTCAGCCTTATTATTATTTGACTGGGTGTTGTATATATGTTTGTTACATCTGGTTGGTTTATAGAGTTGTTCGAGTCCTCTACTTCCTAATTGATCTTTTTTTTTCAATAAAACTTCTTTAATGGATTTGCTTTATGCCTTATTGAAAGTCGGATATTTAAGTTTCCTACTGTTTTGTAGAACTATTTCTCCACCTTTCTGTCAATTTTCAATTTATATATTTTGGGACTCCATTGTTAGGTGTGTATATGTTTATAATTATTATATCTTCTCGGTGGATTGAAACTTTATCAATATATAATGTCTTCTTTGATCTCCTGTAACAATTTTTGGCTTAAAGTTTATTTTGCTTGATATTGATATAACCACCTCAGCTATCTTTTGGTTACTACTTGTGTGAAATATGTTTTTCTGTTCTCTTTCAATGGTTTGTGTGTGGATCTAAAGTAAGTTTTTTGTAGACAGTATATCAATGTATTATTTAAACAATCCATTCTAGGCTGGGCACAGTGGCTCACGCCTGTAATCCCAGCATTTGGGAGGCTGAGGCGGGTGGATTACTTGAAGTCAGGAGTTTGAGACCAGCCTGGCCAACATGGAGAAACCCCATCTCTACAAAAATGCCAGGAGTGGTGGTGCACACCTGTAATCCCAGTTACTCAGGAGGCTGAGGCAGGAGACTGGCTTGAACCCGGGAGGCAGAGATGGCAGTGAGCTGAGATGGTGCCATTACACTCCAGCCTGGGCGACAGAGCGAGACTCCGTCTCAAAAAAAAAAAAAAAGAAAAAGATCGAGATCATCCTGGCTAACACGGTGAAACTCCATCTCTACTAAAAATACAAAAAATTAACCGGGCGTGGTAGCGTTGAGTCTGTAGTCCCAGCTACTCGGGAGGCTGAGGCCGGAGAATGGCATGAACCCGGGAGGGGGGAGGTTGCAGTGAGCCGAGATCGCGCCACTACACTCCAGCCTGGGCGACAGAGCGAGACTCCATCTCAAAAAAAAAAAGGCTGGGTGTGGTGGCTCACGCCTCTAATCCTAGCATTTTGGGAGGCTGAAGTGGGTGGATCACCTGAGGTCCGGAGTTTGAGACCAGCCCGTCCAGCATGGTGAAACCTCGTTTCTACTAAAAATACAAAAATTAGCTGGCCATGGTGGTGGGTGCCTGTAATCCCAGCTACTCAGGAGGCTGAGGCAGGAGAATCACTTGAATCTGGGAGGCAGAGACTGCAGTGAGCCGAGACTGCGCCATTGCACCCCAGCCTGGGCAACAGAGAAAAACTCCGTCTCAAATAATAAAATAAAATAAAATAATCCATTCTGCCAATCTCTGTCTTTTAATTGAAGTGTTTTTTGTTGTTGCTGTTTGTGTTTTGGTTTTTTTTGTTTGTTTGTTTTTGATACGGAGTCTTGCTCTGTCGCCCAGGCTGGAATGCGGTGGCGCGATCTCTGCTCACTGCAAGCTCCGTCTCTCGGGTTCAGGCCATTCTCCTGCCTCAGCCTCCCGAGTAGCTGGGACTACAGGCGCCCGCCACCACGCCTGGCTAATTTTTTATATTTTTTAGTAGAGACGGGGTTTCACCATGTTAGCCAGGATGGTCTCGATCTCCTGACCTCGTGATCCGCCCGCCTCAGCCTCCCAAAGTGCTGGGATTACAGGCATGAGCCACAGTGCCCGGCCTAATTGAAGTGTTTAATCAGCTTACATTTAAAGTAATTACTAATAAGGAAGGACTTCTGCCATTTTCTTATTTTTTTTTAATGCCTTATACCTGTTATTTTATTTTACTTTAAGTTCTGGGATACATGTGCAGAATGTGCAGGTTTGTTAAGTAGGTATGTATGTGCCATGGTGGTTTGCTGCACCTATCAATCCATCACCTACGTTTTAAGCCCCGCGTGCGTTAGGTATTTGGTTTTCCCTTCTATTCCCCCATTGCTGCATTCTTTGGTGTTTAAGTGGTCTTTTGGTAGTGTGCCATTTTGTTTCCCTTTTCATTTACTTTCTGAATATTTTATTTTCTTAGTAGTAACCACAGGGATTACAATTAACAAATTTATAACAACCTATTTTAAATTTATACCAACTTAGTTTCAATAGTGTACAAAAGTTCTACTATTGTACTTCTCTGTCCTTCCCTCTTTACATTGTTAGTGTCACATATTACATCTTTTTACATTCTGTGCCCAGCAACATAGATTTATGATTATTGTTTTAGTTATTTGTCTTTTTTTTTTTTTAAGATGGAGTCTTGCTCTGTCACTCAGGCTGGAGTGTGGTGGCACAATCTTGGCTCACTGTCACCTCCGATTCCCAGGTTCAAGTGATTCTCCTGCCTCAGCCTCCCAAGTAGCTGGGATTACAGGCACCTGCCACCACGCCTGGCTTATTTGTGTATTTTTAGTAGAGATGGGGTTTCAGCATGTTGGCCAGGCTGGTCTTGAACTCCTGACCTCAAGTAATCTGCCTGCCCCAGCCTGCCAAAGTGCTGGGATTATAGGCGTGAGCCACCACGCCTGGTGGCATTTGTCTTTTAAATCCTATTTTAAAAAGAGGATTCACAGCACAGTGGCTCACACTTGTAATCCCAGCACTTTGGGAGGCTGAGGCGGGTGGATCAGAAGGTCAGGAGATTGAGACCATCCTGGCCAACATGGTGAAACCCCGTCTCTATCAAAACAGAAAAAACTAGCCGGGCGTGCTGGCACACGCCTGTAGTCCCAGCTACTTGGGAAGCTGAGGCAGGGGAATCACTTGAACCCGGGAGGTGGAGGTTGCAGTGAGCCGAGATCACGCCACTGCACTCCAGCCTGGTGAC
The DNA here is from genome assembly GCF_000001405.40 of Homo sapiens. Classification (NCBI taxonomy): domain Eukaryota; kingdom Metazoa; phylum Chordata; class Mammalia; order Primates; family Hominidae; genus Homo; species Homo sapiens. The sequence continues at coordinate 120,949 of NW_009646201.1, read as the reverse complement.
AGAGCAAGACTCCATCTTAAAAAAAAAAAAAAAAAAAAGGATTTACAAACTAGAAGTACAACAATACTGGCTTTTATATTTATTTAACCTGCGTTCTTTATTTTCTTCTATGGCTTAGACCTACTGTTTGTTATTCTCCATTTCAGTCCAAAGGATTTCCTTTAACATTCCTTATAGGACAGATTGGCCAGCAATGAACTCAGTTGGCTTCTGTTTATTTATGAATGTCTTAATTTATCCTTCATTTATGAAGGCTAGCTTTTCTGAATGTAGGATTCTTGGTTGATAGTTAAAAAAAATAATTTCAGCACTTTAAATATGTTATCCCACTACCTTCTGAACCCCATTGTTTTTGATGGGAAATTGGCTGTTAATCTGATTGAGGATCACTTATACTGACAAGTAACAGCTCTCAGGCAGCTCTCAGGATTGTCTTTGACTTTGCCTTTCAAAAATTTGATTATATAATGTGTCTTGGTGGTGTTCTGTTTGAGTTGATCCTGAAATCCCCTTTGCAAAATTATGATTGAGACAGTGAAAAAGACTTAAACGAACTGACTCTATTTTGGTTTCAATCTTTAAGTTGTCCTTGTTCCTTCTTGGGCATAGGTTGAACTAACTTTGGGAGGAAATTAGTTTATAGTTTACAGTTTAAAACAAAGACAATAATAGCCCTTTCCCAAAAGAAACTTCTTTCTTGTTTGGGGACTAGACTGTGTTTGTAGGACTAACAAATTAGCCACAAGATTAGAAATTCTGGTTTAGGAGTCGTGTAGTTGGAGGCTACAAGATTCTGACCCTCCCTAAATTGTTCTTAAGATCAGTGCTTGAGATATTTTGCAGACCCTGTACCTTATGGATCAGTTGGTACCACCCAGATCGATAAAATTGCTTCATCTGATCTTGTGGCGCCCACCCAGGAACAGTCAGTTCAAGAGGACAGCTTCATCGTCCCATGATTTTATCTCTTGCCTAACCAATCAGCACTCCTGGCTCACTGGCTTCCCCTGACTCACCAAGTTGTCCTTAAAAACTCTGATCCTCAAATGCTCCAGGAGACTAATTTGATCAATAACAAAACTCCAGTCTCCCACACAGCCAGCTCTGTGTAAATTACTCTTTCTCTATTACAATTCCCCTGTCTTGATAAATCCACTCTGTCTAGGCAGTGGGCAAAGTGAACCCACTGGGTGGTTACAAATTTCGAGGCTCATCAGGATTGCCCTTGCAGCTACCTGCCCGTGGTTTGGTAGCCCCTCTCTAGCGATGGATCCAGAGGCTAGCCCAAGCATCTGCCTAGTTCTCTTGGACTAGGGGCTGACTTTGGTACTCTCTACTGGCGGGGTGCTGCCAACCCAATGTGCATGGATTTAATTGCAATGGAGAAATAGTCCTGGGGCGATATCCCTTAACTGTAGCACTATCACAGGGTGTCTGTCTGTAGCTCCATGGTGGGGTGTCTGTCTGCATCCCATTGTGGGGGTCTGGGTTGATGAGCATTCTAGGTACCGCCAATGACCCCTTCCTTCTCCCGACTGGTTCTGTAGCCCCCTGGTGGGGTGTCTGTTTGTCTGTAGCCCCATTGCGGGGTGTCTGTCTCAGTTTGGCTCCTAGGGGGTCTCTGTTGGCTCTCCCTAACTAGTAGGAAGAATCTTGGTTGGGGAGACTTCTTCTCAGTCCAGAAGATTTTGGGGAGATTTCTCAGACAGAGAATAGGAAGATAGTTTGGGAGGGATACTCTTGAGTTCTTTGTTGGGGATCTGATTTGGAAGGCCTTCTGTCTGTCGTGTCTTTGTGTGTGTTTGTATATGTGGAGGGGATCTCAGAAGAAATTGCTGATGGAAGTCCAGCAGGCCTAACTTGGAGAATCCTCCTTATTTGTCTGGTCACATTTGGTGAGCCCTGAAGAAAGCTCGATAGGCCTTTCTCGGGGTGACTATTGGCTCTTTGCCTTGCCCAGAGACCCCACTGTGAATTATCATTTGGAGGTCATCCCTCCCCAGCTGGAATGGATCAAAGACAACAGGGACCGTCTGGAGAAAGTTTGAGCTTTGCTAGGTTGATATTGGGTGCTGAATGGGGTGACTAGTGTCTGTTTTGTTTTGTGTATTTTGCTGGGATGGAAAATGTTCATTCAGTTCCCCAATGCAGCCCATTGGGCAACATCTTGCAAATTGATTATCTTTTGCCTATGGTTCCATAAAACAGAAAAGGGTGATTTTCTTTTGTAAAGTGGCTTGAATCCCACAGCTATGGCACAGCGAGCAGGGTCATCAGAAGGTGCTCCATTCTTCTGGAAGCTGCAGAGAAAGGGAACCCATAAATCTGGTATGCCAAAAAAGGATAAGAAATTCTTACCAGCCAAGTTTCTGGTCTCTCTTTCTCTGTCTGCATAAATGGTAAATGTCACTATATTTGTCTCCTCTGCAAGAGTTTGATTAATAGAAAAATGGATTTGTGAGACTGGTCTTAGGCTGTAGCAAATCTGGTGTACTTTGTACTAAAAGTTTGTCTTTCTATATTCTGTAATGGAGAAAGGAGTATCACAGGATACAATGTGGGTTTAGGATCCCTATAAGCCCATTTTTCAAGCCAACCCAGCAGACTGGTCAATTACAAACTATGCTACGGGTCCCTGAAAACAATACTCGGTAAGATCGGTCTTGTTTTGTGTCCTTAAGAGCTTAACCTTGTGGGGATACTTTATCTTGGTTTCTGCCATCCAGAGGACAGGAATTTTGAGGTTCATGTCACAGCCCTAAGAATTATCTTGAGCAGTTAAAAGCCTTCTCAAACTCAAAATTGGCCTCTCTAGGCTCCTTTTGGGAAAAGCAATAGAAACTGCTCAATGCTGTATAGTTCAGTAACTAAGGGTTTATCTTTTGACAGTGGTGGCCTGGGTTCAATTCTTGGCTTCTGGAATGATTCCTTTCTGGTTTGTTATGTGTGTAACTTTGCCATTTGAGGTTTTTATGGATAGCTTCTGATTTCTTCTCTTGAATTTTTCTTTCTCTGAACTACCTTAGGGAGATTCTAAATCTAGTAAAAAAGAAACTGCTTACCATGCCTTTGAAGCACCTGGGAGGTTGGTTACTTTTGGTAAAGTTCAAAAGCCAGAAATATTGACTGCATGGATAAAGTCAGGTAATCAGAGATGTGAAAGGATTTTTTTAAAGACCACTATGGTTAAAAGTCAACTTAATTAAAAGTGCATAAGCAAGCTGTAGGTATATTTAAAAGGTCTTTATGCTTTTCTTTTCATGGATCTTGTTTTGCTGGAAAAAGGTTTTTTTTTTCTTTTAGTCGACTGAATTATTTTTCTCCATTTTGTCTTACCACTATTAATGCACACATGAGAGGCCCTAAGATAACTTCTGGTAGCCTGAGATTCCTTGGGAAAAACAGAGGAGGTGCTATAGACCCCATTTTGGGAAAAAACCCTGTTTTCCTCATGAAACCCCAGGAATTAAAAGCAGATAGGTCCCCCTCAAAATCTAAGTCTGTTCTGTTTTGCATTGTGCTATCTAACGGTTTTGAGTCTTGGGGGTATCAAAAATTACTTTGAATTATAGGAGGGCTTGATATATAATAACTAGGTAAAAAATATACTTTAAGAATTGGCTAATGTCAGTTATGAAGACATACTTAGCTCTTTGCAAGCTTGGATCAGAGAAACATGCTCTTGGCCACCTGGAAGATACGGAAACATCCCCAACCCCCACTGAGAGATGAGACTCCCATGGGGGATTGGCTGGTTACAAAATGGGCTGATTGGCTTTGGTTTTCCTTGCGATGACATGTGTGGTGGAAGCACTGCACTGTCTTCTCCTGTAGTATTTCTTTCCTTTTTAGGGATCCAGGATACATATAGAATGGCACCCTAATTTGGGGGATCTGTCTCTCCTTTCCAGCTGTGCCTCCTTATTAGGCCCCAGAAACTGCATGGTTTCCTGGCCCTGTTCCTCCACCCTGAAGCCAGTAATCCAATTAAGAAACTGGTAAATAAAAAATCTTACAAGTGCTGAATCTTCTATCTGTCTGTATTCATATGTGTTGTGTGTGTAATATTTACACAAAAAGAACTCTGTTTAATTGGCTTAAAAATAGATGCCGAAATCAAATATTTTGTCAGAAAAAGAGAAACTTTAATGCCTTTTGTACACGTGACTTTAATAATCTTTTGGAAATAAAGACAGTTTTAGAAATTATTGATAAAAACAAAAATGTCTTCAAAATGTAGACATTTGGTCTAAATTAACGTCAGATATCAGATTTACTAAATGTTTTAAGGTTGTAAGCTGTTTCTTTGACTTTTGAAAATTGTTTAATTTGCCTACTTTGGAAAGAGTTAGGCCTTATCTTCACTTCTGTCTGATGTCCTAGACTCCACACCTAGTACATAATTAAAATCACTTATCAGGTTTTCACCAAAAATAAAAGCTGCTAAGAGGTAACATTGTAACATGTAATTGAGACCACTGGAGAAACAGTTCTACATGTAAGGTGTGTAAGGAAAGTAAAAGATTATAGGAAGGCATGGGAATATGGCTTTTATTAAAGGGAATGTTGCCAGACGCGGTGGCTCACGCTTGTAATCCCAGCACTTTGGGAGGCTGAGGCAGGTGGATCACAAGGTCAAGAGATCGAGACCATCCTGGCCAAATGGTGAAACCCTGTCTCTACTAAAAATACAAAAATTAGCTGGATGCGATGGCACATGCCTGTAGTCCCAGCTACTCAGGAGGCTAAGGCAGGAGAATTGCTTGAATCTGGGATATGGAAGTTGCAGTGAGCCAAGATTGCACCACTGCACTCCAGCCTGGTGACAGAGCAAGACTCCATATCAAAAACAAAACAAAACAAAAAAGGAATATAATTTTGTCTAGTTCAGAGGGTTTAAAGATTATCTTAACCTAAAAGAGTAATGGGACAAAACTGGAGGTTTAAACAAAGTGAAAAGGGCTTATGAAGGGTTGGTCTTGTAAAAAAAAGTTCTGTGGGTATGAGCAAGTTGGCTAATATTGGAAGGGGATTATTTAATTTTTTTTTCTGTAGGTTGAACATTAAAATAAAAGCACACGAATACAGGGCCAGAATCTGAGCCCAGGTGTCCAAATAACAGGGTTTTCTTAGAAAACTGATCGACTGTTTAATGAAAAATTATAAAGTGTTCAAAAAAGTTTATGAAAATCTTACCTTATGGTCAGACTAATTAAGACTGAATACATTTGTAAATTTTTATTGTAAAACCAGCCTTAGCATTAAAAATGCACTAATACAAACATTAAATTTGGTTTTCTCTTTTGAAAAAGATTTTTATGTAAAAGATTTTTTACATAAAAGATTATGTAAAAGATTTTTTATAGTAAAAGAAAATGAAAGGGTTTTGTTTGCCCCTTTGGGTAAACTACAGGGAAAAAGGGGAGGAGAGAGAAGATACGATTCAGTTGGCCTCATGCTATCTTCATTGGGTCTTCTTGTTTGGAAAGCTATGTCTCCTCTATCAGAGTAAAGGGTTTTTCTTTTTAAAATTTTGGAGTTATCATTTTGGTCAAATGAATGACTTATGGTGACCTGGGATTCTATTTTGTGATATCCACAAAATAAATCTTTGATATTTGACAAACTTTCCAAAATCAAATTATAAATTATAATTTGATTATAATTATGTCTCTTTCTAACCTAATCTTTTAGATATTAGGTCCTCTAATGTCCAAAAATGACATCTGGCTTACGTGGTATAAAAATCATACAGGAAGCATTGTCAAATATAAAATGTTGTTTGGCTTTCTTTGGGCTGTATTTGTATAAATATGTTATTAGTATGTGTTCCAAAATTATGAGAAACTCCTATAATTCTGATATGATTGAATGTATGCTGTTAATATAATAGTTATAATTTGTATGTAAAATTGTTGTATGCCACAGAAGTAACCAAATTCCTAGTCAACTGTGGCTTTAATAATGGCCGTCCTAAGATTTGTTGTCATCCACAGACAATTGTTGTCATCCACAGACAATTGTTGTCTTGTTTGATGCTCTTCAAAAGGTGGTTTATAATCAGCTCTAGAACTTTGACAGGTGCTCTTGAATTCAGGTTTCCAATAACTTTGGAGAATGTGACATTAGAATAGAGGAAATAACTTCCAGGACTCTCATGGGGAGCTGAAATGTTCATAAATATCAAACAGAACAGGAGTTAATGGAATTGATTGAACTAATAGAAAACTGAAGTAATCTTTTTTTTTTTTTCTTTTGAAATGGAGTTTCGCTCTTGTCTCCCAGGCTGGACTGTTGTGACATCATCTCGGCTCACTGCAACCTCTGCCTCTCGGGTTGAAGTGATTCTCCTGCCTCGGCCTCCCAAGTAGCTGGGATTACAGGTACTCACCACCATGCCCATCTAATGTTTGTATTTTTAGTAGAGATGGGGTTTCACCATGTTGGCCAGGCTGGTCTCGAACTCCTGGCCTAAGGTGATCCACCCACTTTGGCCTCCCAAAGTACTGGGATTACAGGTGTGAGCCATTGAGCCTAGCCCAGTAATCTTTTGTATTAACTTTTTTGCTTAAAACATTGCTGATCCTTTTTGTTTTCCAGAGCCAAGAAAACTTTTCTTTTAAGCTACTTACAGCTTTTAACAGTTGAATAAAATATACTCCTGTGAAAAAATTTGGAGTATATTTGTTTCTCCCTACCTGATTTTTCCAGAATTTGGAAACTATTTGTGAATATTCTCAACATATGGCAGTATAGTTATTTGCATAAGTACAATGATAATCTGTTTTCTTTTGTAACAGGACACAATGGGAGAAACTGGTTATTTTATCAAGGCTTTGACTAGAATGGCATGCTTTTTTTAAAGAATCAAAGTTGGCTGGGCGAGGTGGCTCATGCCTGTAATCCCAGCACTTTGGGAGGCTGAGGCAGGCGGATCACCTGAGGTCAGGAGTTTGAGGCCAGCCTGGCTAACATGGTGAGACCCCATCTCTACTAAAAAGAAAAAAAATTCCAAAAATTAGCTGGGCATGGTGACAGGCGCCTGTAATCCCAGCAACTCTGGAGGCTGAGGCAGGAGAATCACTTGAACCCGGGAGATAGAGGTCACAGTGAGCTGAGATCGTGCCATTGCACTCTAGCCTGGGGAACAAGAGTGAAACTCTGTCTCAGAAAAAAAAAAAAGGAGAATCAAAGTTGAGTTATTGAGCTAATAAAAGCCCCTTGGGAAATCTGGCCTTATACCTTGTCTACACAGTCCCTGTTCAAAGTTCCTGACCTGTGGTAAGTAAAGAATGTCACTTTCTAACAGTCTCAGGAGACCCAAGTTTTCTTGGGACCTCAGGAGGAGAGAAATTTACCCAACTCATAGGTATTTGAGTGTACAAACCCATGGCTGGGCTTAGCTTTAAAAAAGTCTTATTTGAGATTCCTTACAGAACAGAGTTCCATCAAAGCCAATTTTAAAGGCCTATGTGAAAAATAGTTATTCTTGGTGTGCTTTGTGCAAATAATCAGGCCAAGTATAATAAGACTAAAGTTTATTTTGTAAACAAATCATTCTATCATGATTTGTTTTTAATAAAAATGGAGACTGAAGAGAGAAAAATTATGCTTCAAAAGAAAAGCTATAGTATACCTGTTGTTCGCTGTTCTTGAGTTTTTCGGCAGTTTGGACAAAATCCTAAATTTTTGTGGGCTACAAGTCTCCAAACTAATGCTTTCAAATCTTTACTTTTAAAACTGGGAATTACACTCCTTACTAGCTCCCTTTTGCCTTCCGCCTTGAGTGGAAGCAGTCTGAGGCCTAACCAGAAGCCCTGCAGATGGGGGTGCCATGCTTCTCGTACAGCTTGCAGAACTGTGAACCAAACATCTTTTGTTTATAAATTACTAAGTCTCAAGCATTCTGTGAAGGCAACACAATAGACTGGGACAGTATCAGAACTGGTCCTAGTGAGGTCCTTGTGAGACCTCTATAGCATGTGCTTCCTTTTAAGTTAGATTTAGTCTGCCATGACTGTGAGAATATCTGAACTACATTGATGAGCTTGGAATTACAATATTATATAAATTGCATTGTCTTGAAAACTAATGGTATTTCCTGAAATGACTCATCCCTGAACTCGATGGAGAGCTTTATTTTTTTCTTGCCACACTCTGTAACTTTGCAGTATAAGAAGTTAACCTAGGCTTGGCTAGTCGCCCACCCCTGTAATCCCAGCACTTTGGGAAGCTGAGGTGGGAAGACTGCTTGAGCCCAGGAGTTCAAGAGCAGCCTGGGCAACATGGTGAAACCCCATCCCTACAAAAGAATGTAAAAGTCATCCAGGCATGGTGGTGCACGCCTGTGGTCCCAGCTACTGCAGAGGCTGATATGGGAGGATCACTTGAACCCAGGCAATTGAGACTGCAGTGAGCCAAGATCATGCCACTGCACTCCATCTTGGGTGACAGGTTGAGACCCTGTCTCAAAAAAAAAGAAAAGAAGAAGAAGAAGAAAGAAGAAGTAGTTACCTATGCTCGTAATCACATAGGGCACTAGGGCAGGTGCCCAGGCACTGCAGGGTAAGGCCTAACGGAATTATGGCTCCGGGCTGGGTGCGGTGGCTCACGCCTGTAATCCCAGCACTTTGGGAGGCCAAGGTGGGTGGATCACCTGAGGTCAGGCATTTGAGACCAGCCTGGCCAACATGGTGAAACCCCGTCTCTACTAAAAATACAAAAAATTAGCTGGGTGTGGTGGTGCACACCTGTAATCCCAGCTACTACAGAGGCTGAGGCAGGAGAATTGCTTGAACCTGGGAGGCAGAGGTTGCAGTGAGCCAAGATTGCACCACTTCACTCCAGTCTGGGTGACAGAGTGAGAATCTGTCTCCAAAAAAAAAAAAGGAATTATGGCTCCAGGAGGATAAGTGTAACCCACCTTCCCTGTAAGGACAAAGGAAAGAGGGGCATTTGGCTGGAGCTATTATGAGCCCATCACTGGCCAGTGCCCAATTCTGGTACTTGCCACAACAAGGTGATCTGGGGACCAGGTAACCATCCCTGGGTAACCCTGGTGTCCTCTCTGAAGGCTGCTGGGGAAGGAGCATGAAGCCTGCTGCTACCTGGTCCTGCTCCTTGCTGTGTCCCAGATTCCACAGGGAAGGAGAAGGGGAATAGCTCTTAGGTCCCTATGGCAGGCTGGGATTTATGACTTATTAGACTTCACCTTACTTAGTGACACTGTTTAGGACTTTCGGACCACATCACTGATCTGGGAGAAGGAATGGCCAGCATTGCTATCCCCATTTTGCAGATGAGGAAATTGAAAGACTGAGGTGATATTCCTGGCCACAGGCCACATCATTCGACGGGGCAGGGCTGAGACACAGGCTCCCAGCCAGCACTGTCCTCTGCTCCCTGGCGATTTACAGGCATTTACAGGTGCCAGGCTCACTGCCCAGAGGTGTCAATATAAACATGATCCTTATCTGGGCTCCACACAACTCTCCTATCTGGCCTCCTCCTCTACCCCCTGAGCCTTTCTTTTTCTTTTTTCCTTTCTTTCTTTCTTTTATTTTTTTTTTGAGACGGATTCTGACTCTGTCGCCCAGGCTGGAGTGCAGTGGCGTGATCTCGGCTCACTGCAAGCTCCGCCTCCCAGGCTCACGCCATTCTCCTGCCTCTGCCTCCCCAGTAGCTGGGACTACAGGCGCCCGCCACCAGGCCTGGCTAATTTTTTGTATTTTTAGGAGAGACGGGGCTTCACCATGTTAGCCAGGATGGCCTCGATCTCCTGACCTCGTGATCCGCCCGCCTCAGCCTCCCAGAGTGCTTGGATTATGGGCTGAGCCACCGTGCCTGGCCCCACTGAGGGGCGGTAAGCCCGAGAGACTGAGATTCAACCACTTGCCTACCAAGTTCTAGGCAGCATACAAGCCACATCTTCACTCTTGTGATAACATGACAGATGTTTCCACTTCAGCCTCTGAATGATCATGGGCCAAGTCTCCACTTCAGCCTCTGATTGGTAGCAGGCCAATCCTTCATAAGGTTTAGCCAGTTGGAGGAGGCCAGTTTTATCTCATGGCTGCTGAAACAACCTGCAGGGACACTAAGACCAGCTTCACCCACCACCATCACTCACCAGTCAGAGCTTCACCCGCCATCATCCACCAGAGCTTTACCTGCTGCTGTCACTCACCAGTCAGAGCTTTAACCACTGTCATGATTCACCTATCAGAGCTTCACCCACCACATCGCTCACCAATCAGAGCTTTACCTGCCATCGTCGCTCACCAATCAGAGCTTTACCCGCCATCATCACTTACCAGTCAGAGCTTCACCCACTGCTATCACTCACCAGTCAGAGCTTCACCCGCTGCCATCACTCAACAATCAGAGCTTCACCCCGCTGCCATCACTCACCAATCAGAGCTTCACCCACCGCCATCACTCACCAGTCAGAGCTTCACCTGCTGAAGGGGTGGCCAGCTGCTCCACAACCTGTGGGTGTTTCTCGTCAGGTGGGATGAGAGACTGAGAAAAGAAATAAGACACAGAGTCAAAGTATAGAGAAAGAAAAGTGGGCCCAGGGGATTGGTGCTCAGCATATGGAAGACCCGCACTGGCACTGGTCTCTGAGTTTCCTCAGTATTTATTGGTCACTATCTCTACCATCTCGGACAGGGTGATGTGGCAGGACTATAGAGTAATGGTGGGGAGAGGGTCAGCAGGAAAACATATGAGCAAAGATCTCTGTGTCGTAAATAGGTTTAAGGAAAGGTGCTGTGCCTGGATGTGCACGTAGGCCAGATTTATGCTTGACTTTACACAAACATCTGAGTGCATTAAGGAGCAGTATTGCCGCCAGCATGTCTCACCTCCAGCCATAGGGAGGTTTTCTGCTATCTCAGTATTTAGAGCGTATGATCGGGTTTTACACCAAGACATTCCATTCCCAGGGACGAGCAGGAGACAGATGCCTTCCTCTTATCTCAACTGCAAAGAGGCCTTCCTCTTTTACTAATCCTCCTCAGCACAGACCCTTTATGGGTGTCGGGCTGGGGGACGATCAGGTCTTTCCCTTCCCTCGAGGCCGTATCTCAGGCTGTCACATGGGGAGAAACCTTGGACAATACCTGGCTTTCCTAGGCAGAGGTCCCTGCGGCCTGGCCTTCTGCAATGTATTGTGTCTCTGGGTACTCGAGATTAGAGAATGGTGATGACTTTTACCAAGCACGCTGCCTTCAAGCACTTTTTTAACAAAGCACATCCTGCACAGCCCTAAATCCATTAAACCTTGAGTCAACACAGCACATGTCTCTGTGAGCACAGGGTTGGGGCTAGGGTTACAGATTAACAGCATCTCAAGGCAGAAGAATATCTCTTAGTACAGAACAAAATGGAGTCTCTTATGTCTACTTCTTTCTACATAGACACAGTAACCGTCTGATCGCTCTTTCTTTCCCCCACAACCCGCCGCCATCACTCATCTGGTAGAGCTTTGCTCACCACCATCACTCACCAATCAGAGCTTCACCCGCCACCATCACTCACTAGTCACAGCTTCATCTGCCACCATCACTCATCTAAGCTTTACCCACTGCAGTCATTCACCAATCAGTGTTTGCCAACTCCCTAGAACCTTACTAGTGCCAATGAAGTTTCTGGAAAAACAGTATGTGACATTTTTCATTTTTATAAAACCTCTAACAACTGAGCACGATGGCTGACAGGCGTGAGGTGGGAAGATCACTTAAGGCCAGGAGTTCAAGACCAGCCTGGACAACATAGTGAGACCCCCCTGTCTCTACTAAAAATCAGAAAAATTAGTCAGGCATGGTGGCATGTGCCTTGTAATCCCAGCAACTTGGAAGGCTGAGGTAGGAGAATTGCTTGAGCCCAGGAGTTGGAGGCTGCAGCGAGCTATGATTGCACCACTGCAGTGCAGACTGGGCAATAGACCAGACCCTGTCTCAAAAAAAGCAAAACAAAACAAAAACAATTTTTTTAAAAAATAGAAAAATATTCTCAAAGTCCAGCAGGAGGCAATTGGTTAAATAGATTATGCTCCACTTCTTGCTAAAATAAGACACATTTTGGTGACAGATAGCAGCTGACAGATGGCAGCCAATCGGAGGCCTCTAAAGGGCAGCAAGGGGTGTTGCCAGGTTCCTTTAGCTTAATAAAAACCCTAATTGAGGAAGCTCTTGAGCCGTTTGCTCCAGCCACTCCCACCCTGTGAATTGTTTTCAATAAAGCTGTGCTTTCCGGGTCTTTTGTTGCTTTGTCTTTCGTTTGTTCTTTCTTTGTTCTTTCTTACTTTGTGCATTTTGTTCAGTTCTTTGTTCAACACACCAAGAACCTTGATGACTCTATCTCTGCTTGGGTCTAATCAGTTATCAAACTAGAGTCAGACTGGATCTAAACGAAACCGCCTTCCAAACAGGGGGTCACCAATTTATAGACAGCTCCTCCCGGGTCATTGAAGGAAAAAGGCACAACGGGTACTCCTTAGTTGTTGGGGAGACCTCACAGAGGTAGAGTCAGGAAGACTGCCAAATGCCTGGTCTGCCCAAACATGCGAACTCTTTGCATTAAACCAAGCCTTAAAATCCCTGCAGAATCAGGAAGGAACTATTTACACCGACTCCAAGTATGCCTTTGGAGTAGTCCTTACCTTTGAAAAATCTGGACTCAACAAGACCTCGTAAATAGTAAGGGCCAAGATCTGGTCCACAAGGAATTAATTATGCAAGCACTAGAAAATCTTCAGCTGCTGAGCCGGGCATGGTGGCTTGCACCTGTAATCCCAGCACTTTGGGAGGCCGAGGCGGGCAGATCACCTGAGGTCCGGAGTTCAAGACCAGCCTGGCCAACATGGTGAAACCCCATCTCTACAAAAATACAAAAATTAGCCGGGTGTTGTGTTGGGCGCCTGTAATCCCATCTACTTGGGAGGCTGAGGCTGGAGAATTGCTTGAACCTGGGAGGCGGAGGTTGCAGTGAGCCGAGATCGTGCCACTGCACTCCAGCCTGGGCAACAGAGTGAGACTTCGTCTCAATAAATGAATGAATGAAAATCTTCAGCTGCCAGAAGAAATTGCAATTGTCCATGTCCTAGGCCCCCAAACACCCATCTTTTGAAAGCTGGGGAAACAACTTCGCAGATCAGATAGCTAAACAAGCTGTCTCTTCCCAAGAGGCACCCATTTTCCATCTCACCCCTTGTCTTCCCCCTCCAGCTGTGATCCCCACCTTCTCCCGTGCAGACCAAGAGAAACTAAAGAACATAGGAGCTAACGAGAGCCCAGAGGGAAAGTGGGTAATACCAGATGGAAGGGAAATGCTGTCTAAACCCCTCATGAGAGAAATATTGTCACAGCTTCATCAGGGAACTCACTGGGTTCCTCAAGCTATGTGTGATGCAGCCCTCAGAGAGTCTGTGGGTGTGTAGGGATATATACCCTTGCTAGGCAAGTGACAGATGGTTGCATAGTGTGCAGAAAAGCTAATAAGCAAACCCTTAAAGAAGCAACCTCCTGGGGGACAAAACCCAGGGTTGAGGCCATTCCAAAGTGCCCAAGTTGGCTACACTGAAATGCCCCCAGTAGGCCTCCTCAAGTATTTACTAGTAATAGTAGACCATCTCACCCACTGGGTAGAAGCCTCCCCTTCCCAAGCGCAACAGCCAGTAACGTAGTCAAAGCCCTGTTGGAACATATCATGCCCAGGTTTGGACTAATAGAGAACATTGATTCAGACAATGGGACCCACTTCACTGCACACATCATTAAGGGGCTAACCTAAGCACTAGGAATAAGATGGGAATATCATATTCCCTGATCCACCCTCATCAGGGAAGGTAGAAAGAATGAATCAAACTCTAAAAAGTCACCTAACCAAACTAATCTTGGAAACGCGGTTACCATGGACAAAATGCCTTCCCATTGCCTTACTAAGAATCCAAACTGCCCCTCGAAAAGATCTCGGCCTGTCCCCTTACGAAATGCTCTATGGACTGCCTTATCTAAATTCCACTACTGACCTTCCTACATTTGAAACAAAAGATCAGTTTCTAAAAAAATGTATATTTTGTCTGTCTTCCACCCTTTCCTCCCTCAGGACTCAAGGCCTTCTAGGGCAAACTCCACCCTAGTTCGAATTCCCAGTTCACTAACACCAGCCCAGAGATCATGTCCTTATCAAAAGACGGAAAGAGGGAAAGTTCAAACCAACCTGGGAAGGACCTTATCTAATACTCCTAACCACTGAGATAGCAATCCAAAGGCCGAAAAAGGAGGGACCCACCCCTTGCAAAGTCATGGACTGTCACTCCAGGACCAACACCCTCCAAACCAATGTTCAAAAGGGTTTAGTCTGTCTTTTTTTTTAATTCCTTTAGTTACCAAAGAACATCTTATCATCAATGTAACCCGATCACCCTGCCCTCAAACGATCACATTCAATGCTTGCCTTGTCATGCCCTGTGGAGACCTTTAGAGTCAAAAACAGCTAGCTTCTTCAGAAAAGTACCTCTGCCCCTCCACCCGCTTCAGACAAATCAGAAACCCTTGTGATGGACAACCACGAGCCTTCCAGGGGTTATGTTATAATTGGGGAGATGTTATCTAGACCACCCAGTATCAGGGCTGGACCTCCTCAGAGGGTTGCACCGCCCTAAAACCTTACATCCACCTTACCAAAGGAGTCACACCCTCAAATTGCCAAAACCACCAGTTTTCCCAAAAGTCAGAAGCCCTACGGGACAGCCCCCAAGGGCCATTCGACTTCCAGCTCTTGATGCCAATTTTACCTCATGTCTCTCATGGCAAGGGGAAAATCTGACGTTCCTCGGAAACCTGATGGGATGTACTGGGCCTAAACCTTTCCAAGAGCTAACCAGTCAGTCAGCCCTAATCCATCCCCAAGCAGATGTACAGTGGTATTGTGGGGGACCAATATTGAGTACTCTGCCAAACAATTGGAGCAGCATTTGCACTCCGATCCAATTGGCCATCCCTTTCACCTTGGCATTTCAACAACCAGACAGGAAGCAGGTAACCCAAAGGAAAAGAGAAACCCCTCACGGGTCCTTTGACCTCTCATATTTACATAGACAGTATCGGGGTTGCGCTGGGGGGTACAAAATGAATTCAAAGCTCGAAACCAAATAGCCACCAGGTTTGAGTCTGTATTATTCTGGTGGTCCACTATAAACAAAAATGTAGACTGGATACATTATATATACTATAATCAACAGTGATTCATCAATTACACCAGAGATGCCATAAAAAGAATAGCTCAACAATTAGGCCCTACCAGCCAGATGGCCTGGGAAAACAGGATAGCCCTTGACATGATATTGGCCAAAAAAAGGCGGAGTCTGTGTCATGATTGGGGTCCAATGTTGCACTTTTATCCCCAATAACACAGCCCTGGACAGGACAATCACAAAAGCCTTACAAGCCTTACCACCCTAGCAAATGAATTAGCCGAGAACTCTGGAATAGATGACCCCTTTGCAGGTGTCATGGAGAAATGGTTTGGAAAATGGAAGGGACTCATGACCTAAATATTTACCTCCCTTGCAACAGTTACAGGTGTACTCATCCTTGTGGGCTGCTGTATCATACCTTGTATTCGTGGGTTAACCCAAAGGCTCATAGAAGCAGCTCTCACAAAAACCTCCCCCACCTCTCCCCATCCATAGTCAGATAAGCTCTTGCTCCTAGATGATAAAGAAGAACAACAAAGCCAACTCCTGTTAAATAAATTTGAAGGGGAAGAACTATAAAACAGAAGAGGGGAAATTGTTGGGACAACTAAGTTCCTCTTCAAAGATTCAACTTCCTGGCCATAACTTGGAAACAAATCCTACCCCTACAACCTTTTCAAAAATCACACCTTTACCTTATTTGGGAAGGTTTAAGCATTAGCCTGTCGGGGTCAGCTTAGATTATGCGGCCCAACCCCAGCCAATAGGGGAAGGACACAGAAACAGAAACTGCATTAGGGATAAAAACCCCTTCCCTCCTTTGTTCAGTGTGCTCTTGGGATTGTAACAGGCACAGGCAGCACCCTTCTACAGAAGTAAAAGTGACTTGCTGAGAAATTTTCTAAGTGCGGGTTTCTTTTCGCTACACCGAGCACTTGTTTCCAACACATGCAAACCAGAATGGAGGTCTCCCTGGACCTGGGTTT
This sequence comes from Homo sapiens, assembly GCF_000001405.40. Taxonomy (NCBI): domain Eukaryota; kingdom Metazoa; phylum Chordata; class Mammalia; order Primates; family Hominidae; genus Homo; species Homo sapiens. The sequence goes on along the minus strand of NW_009646201.1, from coordinate 104,761 downwards.
GGGCCACAAGCTTGCAAGACCTTGGGCAAGACTGTTCCCTCTTCTGAACCAAGTCCTTCCCTGGCCCAGCCGCTTGTGAGTAACACATCAGTTTCATGCTTACACCTCCTGGTCTTGTGAGTAACACATCGGTTTCATGCTTACACCTCCTGGTCTGACCGGGCTCTCCTTTGCAGAGCCTTTTATTCCTTCCCTTCCTCTGAACACTGGCTGGCTGCTTTCAGGGAAGAAGTTCAAGGCAGTGGCAGGGAGCTCCTTGCACATCGCCATGACAAATGTTTTATGGAAACAGTGAGCTGATGGGACGAGGGGTCGGGGCTAGAAAGTCAGCCAAAAGGTGTGAGAACCCGGACTAGCCCCCAGCCCTGAACATGGCAGGCCACTGTGCCATGGTAGGGGAGTGAAAGTTTCCCTCTGCTCCTCTTAGGGTTCCAGCTGGGGCTCCTTACAAAAGAGAAAAACAGTTCATTAATGCATGTAGTGCACCTCACTGAAGAAGCTTCAACAAAAAGCAACTCAGAACAGTGACTTAGAACTGGGTTATGGAGCAACTTCAACAAAGAATAATCAACGTGTGGGGAAATGACAGGACCCAGGAGAGCGGTTTTAGGCTTCCAAGTTTGGGAAACCGGCAAGGTGAGTATTGGGAGGAAACTAAGGCGGAAGTTTCATTCACAGAGCCCTAGGGTGCCTTCTTTCCTCTGGCTGATGCGTCTCTCTCCTATAATTTCCATCCTGCCTCAGACAGCAGAGGGACAGGGCAGAGAGAGATTTCCCTGCTTCTGCTGCATCTTAGTTGCCTTCAACTCAAGATAATTTCTGAGGCTCATTTTGGAGTGACATATTCTGGTGTCCTTCACGGTACAGGGCACAGCCTCAGAGGACCAGATCCACAGCTGATCACTGAGCTCTTCCATGTGCCAGGCCCGTCCAGGGAGAACACTCAGCCCCACAAACAGGGCAGGTGGCACCAGGATGCTGGGCGGCAGCCTAACCCTCAGCTCATGGGTGGGTGGAGTGGAGAGCACCCTCCCCATGTGGGGCTCCCTGGTCGTGGACCTGGAGACCACCAAGGCTCTGCAGTCTCAGAAGTGGCCTGTTGGAATGGGGTCTGCAGGCAGGGAAGCCTTGGGCCAGAGTCCCTCAGGGGCAGGAACACAGCCCCCAGGCTTGTCCCACTTGTCCCTCTGAATAGTTAAGGGCTGCCCACAGGGAACTTCCCTCCCTCCCTCCCTTCCTCCCTTCCTTCCTGCCTCCCTCCCTCCCTTCTTTCCCCTTTTCTTCTTTCATCCTCCCCTTTCTTCCTTCCTTACTGTGGTAAAATACACATAACATGAAATTTACCATCTCAACTATTTAAACACGCACAGTTCCATGGTGTTGAGTTCACTCACATCGTTGTACAGCCATCACCAGCATCCATCTACAACACTCTTTTCATCTTCCCAGACTGAAACTCAACACCGTTCACAGCTCCCCATTCCCGCCTTCCCCAGGCGCCCACCATTCTCCTCTCTATTTCTACGAATTTGATGACTCCAGTCCCTCAGATATGTGGAATTGTGGCTGGGCGCGGTGGTTCACATCTGTAATCCCAGCACTTTCAGAGGCCAAGGCAGGCAAATCACCTTAGGTCAGGAGTTCTAGAACAGCCTGGCCAACATGGTGAAACCCAGTCTCTACTAAAAATACAAAAATAAGCCGGGCATGGTGGCACACATCTGTGGTGCCAGCTACTCAGGAGGCTGAGGCGGGAGAATCGCTTGAACCTGGGAGGCAGAGGTTGCAGTGAGCTGAGATCTCACCACTGCACTCCAGCCTGGGAGAGAGAGCGAGACTCTGCCAAAAAAAAAAAAAAAAAGTTAATAGAATCGCATGGCATTTTTCCTTGTTGGACTGGATTTTACTTAGCATAAGGCATCAAGGCTCACCCACGCTGTAGCAGGTGTCAGCGTCTCCTCCCTTTCTAGGGCTGAGAAACATTCCATCTAGAGACAGACTCACTCCGTGCAGCCATGACGCCTTGGTGAACACCACGGCTGCTTCCAGCTTTTGGCTATGGTGAGTTCCGTTGCTAGGAACACAGATGTGCACATGTCTCTTCCAGACCCCCTTTCAATTCCTTGGGTGTATACACAAAAGCAGGATTGCCAGCTCATACGGTAATAATATTTTTATTTTTATTTTTATTTTTTGAGAAGGAGTCTTGCTATGTTGCCCAGGCTGGAGTGCAGTGGTGCGATTTTGGTTCACTGCAACCTCCACCTCCCAAGTTCAAGCGATTCTCCTGCCTCAGCGTCCCAAGTAGCTGGGGTTACAGACTCGAGCCACCACGACCGGCTAATTTTTGTATTTTTAGTGGAGATGGAGGATTCACCATGTTGGCCAGGCTGGTCTCGAACTTCTGACCTCAAGTGATCCGCCCGCCTCGGCCTCTGAAAGTGCTAGGATTGTAGGCATGAGCCACCGCGCCCGGCCTCGTACGGTAATTCTGTGTGATGTTTAGGGACACGTCTCGGAGCTGGCGAACTGGACTTGGGGTGGGAGGGAAAGGAAGCATTAAAGATGCCCCCAGCTTTCACGGAGATGAGAACGGTGCCCCGGGAGGGCGGGACGGGATCAGGGTCCTGTGAACGGGGTATCAGTGTAAACTCCTCTGAGAGATATCAGGAAAAGCAGGAAGAAGCCTCTGGGACCCTTCGGGAGGTAACTCCTCTTCGCAGCGGGGCGCGCTCTCCCAGTCCCTGCAGCCGCCGCCGCCCTCTCCTGAGCTTCCTCGAGCGGACGCCAGGCAAGGGCGGGGGTCGTAGCGGGGCGGAGCGGGGCTTTGTCCACGGACCGCGCGAAGAGGCCTCAGGGCCCGGCGCGGGCGCCGGAGGGGGACTCGCTCGCAGGGGGAACGCGAAGGTTCCTCAGTCTGCGGGACGCAGAGCTCCGTGGGGCCGCGAGCCGGGGCCGGGGAAGCGACTCTGCCTAGGGGGACGTCGCGGGCGCGGGGCACAGGGTCCTGCGGGGCTGGAGGGCTACAGGCTGCGGCGCGCGCGAGCCGGAAGGCCGGGGATCGTGGGTTCTGGGGCCGCAGCTTCACGGGTTCGTCTCCCCCGCCTCCCCGGGGGAGCAGGATGTCAGGGGGTCGCCCCCGCCCGGGAGACAGGGTGTCAAGGGGCCCCCGGGGACGGGGCTTCAGGGGCACCCGGAGCCGCTCGGCCCCAGGGCGGGATGCGGGGACAGGGCCCCAAGGTACCAGGGCCACGAGGGGCGCGCGGGTCCCTTGGGGATGCGCGCGAGGAGGCGCCGTCCCTTCCTAGCAGGGGTCCCTGGGGACCCGCGGCCGCCTCCCGCGCCCCTCTGTCCCCTCCCGTGTTCGGCCTCGGGAAGTCGGGGCGGCGGGCGGCGCGGGCCGGGAGGGGGCGCCTCGGGCTCACCCCGCCCCAGGGCCGCCGGGCGGAAGGCGGAGGCCGAGACCAGACGCGGAGCCATGGCCGAGGTGTTGCGGACGCTGGCCGGTGAGTGCAGGCCTCGGCCCCGGGTGCCCGCGAGGGAGCCGCTACCGCAGGGAATGCGGGGTGCACCCGACAGCCGGGCCGGGGTGGGGGCGCTCAGGGCTGCGAGGCTTCGGGCCGGCCGCCGCCCCAGCCTCCGAGACCCTGCGTCCTGGGGAGCCGGCGGGCAGGTGGGCTCGGCCGCGCTGTGGGTGCCTGGGACCCGCAGGGAGGATGGGCGCGGTGGCGCGGCCTGGCGGGGGGCTCGTCTCCGGGGTCCCCGGGTCCTGGTGAGAGCGGGGTCCCTCGACGCCGTGGCGGTCTCCAGCCTCTCCTCGCCCCTCCACGCTCCCCGCCTTCCATGAGCTGCTATTTTCAGCACCTACCGCCCGACCCTGGACTAGGACAAGGCTCTGGGCTGCCCTGCCCGCCCCCCAGCCCTTCCCTCGGGCACGGCGGCCAGGCGCCCGGGTTGACCGGGAACAGCCTCCATACCCCAAACGCGGAGGCGCCTCGGGAAGGCGAGGTGGGCAAGTTCAATGCCAAGCGTGACGGGGGAACTGTGCCCCGGGCCCTCAGGTGATATAGGAGTTAAGAAGAAATTATTGAGGCAACCAGATGCGGTGACTCAGGCCTGTAACCCCAGCACTTTGGGAGGCCGAGGGTGGATCACCTGTCCTTAATTTTCTTGGCGCCAGAAGATGAATTGAGTATTTACCCAGACAACAACGTCGCTTCAGAGGGAGGGATGCAGAACGCAGGGCCACGGGGTGCAGGCTGCAGGCCAGTGAACCCCAACGCCAAAGGCCAGGGAGAGCCGGGTGGGGTACCCAGAGCCAGCACACAGCCCTTTAATTTAGAGGAGTGCTGTGTACACATCTGGGGAGAGATGTTTTACTTTGATTTGGAATCAGGTGGCGGATAAGGCATACTGAGGCCTGACTTGGTGAGGGCTCCTGCCCCGGAGGTGCAGCCCTGGAGGAGCGGGAGGCAGAGGAGTGGAAAATTCATGAAGAAAACCGGGTATGGTGTAGGTCGAGGCCCTGCCCTCAGTAATGCTCACCATTTGTCAGTGTTTACTGTGAGGCAGCACTGTGTTCAGTATCGCTGAGTTCTCAGGAAGGAACGGTAAATACTTCCCGGGTCATTCTTTCACCCACGGGAAAACAGGTTTGGAGAGATCTGGGACAGTGCTCTGGTCCTAGGCAGGAAGGGCTGAGTGGGGCCTGGGACTCAGGTCTGACTGCAAACACCTGCCTCCTCCCTGTGCTGCCAGCGCCTTCCGGGTTCTTCCCTGTCCCTCCTTTGTGGTCTTTGTTTTCCCTTTTTTGTCTTAATATGTTTCAACGGATGTATACAATAAACCGCACATGAAAGGTACAGCTGGATACATCTTGACCCAGTCAAGATGATGAACACAGCTGCCACCCCAGGAGTCTGTCCTGCCCCACGGGTTATGCTGTCTTAGTTGGTCTCATGTCAGGGAGCCTTGGAGGACCAGGGTCGGGCAGTTGGTCTCTATACTCCTGGGGTTCTGGCACTGGCTCTGGCCCATGACCGCACCCAAGACAAACGTCTTGAAGACTAAGAGGTTAGGTCTTTGAGAAACCTGGCAAATGAGTGCCCATTCTCAGGTTACCCACATTCTGCATGTTGATTTAGTCATCCAACCAATGTTGGTTGAACACTGATGAGAACAAGCAGGCCTGTGCTAGAAGGTGCCTGCAGCCAGGAGCTGGTGAGCTGGTGTCCTTAGGGACACCAATGGCGAGGGACCCAGTGTGTGGAAATCTGGGGGACAAGCATGCCAGGGAGAAGAGCTCACATGGGGAAGGCCCGGCTCCACAAATCAGTCAGGCTTGTTGGGGCGGGCAGGAGAGCAGGGTAGTGGAGTCAGAGGGAGTGATCCCCCGAAAGGCAGGAAGAGGACATGAGAGAGCCTTGGAGATGACGGTGAGGATGTGGTTGGTGGGCGGTGAGCTGGGTGTCATGTGCTGGCTCCTTAGAGAATGCTCAGCTCCTTCACACCCATCATAATCCCTGGAGGACTGAGACCACGTGCAGGAGTTTTGGAAGCTGGCAGTGCACCCAGTCCCGGCTCTCCTCCATTCTGGTGGGTCTCACCAGAGATTGGCCAAGAAGAGATCAAACTGTTCCTGGACCAAACTGAGGGTGGGGCTGCTATCTCTCGCGGCCCAATAACGAGATGCAGATGAACTGGGGAGAAAGAGAGTTTTTATTTCTGTAACCAGTTACAAGGAGAAGACCTGGAAATTATCTCCAGACCAACTCAAAATTACAAAGTTTTCCAGAGCTTATATACCTTCTAAGCTATATGTCTATGTGTAAGTGTGCATTCATCTCAAGACATAAGTAATTGACTTATGTTAATCTATAACTAAGGTCTGAGTCCTGAAGACCTTCCTCTGGATCCTCAGTAAATTTACTTAATCTAAAACCCTTATCTTGTCTCCTAAATCATGGGGGTTTGGGAAGTTCCTTCAGACCCCCAGTAAACTTATTTGTGGAGTCCTGGGGAATTTCTTCAGATCCCCAATAAAACTTGTTTAATCCTAAATGGGTCCTGTTAAGAATTCCTTCGTTATTTTGTCATGCTTGAAGGCCCAGGAAAGGTCTAGGCAAAACTCTTGGTGGGATTTTGTTATATTCCAGCCTTTTTATAAGGGCACTGGCTTTTAATATTTAATTTAACCACTCAGTCAGTACTGAAACAGTTGTTAGGGAGGCCTGCGTTAGTGAGACCTGACCTGCCACAACACATCTTACTCGGAATGCTGCCCATAACTTCAAAAAATCAGCTTTGACGGAGCCCTACTGAACACACCTAGCATCTCTCTTCCTTCAGCTTAGGGTCAAGGGGCTGGGGTTGATGGCACCATTGAAAGAAACAGCTTTATTGCCGTGTCATTGATATGCCATAAAATTCACCTGTTTCAAATGAATTATTTTCAGTTAGTTTACAGAGTTGTGAAATAAATTTTATAACTTTTCCATCCCCAGCCCACCAAAACTCCCTGGAACTCCTCCGCAGTCATTCCCCATTCCCACCTGGCCTCAGACAATCACTTTCTGTCTCTCCAGTCTTGCCTTTTCTGGACAGTTCCTATGAATGGAGTCCTGTGTTACATGGTCTTTTGCATCTGACTTCCTTCACTTAGAATAATGATTCCGAGATTCATGTATGTTGTAGTATGTATCAGTATTTAATTCCTTTTTATTACTGAATAATCCATTGTACAGATAGACCACATTTTGTTTATCCATTCATCAGCTGAAGGACATTTCGGCTGTTTCTGCTTTTTTAGCTATTTTAAACTGCACGCAGCACTGCTATGAACATTTGTGTACAAGACTTTGTGTGAACATGTTTTCATTTCTCTTGGGTTGATACCCAGCAGAGGAATTGCTGGGTCATACAGAAAGTCTGATTTAACATTTTAAGAAACTAGCAAACTGTTTTCCAAAGTGACTGCCCCATTTTACATTCCCATCAGCAGTGTATAACGGTTCTAATTTTCTTTTCCTTTTTCTTTTCTTGAGACAAGGTTTTGCTCTGTCACCCAGGCTGGAGTGCAGTGGCATGATCTTGGCTCACTGCAGCCTCAATCTCTTGGGCTCAATTGGTCCTCCCACCTCAGCCTCCTGAGTAGCTGGGACTACAGGTGAGTACCACCACATCCAGCTAATTTTTGTATTTTTGGTAGAGATGGGGTTTTGCCATGTTGCCCAGGCTGTTCTCAAACTCCTGGGCTCAAGTGATCTGCCCACCTCGGCCTCCCCAAGTCCTGGGATTATAGGTGTGAGCCGCTGCGCCTGGCTGAGGGTTCCACTGTCTGTACGTCTGCAGCAATACATACCATTCTTGTGGGTAAAAGGTGGTATCTCATTATAGTTTTGATTTGCATTTCCCCAAGGTCAAATGATGGCAAGTGGCTTTTCTTGTGCTTTTTAGCCATTTGTATATGTTTTTGGTGAAATGCCTATTGAAATGTTTTGCCTTTTTAAAAATTGAGTTGTCTCCTTTGTTCAGTTTTGAGAGTTCTTTACATACACAGTATCATATATATATATATATATATATATATATATATATATATATACACACCAGATATATGATTTGCAAATATTTTCAACCATCAATAGTTTAACACTTTTTTATTGGTATTTTGAAGTAGAAAAGTTTTACATTTTGATCCATTCCAATTTATTAACTTTTTCTTTTATTGTGTATCTGGTATCATATCTAAGAAATCTTAATCCAGTGTCACAAAGATTTAATCTTATATTTTCTTCTAACCGCTTTCTAGTTTATGTGTAAGAATCTGTCCATTTTACCTAAGTTGCATAATTTGTTGGCAAACAGTTGTACATAGTATTTCCTTGAAATCCTTTTAATCTCTGTAAGATTGGAATTGCTGTCTCCTCTTTTAGTCCTGATTTTAGTTATTTGTGTTCTCTCTCTCTCTGGTCAATGTAGCTAAAGCTTTGTCAATTCTCTTGATCTTTTCAGAGAACTGCCATTTGATATTTTTTTACTTTATCTTTTTCTTTCTGTTCTCTAGTTCATTGGTTTCCACTCTTCTCACTTTGGGTTTAATTCGTTCTGTCTTTTCTTATTGTAGTTACTTACAATGGAAGCTTACACACTTGATTTAAGATTTTTTTTTCTAATGTAGACATTTACAGCTATAAATTTCCCTTGAAACACAGCTTTAGTTATATCTCATAAATTTTGGTATGTTGTGTTTACATTTTCATTCAGCTCAGTGTATCTTTTGATTTTCTTCTTTGACCCATTGCTTATTTAGAATTATGTTGTTTAATTTCTATGTATTTATAGGTTTCCCAAATTTCTTTTGTTAATTTCTGATTTCATTCCCCTGTGGCTAGAGAAGAAACTCTGTGGATATCAGTCCTTTCGAATTTCTCAGAATTGTTTTATGGTCCAGCATATGATTGACCTTGGACACTGTTCCATGTGCACTTGAGGAGAACGTGACTTCGGCTCTTGCCAGGTGGAGTGTTCTAGAGATGTCAGTTGGTGTCCAGTGATGTCAAGTCATTTGTATCTACTGATTTTCTTTCTAATTATTCTATCCATTACTGAGAGTGGGGTAGGATTTTGGTGTCCAATTATTGTTTTTTTGTTTTTTTTTTTTTGTTTGTTTTTTTTTTTTTTTGAGGTGGAGTCTCACTTTGTCACCCAGGCTGGAGTGCAGTGGTATGATCACAGCTCACTGCAGCCCCCACCTCCCAAGGCTTAGGTCACCTCAGCCTCCTGAGTAGCTGCAACTACAGGCAAGTACCATCATGCCTAGCTGATTTTTGCATTTTTTATAGACAGGGTTTTGCCATGTTACTTAGGCTGGTCACGAACTCCTGGGCTCAAGTGACCCACCCACCTCGGCCTCCCAAAGTGCTGGGATTACAAGCGTGAGTCACCATGCCTGGCCCAACCATTACTGGTGAATTGACTGTTTCACCCTTCAATTCTGTGAGTTTTTGCTTCATGTATTGCTGCGGGATAATTAAGGAATCAGAGAGACCGATGGGGTTGAGGAGGAATTATTTAATTATTTAGGTGCACCGACCCAATCAGATTAACATCCAAAGGACTGGGCCCCAAACAAAGAGTCAAGCTACCTTTTAAGCATTTTGTGGGGTGGGGGGAGATTTGTGCAGGGGGAAGAGTATTACAGAAGCAAGAAACAAAGACAGTTATTCAGTTAAGACATGCATTACATTATTTCTTACTTTTCAAGGAACAACACGTTTTATGACTCAAGATTATCTGTTTAGTGACCTTGCAGCTGCACAGCTAGAGAAACAGAGTCTTCGCAATGCCTGGGAAAGGGAGAGATAAGGCTCACTAGCCACAGAAAAACAGCCAGTTAATTTTTAAAGGACTCCAGCCCTTTCTCTTCCTCAAGGGGAATTGGTTTTTTACATACAACTGAGTTTTTGCTTACACAGTTTTTAATTTCTTTTAATTCCTGTTCTAGTATTTTGGGGCTAGGTTGTCAGGTATGTATATATTTCTGTTTGTTATATTTTCGTGATGTATTCACTTTATATCATGGCAGAATGTTTCTCTTTAGTAAGATTTTTGATCTTAAAAAAGTTGGCCAGATGGGGTGGCTCATGCCTGTGATCCCAGCACTTTGGGAGGCCAAGGCAGGTGGATCACCTGAGGTCAGGAGTTCAAGACTAGCCTGGCGAACATGGTGAAACCCCGTCTCTACTGAAAATACAAAAAAATTAGCCAGCTGTGATGGTGTGCGCCTGTAATCCCTGCTACTTGGGAGGCTGAGGCACGAGAATTGCTTGAACCCGGGAGGCTGAGGTTACAGTCAGCCAAGATCGTGCCACTGCACTCCAACCTGGGTGATAGAGTGAGACTCTGTCTCAAAAAAACAAAAAAATTATTTAGTCTGACGTTAGCATTTCTCCTCAAGCTCCCTTACGGTTGTTTGCATAGCAAATCTACTATCCTTTTGCTTTGACCTATTTGTATCTTTGTTTCTAAAGTATGTATGTCTCTCACAGGCAGCATATAGTCAAAGCTTAAAAAAAAAATCCAGTCTAACGATCTCTGCCTTTTGATTGGCATGTTCATTCTATTCCCATTCAATGTTATTATTGCTGTGGTTGGATTTCCATCTATCAGTTCACAATTTGTTTTCTATGTTTTATGCCTTTTTGTTCTTCTGTTCATCTTTTACTACCTTCTTTTGTATTAAGTATTTTCTAGTGTAGCATTTAAATTCCCTTTTTCTTTTTAAGTGTATATTTTAAAGTTATTTTGTTAGTGTTTGCTCCAGGGATTACAATATGCATTTTAATTTATCAGGATCTACTTCAGATTAATACTAATTTTAGTAAAATACAGGAACTTGACTCCAGTATAACTCCATTTCCTCCCTCCTTGCTTGTGGTTTGTAGTATTATTGTCGTATATGTTCATCTATATATGTTATAAACTCAACAACATGGTGTTATAATTATTGTTTCACACAATCTTATTTCTTTTCAATTCAGTAAGACAAGTAAGGAGAAAAACACTTTTCAAGTCTTTTATATTACACTGTATATTTATCACTGACTTTACTCTTGATTTCTTCCTGTATATTCAAGCTATTGTCTGGTGACCTTTCCTTGCTCCAGTATATATAATAACTTCATTGCCTCCTTGCTCCTTTATGCTATTATTGTCATATATATTATATATGTTTATGCTGTGAGCCCATCAGCTAAGTCAGCTTAGCAAGGTCTCAAGATACAAAGTCAATGAATAAATCAGGCTGGGTGTGGTGGCTCACACCTGCAATCCCAGCACTTTGGGAGGCCAAGATAGGTAGATCACTTGAGGCCAGGAGTTTGAGAGCAGCCTGGCCCACATGGCAAGACTCCATCTTTACAAAAATACAAAAAAAAAAAAAAAGTTGAGTGTGGTGGTGCGCCTGTAATCCCACCTACTTGGGAGGCTGAGGCATGAGAATTGCTTGAACCCAGGAGGGAGAGGTTGCAGTGACTGGAGATCACACCACTGCACTCCAGACTGGGCAACAGGGCAAGACACAGTCTAAAAAAAAAAAAAAAAGAAAAAAGAAAAACAAGAATAAATCAATTATTTTTCTATAATACTTGCCACAATCAATTGAACCATGAAAAATTTTAAATACCATTTACAGTAGCATCATAAAACATGAAATATTTAGAGAATAATTTACCAAATTAGGAGAAATGTCTATACAATTAAAACTGCAATATAAACCAGGCACCATGGCTCATGCCTGTAATCCCAGCACTTTGGGAGGTCAAGGTGGCCAGATCACTTGAGCCCAGAAGTTTGAGACCAGCCTGGGTGACATAGTGAGACCCTGTCTCTACAAAAAAAAAAAAAAATTAGCTGGGCATGGTGGCATGCACCTGTAGCCCCTGCTACTCAGGAGGCTGAGGTGAGAGGATGACTTGAGCCCAGTAGGCAGAGATTGCAGTGCATTCCAGCCTGGGCTACACAGCAAGACCCTGACAAAAAAAAAAAAAAAAAGAAAAAGAAGGTCACAAAAAAACAGAAAACTGCAAAATATTGATGACAAAAATTAAAGAAGACATAAATAAATGGAGAAATATACCATGCTCATGGATTGGAAGACTTACATTGCTAAACTGTCACTTCTCCCCAGATGGATCTACAGAGTCCACATAATCTCACTTAAAACTCCAGAAGAAATTTTTGTAAAGTTGACAGCTGATTCTAAAATTTTACATAGTAATCAGAATAGGTTGATATTAGGATAGACAGATAGTTCAATGGAATAGAATGCAGAGTTTAGAAATAGACCTACACAGAAATAGTCCATTGATTTTTTAAGAGTTGCTTTTTGATAAGGGTGCTAAGGTAATGTGATAGAGAAAGGAAAGTATTTTCAATTCAAATGGCTGAAATGACTGGATATCCATTGAGGGAAGAAAGGGACTTTAGCCTTTCACACAATACACAAAAATTATGGAATTCTGAAGAAAATAAGAGAAAATGTTCATGAACTTGGGGTAGGCAAAAATTTAATAGATGAGGCAAAAAAAAAAAAAGGCCCAAACCATAAAAATGGTTTCATTTTTATAAGGATAAATTAGAGTTTATAAAAATTAACACTTCCCTTCAAAAGAAAAATTAAGGAAAAATGAATAAATAAGCCACCGACTGAAAGAAAATATTTGTTTTCTAAGAAGTATTTTGTTTTTCATTTTATGGGTTCATAGTAGGTGTATATATTTATGGGGTCCCTGAGATATTGTGGTTCAGTCATACAATGGAAAATTCACATCATGGAGAACTGGTATCCATCCTCTTGAGCAATTATCCTTTGTGTTACAAACAATCCAACTATACTCTTTTAGTTATTTTTATTCTTTTTTTTTTTTTTTTTGAGATGGAGTCTCGCTCTGTCACCCAGGCTGGAGTGTGGTGGCGCCATCTCAACTCACTGCAACCTCCGCCTCCCAGGTTTAAGTGATTCTCCTGCCTCAGTTTCCTGAGTAGCTGGGACTACAGGCACCCACCACCACGCCCGGCTAGTTTTTGTATTTTTAAACTTTTTTTTTCTTTTTTCTTTTTCTTCTTTTTTTTTTTTTGAGATGGAGTCTCGCTCTGTCGCCCGGGCTGGAGTGCAGTGGTGCAATCTCGGCTCACTGCAACCTCCGTCTCCCAGGTTCAGGAGATTCTCCTGCCTCAGCCTCCCAAGTAGCTGGGATTACAGGCATGCGCCACCACACCCAGCTAATTTTTTGTATTTTTAGTAGAGGCAGGATTTCACCGTGTTGGTCAGGCTAGACTCGAATGCCTGACCTCGTGATCCACCCACCTCGGCCTCCCAAAGTGCTGGGGTTACGGGCGTGAGCCACCACGCCTGGCCTTAGTTTTTGTATTTTTAGTAGAGATGAGGTTTCACCATGTTGGCCAGGCTGGTCTTGAACTCCTGATCTCAGGTGATCCACCTGCCTCGGCCTCCCAAAGTGCTGAGATTACAGGCATGAGCCACTGTGCCCGACCTCTCTTTTAGTTATTTTTAAATGTGCAATTAAATTATTATTGACTATAGTCTCCCTGTTATGCTATCAAATACTGGGTCTTATTCATTCTTTCTATTTATTTGTACACATTAACCATCCCTACATACCCTCTCACCCCTGCCACTACCCTTCCAAGTCTCTGCGAACCATCCTTCTATTCTCTATCTCCATGAGTTTAATTGTTTCGATGTTTTGATACTACAGATAAGTGAGAACATGCAGTGTCTGTCTCTCTGTGCCTGGCGAGAAAATATTTGTAATATTTGTATTTGGCAAAGGACTTGTATCCAAAATATAGAAATAAATTCTGCTCAATAATAAAAAGAGAAACAACTTAATGAGACCCAGTGTCTACAAAAAGTAGAATAATTAGCCGGGCATGTTGGTGCATGTCTGTAGTCCCACCTAATCAGGAGGCTGAGGGGGAAAGATCACTTAAGCTCAGGAGTTCGAGGTTGCAGCGAGCTGTGATCGTGCCACTGCACTCCAGCCTGGGTGACAGAGTAAGATCCTGTCTAAAAAAAATAAAAATAGAGGGCCAGGTGAGGTGGCTTATGCCTGTAATCCCAGCACATTGGGAGGCTGAGGCAGGTGGATTGCTTAAGCCCAGGAGTTCAAGACCAGCCTGGGCAACATGGTGAAACCCCATCTCTACCAAAACCACAAAAAATCAGCTAGATGTGGTGCATGCCTATAGTCTCAGCTACTCAAAAGGCTGAGGTGGGAGGATCACCTGAGCCCAGGAAGTCGAGGCTGTAGTGAGCCATGATCATGCCACCACACTCCAGCCTGGGCAACTGGAGTGGGACTGTGCCCCCCAAAAATATATATAAGTAAATAAATAAATAAATAAATAATAAAATGAGCTAAAGATCTGGACAGGCTTCATAAGAAGCAAGCAAATGGCCAATAAATACATGAAAAGATGATTTACCTCCTTAGTCATTGGACACACTTAGATACCACTCCTCATCCACTAGCATGGCTAAAGGATAAAAGAGTGACCATCAAGTGTTGGCAAGGACTGTGGTTCTCGTACATTCCTGGCGGGAATGGAAAATTCAGTCACCACTTTGGAACACAGTTTCTTACAAAGTTAAACATACACTTACCATATGACCCATCTTTTCCATTCCTTGGTATTTACTCAAGGGAAATGAAAACACAGGTCCACAAATACCTGCACATGAGTGTTTACAGAAGCTTTGTTGCTAGTGGCCCCGAACAGTGAAAAAACCACAGTGTCTGTCAATAGGAGACAGAATAAATGAATTGTGGCGGATTAACAATGGCGTGCTTCTCAGAAATGAAAAAGAACGAACGATTGATACACGTGACAATATAGGTGAATCTTCAAAACAGCATGCGGTGTGATGCGGCCAGACATAAAAGAGCATGTATCAGAGGATTCCGTGTATGGGAAACGCCAGGGAATCAGATCCATGGTTGTCAGGGTCAGGAGGGACCTTACTGGGGTGATTACATGTGTACATACATTGTGTGAAACTCATCAAAACCGTATACCTAAAGTGGGCACATTTTATTGGATGTAAGTTATCCCTCAAATTAAATTAATTTTCAAAGTTTTAAAAAATGGAACCATTTTTGCCACATTGAAGGAAAATTATTTCCACCAAGATTTCCCTACAGCCAAACGATCTACCAACTACAAAAATGGAAAAAATAATTTAGGACATGTAAAGTTCAAATGTTTTGCCTCCCACGTTTCTGTTTCAAGAAGCTATTCGAGATAAATCGCTCCGTGGTCACAGGACTTAGAAAGGTGGAGGTAAACACACACAAGCATTATAAGATAAGAAGTAACAGATGAATTAGTTGAAAGGGACTGATTTCGGGGGAAGGAATAGGAACTGGGCCAGGAGATAGACGCCTTTCAGGCTTGCCCTTGTGAAAACGATAGTCCCCTCTTACCTGCGGGGGATAGGTTCCGAGATCCCCAGTGGATGTCTGAAACCACAGATAGTACCAAACCCTACAGAGAGTATGTTTTCTCCTGTACACACATACCTATGATAGGGTTTAATTTATAAATTAGGCACCGGGTGGGATTAACAACCATAATTAATAGTAAAATAGAACAATTATAACAATATACTGTCCGAGGCGGGTGGATCACTTGAAGTCAGGAGATCGAGACCAGCCTGGCCAACATGGTGAAACCTGTCTCTACTAAAAATACAAAAAATTAGCCAGGCGTAGTGGTGGGCGCCTGTAAACCCAGCTACTCGGGAGGCTGAGGCAGGAGAATTGCTTGAACCCGGGAGGCGGAGGCTGTAGTGAGCCGAAGGTGCCCCTTTGCACTCCAGCCTGGGCAACGAGCAAAACTCCATCTCAAAAACAACAACAAAACAACAACAACAACAAAAACAATATACTGTAATAAAGGTTACGTGAATGTGGTCTCTCTAAAAAAAAATGTGTATATATCTTAGTTTGTGGGTTTTTTGTTGTTGTAGTTTTGTTTATTATTAAGAGACAGGGTCTTGCTCTGTTACCCAGGCTGGAGTGCAGTGGTGTGATCATGGCTTACTGCAGCCTTCACCTCCTAGGCTCAAGTGATCCTTCCACCTCAGCCTCCTGGGACCAGAGGCATGCACCACTATGCCCAGCTAATTGTTTTTTTTTTTTTTTTCTTGATAGAAATGAGTTCTCACTATGTTGCCCAGGCTGGTCTAGAACTCCTGGCTTCCAGCAATTCTGCTGGCTCAGCCTCCCAAAGTCCTGGGATTATAGGCACGAGCCACGATGCCTGTCCTCAAAATATTTTACTGTACTGTACTCACCTATTATTGGCCTTTGGTTGACCATGGGTAACTGAAACTCCAGCAAGCGAAGGTGTGGATAAGGGAACTACTGTACGTGACTTTAATATACATAAAATCACCTTAAAGACAATGATTGTTTCCAGAACATGAGCCTCTGAGACAGCAGGGAGATACTAGGGGAAGTTGGTGGCTCCTCTCCCTGGCAGGAACTGGTCTGGGCTCCTGGCTCAGCCTGGCCATGAGGCTGTCCTGGCCTCCCTCGGTGGGTTCGACAGTGACCTCGACGTGCTCATTTCAGTGTGGTTCATTCCGGTCTCCCAGGGGAAGGGGGTGCTGAGTGGAAGGAGGTCAATGGGAAGCCGGGGTGGCTCTCAGAGTCTGCAGGAGCAGTCGGGCTGATGAGCTGGGAGGAGCAGACCGCCTCCCTCTTCTCTGAGTGGGAGGAGGGCCAGATCTGGACTGGGTTTGGAGATGCTCAGGTGGGGCTCAGAGCATCACCTGTGGGGCAGAGGGACCATCTTGGCAGATGAAGGCCCGTCGCAGGGTGTGATGCCTGAATTACAAGGCGGGACAGGTAAAGTGGGGCAGGTGAGAGAAGGAGGGTGAGTGATGTGATTTTTCTACTCCTGTTTTCCAGGAAAACCAAAATGCCACGCACTTCGACCTATGATCCTTTTCCTAATAATGCTTGTCTTGGTCTTGTTTGGGTAAGACACATTTGACCATCGAGGCTGGCCTGGTTTGGGGAGAAGTGACCACAGCAGCCAATCAGACCCATGGGGCCTCCCTGAGCTCCCCAAGTATCACAGTTATCAGGGTCCTAAGGACAGTTATTGCCTGCGTCCAGCTCTGGCGGAGGGTGTGCTTACTTGCTCCCTTATTTTAGCCTCACCTGGGCAACAGGCTCATCTCACTCCCATTTAAAATTTTCCTAAGTGTGGAGTCTGGGGCTGGGAGAGCAAGCCCCTTGCCCACAATTGCGTGGCTGGGGGTGGGGAAGGCAATTCTGGGTCCCAAGCTGTTAGTCGCTTCCAGACACAGAAGGTCCCAGAACCAAGAGTGAAGTCACCTGTCACCTCTACTGGGGCATCTCTGGACACGGTCTGGAAACACTCCCTGACGTGGCCTCAGGGACTGCACTGACCAAGGCACTGGTGGCGGGGGGTGAGGGAGCTGGGGCTCTGGAGCTCCAGCAGGTGCCCATACGTGAGCAATATCCCAGGGACCACCCTCCTGCCCACCTCCCGGTGTGGGACGTGGCGAGGCGCCTGAGCTTTGCTGAGAACTTGCCCTACCTGCCTCGAGGCCTTGCAGCTTCACCGGGAACTCTTGTGCTCACGCTGCTGGCCGCACCATGCACTTTTTGGAGGAAGGGACCAACAGGCAGTCTTCGTTCTGTGTCCTGAGTCTTGGCACACTTCCTTTCTGCAGTTACGGGGTCCTAAGCCCCAGAAGTCTAATGCCAGGAAGCCTGGAACGGGGGTTCTGGTGAGTGCAGGGAAGAGCAGGTGGAGCATCCATGCTGGCCGGGGTGCTGGCTGTGGGCGGGGGTCCCACTCTGGGAACTCCCCCTCCCCTTCCTGGGCCCGCTCTCTATGCTCTGCCCAGTGTAGACATGCTCAACTCTGTGGCCTTGAAGGGTCACCTGGATACCTCTGGAGTCAGCCTTGACCTCCCTTCTGACCTCCAGTCCCCAACTCCAGGCTTACCCAGAGTTCCCATGCATGGTCTCTGCTCCCCCATCCCCACCCCTCCTCCACCAGCCATCCTCAACTCTCCCTTTGCTCTCACCCCTACACTGGGTTCCCAAATCCTGCCAGCCCTGCTCTTCAGCAGCTCGCGTGCCCACTGGCCTCCCTGCCTTCGACGTCCTGCTCCAGGGCTCCGGTGGGGCTGCCCTCATCTCTGTGACAGCCTCAGACTTGTCTCCCCATCCCCATCAGCCCTGTCCCCCTTCTTCTCACAGCAGCTGGAGTGATCTTTCCAGAACATAAGGTAGGAGGCTCTCCATGATCTGATCCTGCCTTCCTGACCTCCCCAGCCTCATCTCTCCCTCCTCTGCCCTCGCCCTCTGTGCTCCAGCCAACGTGGCCTGTCACTCGTCCACCTGCCATACTGTCCTGACTCCAGGCCTTTGCCTGTGCTATGGCCTCTGTTGGGACCACTCTTGTCTCTCCCCTGCTGTGTCTGCTAATTCCCACTCGTGTCAGTGATCCATGGCTGCAGAACACACCACTCCATCCATGGAAAACAATCACAATCATTGATTACTATCTCTCCCTGGGCTTCCTGGGGTGGACTGGGCTCAGCTGGGTGGTTCACTTTGGGGCCTCAGCAGTCATGGGCAGACAGTGGCTGGGGTCACTGCAAAGACTTCCCTGCATCTCTGGCAGTTGATGCTGGCTGTCATCTGAGACACCTACCCAGGGCCTCTCCCTGGGGCCTGGGCTCCTGCTTAGCTTGGTTGGGAGGCTCCAAGACCAACATCCCAAGAAAGATGAGACAGAAGCCAGATCACCTTTTTGGGCCTGGCTTCAGAAGTCACCCAGCATCACTTCTGCTGCATTTATTTCTTAGAAACACAGAATATCAGACCCCATCTCTTGATGGGAGGGGGCCTCATGGTTTGTAGACATGTTCTGAAACTCCACTCTGCCCGGCCTTGGCTTCGACGTGTCTGGTGAATGTGTGGGCTGTGAGGCTCCCCGAACGTAGACCTCAGACTGCAACGCTGGCCGTTACAGGGTCTGGCACACGGGCCCACGTCAGGCCCATCGCCACAGTGATGGTTGTTCTGTGACTGTTTCTGGTGGCCTCTGCTCCACACTCCAGGCTGACGCTGTGCCCCTTCCACTGGGACCCTCGGGTGGCTTCCATGCACTTGTGCCCTAAATCCTGCTCCTAGACTAAACTTCATCTCCTGTGTTCTCATTCTGCAGCATGGCTGTTAGGGAACCTGACCATCTGCAGCGCGTCTCGTTGCCAAGGTATAATGTCAGTGCCTCCCTTCAGTGGCTCCCATGTCACAGAATTGTCCTGCAGCCCTGGCACATGTGTGCCATGTGGGAGCTGGGGCAGGTCCTCTTTCCTCCTGTGGCTCCGAGGGAGGGGGCCGCTCCTTCCCCAGTCTCTACCCTGACTTGGCCCTCGTCCTGCAGCCACTCAGAGAGCACGATGGAGCTGGAGCTTCAGTTTTGACCAAATGCGTGTCGCCGGCTTTTGTGTGTGTGTGTGTGTGATGGAGTCTCGCTCTGTCGCCCAGGCTGGAGTGCATTGGCACCATCTCTGCCCACTGCAACCTCTGCCTCCTGGGCTCAAGTGATTCTCCTGCCTCAGCCTCCTGAGTAGCTGGGATTACAGGCGCCCACCACCACACCTGGCTAATTTTTGTATTTTTAGCAGAGACAGCGTTTCACCATGTTGGCCAGGCTAGTCTTGAACTCCTGACTTCAAATGATCCGCCCGCCTCAGCCTCCCAAAGTGCTGGGATTACAGGCATGAGCCCCGGCACCTGGCCTTCAAATTGGCTTTTAAAGAAGATGACCAGCTGGTCTGTTCTGTCTGGGGCCTTGGAGGGCTGTTTCCCAGGATGTGGGCCTTTATCAGTGCTGACCTAGGCAATCAAGGCCAAGCTGGCCACACTGCTTTTGATTTTTTTTAAATTGTGATGAAATACGCTTAACATAAAATTTGCCATCTTAGTCATTTTGGAGTGTTCAGTAGCTTTAAGTCCATTCACATTGCTGTGCAGCCATCACCACCATCCATCTCCAGAACTCTTTTCATCTTGCCAACCTGAAGCTCTGTCCCCATAAAATAGCAACTCCATTTTCCCTCCCCCAGCTCACCATTCCATGGTCTGTTGTTATGAGTCTGCTACTCCAACTACCTTTTATAAGTGGAGTCAATGGTACCTGTGTTTTTATGTCGGGCTCAAATCACTGAGCGTGATGTCCTCACGGTCCATCCAGGTTGTACCAAGTGTCAGAATTTCCTTCCTGTTTTCTGCTGACTCCCTGCTTTTAAAGGCCATCTTGGACATTCAAATTGTGGCCATTACTGACAGTTAAAATGGCCCCGGCTCATGTCTCCTGAGCCTCTACAATCCTTTAGGTGGGGACAGTACTGTGGCCCACACGTCCCCACAGGCTGCGTGTGACACCTGACAGTGCTTTGTGCCACTGTGGAGCAGGTGTCACTCTCCCACTTCTCAGAGAGGAAGCCGGGCTCTGGAAGCCAGCAGCCCACAAGGAGGCCCAGCAGGCTTCGGGCCCAGGTGGGGAGGTCTGCACATCTCAGGGCCTTTCCCTGGGAACAACCAGGGACAGAGGCCACACACCCAGCCTCCTCTCTGCCCACAGTGAATTGAGACACAACCCCTTACGTCCCTCCCAGCCTTAAGTCAAGTGGAAAGCAATGGCCCCTGAGGTCACTTAGTCCCTCTTGCCAGTTTGTAAGTGCTGAATCAGAGACTCTGAGCTTTGGCCCTTTCCCGAGTTCCCGGGATTATGAGCTGACACAGCCCCCAAGCAACCACAGTGATTCCAGCCTGGGAGTGTGGCCTTGGCGGGAGGGTCAATGCCCAGTCATGGTTCAGCGGCTGTGCACACCCCTGCTTACCTGCATCCCACGCTTTCCATGCAAACTCACGTGGCGGCGCTTTGTGCTTGCAGGATGGTCTACCCCCAGCCAAAGGTGCTGACACCGTGGTGAGTAAAGTTACTGACACTGAAACTGAACGCAGCTCAAGGGGCTGTTCTGAAGGTATTAGAGGGCGGTTTCCTTGATGTAAATCTCAGTTGGGGCTGCTTCGTTCTCTCCTCTCAGATTCTCCTGACATCTGAATTCAGAGGCCCACATGGCTGTCCTCTTTCCCTTTGCTTTCTCTGACTTGCGTCTCTTGTTTCCTGTCCCTTTGTTCTCCAAAGCCCCTGCAAAGGCCTGATAGGTACCTCCTACCTGGGGAGGGGCAGCGGGGGTTGGGTGCTGGGGAGGGTTTGTTCCTATCTCTTTGCCAGCAAAGCTCAGCTTGCTGTGTGTTCCCGCAGGTCCAATGTTGAGGGAGGGCTGGGAATGATTTGCCCGGTTGGAGTCGCATTTGCCTCTGGTTGGTTTCCCGGGGAAGGGCGGCTGCCTCTGGAAGGGTGGTCAGAGGAGGCAGAAGCTGAGTGGAGTTTCCAGGTGGGGGCGGCCGTGTGCCAGAGGCGCATGTGGGTGGCACCCTGCCAGCTCCATGTGACCGCACGCCTCTCTCCATGTGCAGTAGGAAGGATGTCCTCGTGGTGACCCCTTGGCTGGCTCCCATTGTCTGGGAGGGCACATTCAACATCGACATCCTCAACGAGCAGTTCAGGCTCCAGAACACCACCATTGGGTTAACTGTGTTTGCCATCAAGAAGTAAGTCAGTGAGGTGGCCGAGGGTAGAGACCCAGGCAGTGGCGAGTGACTGTGGACATTGAGGTCTCTCCTTGTGTTCAAGACAGAGTGGGGTGGCGGCCAGCCTTGTCCTCCCAGAGGGTAGATGGGAAAGGTCATTCATGCAGCATCTTACTGAGCTCACGTGGGCTCGTGGGCTTGTGGGCTCGCCAGGTCGGTAAAACCCAGCTCCTTCTCCAGAGGCTGCGTCTCACCCAGGGATGGTGGCTTCTGCTGCCCCCTCCTCTCTGTAACTGTGGCCGGCCGTCATGCTGAGCCACCCCCTCAATACAAGGCTCCAGATGTTTCCTGCTCACTGACCAGAGATAGCAGGAGGGGGACACCTGTTTGCTGTCCTTGGACCCTAGAAAGAGGATGCTGGCAGAGCCGTGGTCACTTCTCTGTCAGATGTAGGTGGGGCAGGCAAAGCAGTTGGCCCCAGACACCAAAGGAAGTGGCTGACCCACAAGGCCCTGGGACTCTGGGCCAGGCCAGAGAGGGAGCTAGCCAGGCAACCGCAGACACATACTTGACTTCTCGGCAGCTGTGGGCAGCTGGGCCAGCGACAGTGGCGGAGGCCAGGAATGACTTACTCTTAGGAATAGGTGCAGTTCAAGCCTGGAGGGAGGAAGCTCTAGGGTGCAGAGGCGGGTGTGTGGAGGCCTCGCGTGCAGCTTATAATGAGGGAGCACGTGGCCGGCCTGGCCATAAGAGGGGCAGCTGCGTGGGGAGGCGTGGCTCAGGCCAGGCTGAGGGGGAGTGAGCGGACGCCAGCCTGCGGCCTGCTACCAGCCTCCAGCCACCTGCCCTCAGCCCTCCTTAGTAAGAGGGGGTGCTGGTGGTCCCCCATCGCTGGGAAGAGGATGAAGTGAATCGCAGCCCGAGGACTCGCTCAGGACAGGGCAGGAGAACGTGGTGCATCTGCTGCTCTAAGCCTTCCAATGGCCGCTGGCGGGCGGGTGCAGGACGGGCCTCCTGCAGCCCAGGGGTGCACGGCCGGCGGCTCCCCCAGCCCCCGTCCGCCTGCCTTGCAGATACGTGGCTTTCCTGAAGCTGTTCCTGGAGACGGCGGAGAAGCACTTCATGGTGGGCCACCGTGTCCACTACTATGTCTTCACCGACCAGCTGGCCGCGGTGCCCCGCGTGACGCTGGGGACCGGTCGGCAGCTGTCAGTGCTGGAGGTGCGCGCCTACAAGCGCTGGCAGGACGTGTCCATGCGCCGCATGGAGATGATCAGTGACTTCTGCGAGCGGCGCTTCCTCAGCGAGGTGGATTACCTGGTGTGCGTGGACGTGGACATGGAGTTCCGCGACCACGTGGGCGTGGAGATCCTGACTCCGCTGTTCGGCACCCTGCACCCCGGCTTCTACGGAAGCAGCCGGGAGGCCTTCACCTACGAGCGCCGGCCCCAGTCCCAGGCCTACATCCCCAAGGACGAGGGCGATTTCTACTACCTGGGGGGGTTCTTCGGGGGGTCGGTGCAAGAGGTGCAGCGGCTCACCAGGGCCTGCCACCAGGCCATGATGGTCGACCAGGCCAACGGCATCGAGGCCGTGTGGCACGACGAGAGCCACCTGAACAAGTACCTGCTGCGCCACAAACCCACCAAGGTGCTCTCCCCCGAGTACTTGTGGGACCAGCAGCTGCTGGGCTGGCCCGCCGTCCTGAGGAAGCTGAGGTTCACTGCGGTGCCCAAGAACCACCAGGCGGTCCGGAACCCGTGAGCGGCTGCCAGGGGCTCTGGGAGGGCTGCCGGCAGCCCCGTCCCCCTCCCGCCCTTGGTTTTAGCAGAACGGGTAAACTCTGTTTCCTTTGTCCGTCCTGTTGTGAGTAACTGAAGCCTAGGCCCCGTCCCCACCTCAAATCACACACACCCCCTCCCCACCACAGAGACACCATTACATACACAGACACACACAGAAAGACACACACAGACACAAAATCACACACACACCCTCCCCGCCACAGAGACACCATTACATACACAGACACACACAGAAAGACACAGACACAAAATCACACACACACCCTCCCCGCCACAGAGACACACCATTACATACACAGACACGCAATCGCAGATACGCCCTTCCGGCCACAGAAACACACCATTACACACACATACACAGAAAGACACACACAGACACACAATCACACGCAGCCCCTCCCCGCCACAGAGACACACCATTACATACACAGACACACACAGAAAGACACACACAGACACAAAATCACACACACACCCTCCCCGCCACAGAGACACACCATTACATACACAGACACACACAGACACACAATCACACACAGCCCCTCCCCGCCACAGAGACACACCATTACATACACAGACACACACAGACACACAATCACAGATACCCCCTCCCGGCCATAGAGACACACCGTTACACACACATACACAGAAAGACACACACAGCCCCTCCCTGCCACAGAGACACACCATTACATACACAGACACACACAGACATACACAGACACACACACAGACACACAATCACACACATCCCCTCCCCGCCACAGAGACACACCATTACACACACAGACACACACAGAAAGACACACATACACACAATCACACACACCCTCTTCTTGCCACAGAGACGCACCATTACATACACAGACACAGACACACAGAGACACAGACACACAAACATAGACACACACACACAGACACACACCAGACACGCAAAGACACACAGACACAGATACACAGATACAAAGACACAGACATATAGACACACAGACATGCACAGAGACACATGGAGACACATGCAAAAATGCACAGAGAAAGACATACAGAAGTGTACACACAGACACATAGACCACACAGACACACAGACATGCATGCAAACACACAGACATGCAGACATGCACACAAACACAGACTCACGCACACAGACTTAGGCAGCCCAAATTCAGCGCCTGGGGCATAAGTTCCTGGAGGGGTGGCCACCTTCAGCCCCCACGGTAAGGTCCTGAGGAACCTTCCCCTTAGACAAGGGATCATGGAGGAGGTCTCTTCCGGAGCCTGGAGGGAGGCCTCAAGTGGTCCTTCCACCTCGGCATCCCAAAGTGCTAGGATTATAAGCATGAGCCACTGCACCTGGCCCCAACATCATTTATTGAACAGACTGTCGTTTCCACATTGTGTTTCTTGGCATTTCTGTCAAAAATCAGTTGACCGTAAATGCATGGATTCACTTCCGGGCTCTCTATTCTGTTTCATTGGTCTGTTTGTTTTTATGCCAATACCATGATGTTTTGATTATTATAGCTTTATAGTATATCTTGAAGTTAGGTAGTGTATTGTCTCCAGCTTTGTTCTTTTTGCTTAAGATTGCTTTGGCTATTTAGGGGTCTTTGTGGCCATTACTGACAGTTAAAATGGCCCTGGCTCATGTCTCCTGGGCCTCTACAGTACTTTAGGTGGGGAAGTACTGTGGCCCACATGTCCCAACAGGCTGTGTGTGGCACCTGACAGTGCTTTGTGCCACTGTGGAGCAGGTGTTACTCCCTCATACGAATTTTAGGATTATTTTATTTATTTCAGTGAAAAATGTCAATGAAATTTTGATAGGGATTGCATTGAATCTGTAGATTGTTTGGGGTTGTATGGACATTTTAACAATATTAATTCTTCCAATTCATGAACATGGGATGTCTTTTTTTTGGCACCTGATCTCAGATATGGGACAGCTTTCTAATTATTTGTATCTTCAATTTCTTTCACAAATGTTTTATAGTTTTCAGCATACAGATCTTTCACTTCCTTGGTTGGATTTATTTGCAAGTATTTTTTGTAGCTATTGTAAATGACATTGTTTTCTTGATTTCTTTGTTAGGGTATAGAAATGCTACAGATTGTTGTATGTTAATTTTATATCCTGCAACTTTACTGATTTCATTTATTCTAACATCTTATTGGTGGAATCTTTAGGGTTTTCTATAAGATCATGTCATCTGTAAACAGGGACAATTTAAGTTCTTCCTTTCCAATTTGGATACCTTTTATTTCTTCCTCTTGCCTAATTATTTTGGCTGAGGGCCAACTTGTTGGGTTTGTTGTTGTTGGTTTTTGTCTGTGTCTTTTGGTGTTTCGTGTTGCTGGCTTTTCCAGCACACAGTCACAGATATATGAGGCAGAAAGAAAACCCAGGGAACTCCTGTCATGTCATTCCTCAGGTCCCAAGGTCCCTACATGGTCTGCCTTCTTCTCTCCACCTTTTAGTGTTTGATATACATACGTTTATGTATGTAGTTATATATGTATGTGTAATACCCGGGGAAATATACAGAGATTTTAACTGTCCTTAGTGTAGGGCGTGGGGACAGGTGCATCTATTCTACCTTGCCTGGAAGTGGAAAAATCTTCAAGAAATCAATTTATCACCAACTGGCATGACAGAACTCCTGGTTTAGTGTCTAGCTGTCTCCACTAAAATCAATCACCATGCCATCAGGCACTCTCTTCCCTCTGGTGTGTACTGGTACCTGAAACAGCGTCCAGCACCCTGAGAGCACAGAACGCAGCTTCTTATGTGCCCCACCCAATAATCCCAAATCGAGCACAGACCTGGGAGCTGAAGAGACAAGCTGGAGGTCAGGCAGTTCTATTACTTAAGCCTGGTTCTTCCTGACTCCAAAAGCCAGGCGCCACCCCATGCTCCTTCCCAGCAGAAGCTGGTTTTCACCGGGTCAGGAGGACAGGATGGCTATTCCTGACCGTTGTACAGCAGTGCCACATCTCCTAGTTTCCAGAACATTTAATGTGTTGCTGTGGAGGCCTGGCAGCTCTGAAGTAGCCCCTTGCGCCCAGGACAAACCGGGCCTGGAGGGGTGGGGTGGGGTAAGCTGAAGCTTCCAGTATCCCACGTGGGCATTCTGTTGCTGAGGGCAACCGCCCCTCCCTGCAAGGGAGGGGAAGGAGCAGGCAGGCACACCCTTCCTCCCTCCACATTTCACTGGAGTTGACCTGTGTCCTACTGTGGTTGCACCTGGACCAGCCCAGAGGGACTGGAGTGACTCTTCCCGCAGGTAGGGCACAGCCAGCCTGGGCACAGGGCCTCACTGCAATCCCTGCGCCCCGCCTCCCTGGGGGATTTCCAGGGGTTGTCCTGCTGCTTGGTGAGCTGGGGGTGTGGGGGACCACAGATGAGGCAGGCGCCTAAATTGCTTGGGCGGAGTCCGGCTGCTCTCTCCCTCCAGGCCCTTTCCTGTGTCCTCGGGCCCCTCGGGTCCCTGCACCAGGCCAGCAGCAATCGGGTGTCAGAGGTTCAAGTCCAGGCTGACTCCTGGGATGCACCGACTTTGCCCAGGAGGGCTGGGGAGAGGGCAGCCCCAAAGTGTCATCTTTGATTATTCTTTGTCCCCAAAGCCAGCCTTGGGCATGTGCCCAGCACAGGGAGAGCTGCTGCCTCTGTGGGCTTGAGTCATTTTTGCTTCCTTGCCCCTCTCTGCTCTGTTTGGTTTAAAAAACAAAAACCAACACCCATGGGTGAGGCGAGGCGAGGCGAGGCTTGCCTTGATCCACCCGCTTCCTCCCCTGCAGCCTCGGGCCCCATCCTCCCGCGTGGCCGCACTAGGGGTGCTGGGGGCGGAGTGGGGACCAGACCTGAGTGGGTTCTGGGTTCGGCTTCGCAGCAGGAGCAGCTGGGGCATCATCAGTTGGGCAGGTGACCCAGGATCTGAGCAGGAATCTTCCAGGTGGAGGTGGGGCCGCCCCTCTGCTTGCCACAGCTGCCTTCTGCTCTGGGGGCAGCACTGGCTGAGAATCCAGTGAAGTAAGGCCTTTGAAATGGTTTTGATTGTAAAAGTAATGTTTATGTTTAGCCATTCCTTTTTTTATTTTTTATTTTTTGAGACGGGTCTCCCTCTGTCACCCAGGCTGGAGTGCAGTCGTGAAATGTGGGCTCACTGCAACCTCCACCTCCCAGGTTCAAGTGATTCTCCTGCCTCAGCCTCCTGAGTAGTTGGGATTACAAGTGCCTGCCACCACACCTGACTAAGTTTTGTATTTTTTAGTAGAGATGGAGTTTCACCATGTTGGCCAGGCTGGTCTCAAACTCATATCCTCAAGTGATCCACCCTCCTCGTCCTCCCAAAGTGCTGGGATTTTGCCATGAGCCACCACGCTCAGCCATGTTTAGCCATTTTTAAAAGGTGTGAACAGATAATTAAGTCTATTAGCAACATTAGAA
The DNA here is from genome assembly GCF_000001405.40 of Homo sapiens. Classification (NCBI taxonomy): domain Eukaryota; kingdom Metazoa; phylum Chordata; class Mammalia; order Primates; family Hominidae; genus Homo; species Homo sapiens. The sequence goes on along the minus strand of NW_009646201.1, from coordinate 77,273 downwards.
AATTTAAGTTAAAATTTAAATGACTCTAGCAAGAATTAGCCTTTAGGTGCCCTGGGTCCCCCTCCCCACCGCCCCCCACCCCGCCGCCTTCTGAGAAGCGTTTTGTAATTTTTCTTATTTATAAAATGGGTTTGATTCAAAACTGACTTTTCCTCTTCACAGAGTCTCACAGGTCCTTCCCCAGGTCCAAGAGGCTCTTCTGTGGTCTAATGACAAGTAGCTGCCTAGCCGTGGTGGCACCTCCTATCACATGTTAAGGGACCCCTCCCCAGGGCCACACCTGGCAGAAGGTGGCTTATGATGTTCGCAGCTTGAAAGTAGTGTAAACCAAAGATAAAATTCTAAGCCCACTCCCCCAGCCATCGGAATGGACCCCTCCTCTTGGCCAGGGCACTCCAAAGTTAACCTGAAAAACCGGTTCAGGCTGTGAAGAGAAGGTGGAGTGGACATGCCTCATTTATGTCCTCCTCCCTTTTGGAATTCAGCAAAGCTGACCAGCATGAACATTAACACAGACCTTAAGTCTGATTAGTGGCATTTACAATCTATACTCTCTGAAGCGTGCTACCTGGAGGCTTCCTTTGCATGATAAAACTTTGGTCTCCACAACCCCTTATCATAACCTAGACACTCCTTTCTAGTGATAATAACTCTTTCAACCAATTGCCAATAAAAAAATTTTGAATCTACCTATAACCTGGAACCTCCCTGCTCCACCTTCGAGTTGTCCTACCTTTCTGGACAGAAGCAATGTGGATCTTGCATGTATTTGATTGATGTCTCATGTCTCCCTAAAATGTATACAATTAGGCTGTGCCCAGATCACCCTGGGCACATGTTCTCAGGCCCTCCTGAGGTCTCTGTCTCGGGCCATTGGTCACTCAGATTCGGCTCAGAATAAATCTCTTCAAATATTTTTCAGAGTTTGACTCTTTTTGTCGACAATAAGCTCATCAGATTAAAGCTGTTGGAACTTTAAATTACTTCCAGCCTTGAAAGAATGTGATTCTGACACCCTAGTCAAGCAGCAAGTCGCTGTGAACTTTGCTTCTCCAATTATAGATTAACGCTCTTCCTTTCTTGATTTGTAAAATGTTATGAAAGACTAAATGGCACCAGATGTAAGACCCCTTCCCTTTCTTAGTTACTGACCTTTTGTTACGAATTAACTTCTTTCTTTTCTTGCACCCAACTCAGACCAGATGGTACAAAAGACCCCATGCCTATCAAATTCCATAAGACAGTATGTTAAATATACTTTTCCCGAAGGGAACAGGATATAACCAAACAAATTGCTGCAACTCATAAGCCAATCTTATGTGGAAAATGTAATCATGCTAAACCTCCTTGTATTTTCCCATTTAAGTGAAGCCCAAATCCCTCCACCTCAGAGCACTGAGCCCATTCCTTTAGAGTCTGTGTTTTTTGAGTGGTGGTCGTCAAACTTAGAGTTCGAATAAACTCTATAACATTGGATTTTGAACCTTTCAATTATTTCAGGTGGCAGAAGAAACACACAGACCCCATCTCTTCCTTTGGAGTTCTGTACTGCTCATTTCAAAGGGATTTCATCCTGCCCTCTGTAACCACCCAAGGGGTTCCTCCTGCTCCCTTTCTAAATAAAGACCATGCATTCCAGTAAAGAAAGAGTTTAATAGACATGAGGCCAACCACATGGTAGAGAGAGTTTGTACTCAAATCATCTCATCAAAGGCTCATAGCTAGGGGTTTCTCAAGGCAGTTTGGGGGGTCAGGGGTGGCCAAGTAACAGGTACTGATTGGCTGGGGCAGACATGAACTCATGGAGGGTCAAAGCTGTCCTCCTGCAGGCTAAATCGCTTCTTAGGGGGGTGTCACAGGAGTGAGGTTGGGGGTTCCAGGTAGAGCCATGGGTATCAGACCTGCAAAAAACCTGAAAAGATATCTCAAAAGACCAATCTACAGTTGGGGAAATTGTGTATTTTGCTAGAGAGGTCTACACCTTAGCTTCTCCCTCTCGCCTCATAGCTTTTCATTAGGTTTACACAGGCAGAAGAGTTTTGGGGGAGGCCTGCTGTTATTTAAACTATAAATTAAATGTCTCCCAAGGTTAGCTCAGCCCAAAAGCCCAGGAATCATTAAGGGAAAGGAAAGATGAGGGGCGGGTTAGCTCAGCTCACTCTTACAATTTTTCTAATTGATAGAGTTTTTGCAAAGGCGGTTTCACTTTCAGCGTGGTCGTTCTCCTAACCTCTCCTGCTTCCCCAGGTCCTCACCCTAAACCAGCACCCACCCTGCACTCCCAGGGTGAACCCTCCCTTCCCTTCTGCTCACCTGGGCCCAACCCAGTTTCCCCCCAGGAGCTGCGGAAGGGCCCAGTGGTGCCACCTTGGCCTCCAGGCATCACTCTCCAACTTCTTCCCTCCTCCCTCCACAGGACCCTTGCCTCAAATGTCAGTCCCGCTGCTCTCTGCTGCACTCAGCCTCTTCCTGGCAAGTGTGCCCCTCCCCTCTTGAAGCCATCACCAGCCTCTTGTGCCCACCCCCATCTAGGCCCCCCACTCCTCTCCAGTCCCGGTGTCTTGGAAGAGCCTCTGGATCACAGGGGCTGGGAAATTCGACTTGTCATCCCCACCAAGCAAACACATGCTTCCATCCAGGGCCCCTCAGTGGGTGAAGGCTGAGCCCCAGTAAAGGATAGATCATCACTGTCAGAGGCGAGTGAACTAGAGCGACTCCATGTTGAATAGGGACTGGGTAAAATGAGGCTGAACCTTCTGCACTGCATTCTCAGGGGGTTAGGCATTCTTAGTCACAGGATAAGATAGGAGGTTGGCAGGATTAGTATCACAAGATACAAGTCACCAAGACCCTGCTGATCAAACGGGATGCAGTAAAGAAGCCAGCCAAAACCCACCAAAACCAAGATGGCGACAAAAGGAACCTCCAGTTGTCCTCACTGCTCATTATGCGCTAATTATAATGCATTAGCTGCTAAAAGACACTCCCACCTGTGCCACAACAGTTTACAAATGCCATGGCAACGTCCAGAAGTTACCCCATATGGTCTAAAAAGGAGAGGGACCCTCAGTTCAGAAAAATCCCCTCCCCTTTCTTGGAAAACTCACAAACAATCCACCTGTTGTTGAGCCTATAATCCAGAAATCAGTATAAGTATACTCAGCTGAGATCCAAGAACCCTGTCTTGGGGTTTGGACTGGGACTCCTTTCTGGTAACAATACTAGGGTATACGGAGCCCCCACATCCCCGGGCAAGTGGTGCAGAAGCCGGAGCCATCAGCAGCCGCCCCTGGCAGGCTCCTGTGTGGACTCCTTGCTGCAGGGCATTTGGTTTACCAGGCGTGAGAGACCCACACGTGAAGCGCTAGCCCAGCCCCATCACCGCAGCACAGCCTCACCACTGCAGCCCAGAAAAACCACTGCAGCCCAGACACACGACTGCAGCCCAGACACACCACTGCAGCTGAGGCCCATCACTGCAGCCCAGACACACCACTGCACCCACTGCAGCTCAGCCCACCACTGCACCCCAGCCCCACCACTGTAGCTCAGCCCGACCACTGCAGCCCAGCCCACCATTGCAGCCCAGACACACCACTGCAGCCCAGCCCACCACTGCAGCCCAGCCCCACCATTGCAGCCCAGGCCCTGCAGTTGTCCCTACTAGGTCTGAGTGGAGGAATCAGAGAGAAAACTCTGGAAAGTGCTAGACACAGGGGAGGCCCTCAAGGAATGGTGGCTGCCACTGGGAACTCTGTTTCTGTGGTGCTTACTGGACAGATAGGCTCCTTTGCAGATTTTTTATTCCAAAACTAAGCTCCCATCACCCAGTCCTGTCCTCCCTGCTGGCAGAGCTTGTCCCTGGATCCAAGCTGTCTCCTCTGCACCAAATCCCATGGCCTCAAGTCCCAGCTCTGCTTTGCACAGGGGCTTTTCGAAGCCCTGTCTCCCCTGCTGTGAGATGGGGGTCACCCAGCTGCCCCCCAGGGGGTGGTGTTGCTGACGGAGCAGGTGAGGACAATGCCAAGAGCTGCGCGTGGTCTGGCTTTCCCAGGCTGGATGTGCCCCTCTGATCCTCAGTCTCCCCACATGGACAATGGCTGATGCCGACCACCCACACTAGGTTTGCCCCAGAGTCAAAGTGAGCTCCTTGAGGACAGGGAACTGACCCCCACACAGGGCCCCCCAGGATCTGCTTGAGGAGGCACCAGGCAGTTCTCCCAGAAGGCAGGGCGTGTCTTCAGAGCTCTCTGGGTTGAGTGGGCCTAGGCCATCGCTGCCTCTGCCCAAGTCTTTCTAGAGGCTTCCCAAGTACCAGAGCTGCCCTGGAGGGCCAGAGTTACCAGAAAGTCCAAAGGGAGAAAGTCAGAGAGACACCAGCACACCCAAGAAGTCCAGGGCCTTGGGGACACTAAGGGTGAACTCTGTGCTGTGAAGGGCAGGCCTGGCCCGGAGAGAGGGAGCCTGCGGAGGAGACGGGATCTCTCGGTGCTCTTCCGAAGAAGCCCCTGGATCTCCCACTGTGTTCTGCTCTCCCGGGCGGGCAGGTGTCAGGATGGCGCCTGGTACAGCTGGTTTTGGGCAGAAGCCCCGCCCGTGGCCTGCACTGCACGTTGGGTGTCTGCGTGTTGGGCCCCTGCTCTGCAGCCTCAGCAGGTACTGTGACGGGGGATGGCCGGGCAGGGACCTACCTGGCCAGCTCTTTGTCTCAGCTGCCTTCACACGGCAGGGTTTGCTTTGCGCATCCCATCCCTGTGAACATACAGGTGCGATTAGTTTGCTGGTTTGTGGCAGGGTGGTTTTTTCTTCTTCCTAAAAATGGATTTAGTAGATTTTTAGCTTCACAGGTTTCATCTGAACCAATGACTTGGAATTTAAGACAATGGCTACACGCTTTTGACTGGGTTTGGGATTTGTGATCCGAAACGGTTCATTTGTTATATGGCTAGAATATGACATGACTTTTCATGTGTTTTAAAAAATATAATGAGGCGGCGGCTGCGTCCACGTCGACCAAGACTGGAGCGAAGTTTAAGGAAGGGACAGAATCGCCGGGGAGTGCCCTTGTTGTTGCCGGGGGACTCCCAGCCTTCCCTGTGGCCCGAGAAGGAGAAGCAGTGGCTCTCTGAAGCAGGCATGGAGAGTAGAAAACTGGAGTTATTAGCATACCCTAGTACCTCTTACAACTTTCCCTTCCATGTTAGCACTTTAGTGCTGGCTTCTCAGTTTTCTTAACATTGAGACAATAAATGTGTGTTGTGTCTTGTAGATGGCATAAAGAGTAAGTAAGAAGTTTTAGAGTTTTAGAGTTGTTCTGGAAAATGTCAGAATAAATCTCCACTTGAGTTGTGTATTCTGCTAGTCCAAGTGGACAGCAACTTCCTGCTACCCTCCCTTGCAACCTTGCAGACAAGTCTCTCCTCTGAAGAACAAATTAGATTTAGCTAATTAGAATTAATCCTTGCTTTCATCGCCATCATCTGTAAAATACTTTGTTGGGTAGACCACTTTATACCTTTGCAATACGGTCTCCGTGGGTAAAAAACAAATATCTGTAATGCAGACAGGAGGATGTGAAAAGTTCTGTTGCACGTGTTTTTTTTTTTTTGTTTTTTGTTTTTTTGAGACAGTCTCGCTCTGTCCCCCAGGCTGGAGTGCAGTGGCGCGATCTCGGCTCACTGCAAGCAAGCTCCGCCTCCTGGGTTCATGCCATTCTCCTGCCTCAGCCTCCCGAGTAGCTGGGACTACGGACGCCTGCCAACATGCCCGGCTAATTTTTTGTATTTTTAGTAGAGACTGGGTTTCACCGGTTGCACGTATTTTTAATTCTGTGGCTGTCACATGATAGAGAATGGAATTGAATGGAGATTTCCCTTTTGCTTCTTAGGGTTGGAAATATTCCCATGAAAATGTTCAAATTTGGAATTTGAAAGCCACCAAATGAATCTTTATGTATAAATCCTTGTAAATGATAGATTCCATAGGTGAGACTTTTATGTATTTCAGGTGGGAGCCTACTGGCATATATTTTTAAATGTTCATATTACTTAGAATCTCCAATAGGAAGTCTTTATTTGAAATAGTTGAATCCGTGTTCTAGTATTTTCCTTTCAGCAAGATCTGTTAGGTTTTTACCCCTTCAAAAATAAGTTTTATTTCATCTGCAAATTGTGGCAATGTTATAGCGATCAGAAACTACGTAAGGAATGTTATATAGGCTTGTCAGTTCCCATTTATCTTAACAACAATAAATATCACATTTCTTCTTTTGAAAATGACACATATTTAGGCCAGGCGTGGTGGCTCACTCCTGTAATCCCAGCCCTTTGGGAGGCCGAGGTGGGCGGATCACGAGGTCAGGAGATCCAGACAATCTGGTTAACATGGTGAAACCCCGTCTCTATTATAAATACAAAAAAATTAGCAGGGCATGGTGGCAGGTGCCTGTAGTCCCAGTTACTCGGGAGGCTGAGGCAGGAGAATGGCGTGAACCTGGGAGGTGGAGCTTGCAGTGAGCGGAGATCGCGCCACTGCACTCCAGCCTGGGCGACAGAGCAAGACTCCGCCTCATAAAACAAAACATATTTAAACACTTAGAAAATAAAGTTAACACTTACTGAAGTGCTGGTACTACACTGTCCTAGTACTAAAAGGAAGCAGGTTGGAACATACATATGGCCTATCATTTATAACAGAATTAACTTGTTGAATGTCTGTAAATGATTTTTTTTCGCAAAGGAAAAAGTTGATACTGGAAAAGATTGTTGTGCATAGTTATTAGTCATTTGTAACCTCGCTTAAGTGTTTCTCAGTTGTTCAACATAGACATTTTTTTCTCCTTACCATGTATTTTTAAAAATAGTCTATTACTTGACTTTGAACGTAAAGCTTTAATCATAATTTCCCATGTATACATAGTTCATCTGACGGTAAGCTGGACTTGAAGGTAGGGGTTTCAGCGTTACTTAAGTTGGTAGCTGAGGGTATCAGGCATCAGTTCATGCAATAAGACAAAAAAATATATATCCTTTGCTTGCCAAGGGGTAGAGTGATGTGCATTTATCTGTTTTCTGTTCTGTAAGTTTAGACTTTCAAACCATTTTGTAAACCAACCCTTGGGAAATTTGAAATTACCTTATAACTTAAGACTCTGTGGTCTCTGGAATCACCCTATCTGTTTCTTTTCTGCATAGGTATTTATAACATTGCTGTTTGACTATAGCGTGCACTCTGAAATGTTATCAGTGGAAATTTGTTTGAGTTTCATTAATGCTATTTCACTAGTTAGACATAATTACTTCTACCAGTGTAAATGACACTGATGCCCACAGAGCTTCCAGATCTTTCAGACTCAACTACTAGGTCAATTAGTTTGCATAATAAAACTTGGCAGTTTCTACAAGCCTATTATGACAAACCAGGAGCTAATTCTGTAATGAAAAACTATCCATTCTGAATGATAGGGACGTAATTATTTGCTGCTGCTGTGCTTTGTAAATTTTGAACATGACATTATACTCTGTGCCTACTAAAGGTATCCTCTGGAGTTTTTTGAGAGGAGGGAAACTGGAAAATTAAATTGTATTTTTGCCAGAAGACTCTTACTTGCATGTGTCTCAGGGTCTTCAGTTTTTCTAGAAGTTTCCATATCCAAGGTTCAGAGTTCATGTGAAATACTTCTTTGGGAGAAAAAAATCCTTCATTCCTGGTATTCATTGGATTGGAAATCTGCAGCAAGATGCTGTTTAAAATTACTATGTGGTTTTTCTATCTTATCCTTAGCTCTCTGGCTATTGAACTTTTTTTTCTTCTTTGAAGTTAGCTTCAAATTTGCTTCTATGCTAAATTACTTGTAAATATTCTGGATAGGAACTATTTGAAATAGTATTTGTTAAAAGAAATGATAAAATGAAAATGTTCAAACTACAGAGATTTTAAAATGCCATAACGATCTTGCAAGACTAACTTTAAAATATGCTATAAATGATTATTATGATTTTGGTGGTAACGATCCCCCACACACAACCACTGTGAAGAAATGACGCCACATTTTCCCCTATTGTACCAAAAAGATAAAGATGGTAAACATTAATCAAGGTATTTTGTATTGTCAACGCGTGCATATTCTAAAGAGTTAAATGCCAACTCAGCAGCACTGGCTTCCTGGCTGGTCAACCATAGGAAACCTCGTTCATTTCTCCCAATGTTGTGATGTTCATACTTCTACAATCTTCCCTGTCATGACTTTAACTTCTACGTTTCATTAACCATTCCTGATGTTAGTTCTCAGAGCTTCTTTTTTTTTTTTTTTTTTTTTGAGATGGAGTCTCACTCTGTCGCCCAGGCTGGAGTGCAGTGGCCCCATCTCGGCACACTGCAACCTCTGCCTCCCGGGTTCAAGCGATTCTCCTGCCTCAGCCTCCCAAGTAGCTGGGACTACAGGCCTGCGCCACCACGCCCAGCTATTTTTTGTATTTTTAGTAGAGGTGGGGTTTCACCCTGTTGGACAGGATGGTCTCAATCTCTTGACCTTGTGATCCGCCCGCCTCGGCCTCCCAAAGTGCTGGGATTACACGTGTGAGCCACTGCCGGTTCTTAGAGTTTCTTAAGGCAAAAATAAAATTATTCAATTCTGAAAAAATATAAATAAATAAATAATAAAAAATATAACGAATCTGGAGGACTGCATGGTGTCCTATAGCGTGACGGTTAAAAGCTTGGGCTTTGGAACCAAGTCGGCCTCGAAATTGCAGCTTTGCTGCTGCCTGGGCCACTGGACCTTCTGAGCGTCGTTTTCCTCCTGTGTCAGCTGAGGGTGGTGACTTGGGCTCCCGCTCAGGGGTTGAAAGAGATTCTGCAGCCTCTGGAGCTGCCCCTCAGCGCATCATCACTGGGTCTGCTGTCCTCGGTACCTGCCTGGGTGGAGGTTTCTGTGACTTCTCAACGGAAGTGGCTGTCTCAGGCGAACGCTGTAACAGTGACCATCCCTTGAGGTGCCTGTTTCTTGCTCTGTTTTTATTTAAAGATCTGTGGAAATGTAGAATATGAAAAATGAACTGCAATATTCGGGATGAAAATGGACTAGGCTAAGTATTCCTGATTTGAAAAAACTTTTATCTTAGGTTTAGGGGATCGTGTGCGGGATTGTTATATAGGTAAACTCCGTGTCTCGGGGGTTTGGTGTACAGGTTATTTAGTCACCCAGGTAATAAGCATAGTACCCGATAGGTATTTATTTTTGATCCTTTCCCTACTCCCACGCTTCACTCTCAAGTAGGCCCCATTATCTGTTGTTCCCTTCTTCGTGTCCAAGCACTCCTGATTAATGAGCCTAAAGAAATACTGAAAGAACAAGCGAAACACATCTGTTCTCTTTCCTGCTACCCTCTCCGCATGTCCCCCTCTCTCTAGAAAACAATGGTTTTAATCTTGGCTGCATGTTAGAGTCACCTAGGGTGCTTTTAAAATTCCCTTTGCCAGGCGCCACACTTGAACGTTGTGATTATTTGCCTGGCCCAGGTGTCAATATTTTTTTTTAAGAGATGGGGGTCTTTCTCTGTTGCCCAGGCTAGAATGCAGTGGCGTAATCATAGCGCACGGTAGCGCTGAACTCCTGGGTTCAAGAGATCCTCCGACCTCAACCTCTTGAGTAGCTGGGACTACTGGCACGTGCCACCATGCCTGGTTAATTTTTAAAAAGTGTTTGTAGAGATGGAGTCTTACTATGTTGCCCAGGCTGGTCTCTTAACTTCTAGGCTCAAGGGATCTCCTGCCTCAGGCTCCCAAAGTGCTGGGAATATAGGCGTGAGCCACTGCGCCCGGCTGGCATCAGTATCTTTTGAAGTTCCGATGATTCTACAGAGCAGCCACAGTTGACAACCATTGCCCTAGAATCATCGTCTTCACTCACATTTCATTTTTAAATGACCGTAATTGAAAAGACACATTTGGTCACGAGGAATAGGAAATGGACAACTCACATCTCATACAAATCACAAGTACCTCCTGGTGGAAGCAGCAGGCCTCTGGGAAGGTTCTAGAAAGAATGGGTCCCTGTGTCTGAAGCTGTGCTTCTGAGCAACTGCCTGGCTGGGGCGCCCCTGCTCACTGGGTGGTCACTGAACTTCACACACTGCTCCCCAGCTATGCTTTCCTCCTTCATGCTTCCTTCTTGCTTGACCGGACTCCAACAAGGAAGCCTCTTTTTCTTCATGATTAAAAGAGTAATAAATGGTCATGGGAGAAAAATAAAGTCATATAGAAGCAGACAGGCTGGGTGTGGTGGCTCATGCCTGTAATCTCAGCACTTTGGGAGGCCAAGATGGGTGGATCACTGGAGCTCAGGAGTTTGAGACCAGCCTGGGGAACATAACGAAACCCCATCTCTACAAATAATGCAAAAAAAAAAAATTAGGCATGGTGGCGCTCTCCTGTAGTCCCAATTACTCGGGAGGGTGAGGTGGGAGGTTCACTTGAGCCTGGGAGTTGGAGGCTACAATGAGCTGTGATCAGGCCACTGCATTCCAGCCTGGGGGACCCAGCCAAACCATGTCCCAAAATAAAATAAAATAAAATAAAATTAACATAAACATAAAAAAGGAAGGAGATGAGCAGAAAGTAACCACCCACCCCCAAAAGCTCCTCTACCTGGGACAGTAGGTTGGGGGAGTGTGGCACCCTGGAGCCAAAGGTCCCAGGCTCCTGTCCAACTCACTACAGGCCATCTCTGCTCTCTAACCCCAAGCCTGAGTTTCCTTGCCTGTAAAATGGAGAGGACAGTAGAGCCTGCCCCTGGGCCTGGGAATGAGGAGTAAAGGAGTCGGAGCATTACTGGCACGTGGGGCGGCAGAAGTGCTGTGTCCTGTTTTTACACACATGCGCAGCTGTAAAACGGTTTATTTTATTTTTCATTTTTTGACAGAGTCTCGCTCTGTCGCCCAGTGCAGTGGCGCGATCTCGGCTCACTGCAAGCTCCGCCTCCCGGGTTCACGCCATTCTCCTGCCTTAGCCTCCCGAGTAGCTGGAACTACAGACACCCACCACCACGCGGGGCTAATTGTGTGTGTGTGTGTGTGTGTCTGTGTGTCTGTGTGTGTTTAGTAGAGACGGGATTTCACCGTGTTAGCCAGGATGGTTTCAGTCTCCTGATCTCATGATCCACCTGCCTCGGCCTCCCAAAGTGCTGGGATTACAGGCATGAGCCACCGCGCCCGGCCAAAAGGTTTTTAAAAACATGAAATGAGTCATTCTGTGCACACCATTTTGTTGTCCCGACTTTGTGCCCATAGCTGAGTTTGCCAGACGAGGGACCCCCAGTCAGCACCGTGGGCTCAAGAGAGGGCAGCCTCAGAATCTCAGGTGGCCGGACTCAGGGCTAGCCCTGGTGTCCTGGACAGTGCCCAGACCTGAAGGCCGCAGGGGCCCCCTCCCCCACACCGCCCAGAGTGAAAGCTCCAGAAACAGCTCAGGGCCTGAGTGGGGAATCCCTGATCCCTAAAGTGGAGTTACAGAACTTTCAGGGCTGTGGGGAGGATGACGAAAGGGGCTCGGGGCGGCAGCCCCGTTGAGTCAAGGGGGAGTGCCCAGCTTTGACATTTTATCCACAGGAGGCTCGGAAGGGCAAAGTCCCATTTCGCTTCCATCTGGCTTTCCCGCCGCTTGCTCTGTGTGCCTGGTTTTGTTTTGTTTTTGTTGTTGTTGTTTTGAGGGAGTCTCGCCCTGTTGCCAGGCTGGAGTGCAGTGGTGCTATCTCGGCTCACTGCAACCTCCACCTCCCGGGTTCAAGCGCTTCTCCTGCCTCAGCCTCCAATGTAGCTGGGATTACAGGCGCCCGCCACCACACCCAGCTACTTTTTTGTGTTTTTAGTAGAGACGAGGTTTCACCATGTTGGTCAGGGTGATCTCGAACTCCTGACCTCAAGTGATCCGCCCACCTCAGCCTCCCCAAAGTGCTAGGATCCGTGTGCCTTTAACTCCTTGCCTTTAGGAGTCGCCGTGCTGTAAGCAGCACTGCCCCGGGGTAAGGGCGGGCGCTGGAGACTGGCAGTGCTCACCAGCGCCCCCAGCTGGTAAGTATGGCAGTCATCGAGCCTGGGGGGAACGGAAAGCACCACTGGGATTTCTCCCCGCTGAGCTGGGCAGGTCTCTCCTCTGCCCAGGGCGCTGCCGTGCCCCCAGAGGGCTTTGGGAAATGTGAGTTGGCTCTTGTGGCTGTTCCTATGCCTGGGGAATTTGGAAGAGACCAATGTCATTGGGAGGGACAGAAAGTACCACGCACTGAAGAAGTGTGCCCACTTCCCAACCCCATGCCCAGGGTGCTCAGGAGAGGACCACTGGGAAGACCGCGGATGAACATTCCAGATCCCCTCAGGGGGAGAGAAGGCGCTCCTAGCCAGCTGGTCCTTGAGCGCACGCGCACTCCGTGTTGGAGCCCATTTAGAATAAACATTCAAACCCTCAGAGCCCACTGGAGGGCTCAGGGCCTTTCACCTTGGCTAAGAAACGATCCCCACAGCCTTGAAGCTGGGTGGAAGCTCAGGTAGGTGGTCAGGGTCCCTGGGTCAGCCTGTCTGCCCAGCTCCAGGCAGCTTTCCTGATCCTTACAAACTCCGGGTGCAGCTCCACACCGCCGGGTCCCGCCCACCGGCTCCGCTCCGACCACGCCCACTCTACCCCTCAACACAGCCTTGACCCTGCCCCACTGGCCCTGCCCCAACCACGCTCATCCCACTCCTCTGCCCCGCCCTTCTCGGCCCCGCCTCCCCCGCTCAGCTCAGCCCCCACTGGGCCTGGACCTCCCTGGTTCCTGTCTATCCTCCCCTCCACCCTGCCCTCTCTAACCGAATCCCCGCCCCATCTAGAGCCCTAACCTCTAGATCGGGCGGGGGTTCATAGATCATAAGCCAGGCCCTGCTGGTGACCTGGAGGCCGCGGACAGCCGCCCTTCACCCTGGTGGGGCCACCCTGCCAGGAGCTGGCCTGGAGGCGGGGCCCGGGGCTGAATTTGGGGTCGCTGCTCCCACTGCCCACGGTTCTTCCCCCAACCCTGCCCAGCTCTGGGGGCCTTTCTCTCATCTCTCTCCCTTTTGTTGTTGCTGAAAAATGCTGCTGTTTTTCTCGTGGCTAAGTTATATATGCTCTTAAAAAGTAATGCCCCGCATGGAGGCTCACACCTTTAATCCCAACGCTTTAGGAGGTGGAGGCGGGAGGATCGCTTGAGCCCAGGAGTTCAAGACCAGCCTGGGTAACAAAGTGAGACCCCATCTCCATAAACAAACACATAAATAGTAAGAACTTGATAAAGGTCTGAGAAAGAAATTAGAGATCACTGTGAATCCTTTCCATGCTGACATTTTGGCACATTTTCCCCAGGCTGCGTGAGGCCCAGGCTGAATGTGCACATTGGCATCTTGTTTTCTTTATTAACATCATTTCAGAAGCATTTTCTGAGATGAGTACAAACTGAAAACATTCTTCTGAACACCTGCATGGAGCCCTCTTTTCACACATGACCCTGTGATGGGCCAGCTGGGCTTTGGATAAAAAAAAGAAAAAAAGGAAAAAATGATTAGAGGTGATCCAGTAGCGCGATGCTCCTCCCATCTGAGGCAAAGGAAGAAGAAATAATTTAAAAATGTTCCCAGAGCAAAAACAGCCGTTTTCTAAAGAATGGCCCCACAATTGGTTCAAGTTGAAGAGCCTCCCCGAGGAATAACAGCTTCGTCATCCATCTAGTTCAGGCGTTGTTTCTATAGTAACCTGTGACGTGGTCCCCTTCCCAAAACACAAAACAAAACAAAAAACAGAAACAAAAACAATGAATCCCTGAGAACAGTGAGAAAGAAAAAGCTCTTGCTTCCTTTGGCCTACGGAAGGGTGTGGCTGTTGAGCTGAGCCTTGGAGTTCCTGGGTTTGCCGGTTTCCCCGTCTGGCAGTGCTGGGGGCTTTGAGCCAGCAACCTCAAAGAATGCCCACGCCAGGGAGGCCAGCATGCACGCAGGTATTGATGTTGGCTTTCCACGGGTGCAGTGAGCCGCATAATGGTTTGGGGTGAGGATTTAAACGTTTTGAGACAGGAACGGCTTGCCTCTGTTTTAAAGATCAGCTGCTGCCATTTCAAAGATACGTTCTGTTACTTTGCCAAGAGGCCTCATTCCATGTTGCTGGGAATCAGCAGCGGTGCTGCTCTGATGTGGCTGGTGGCCGTCCCAAGCCCCCATGCCTCCCTGACCTCTCGCTGCCCAGCACTTCCCGCTCCAGGGGTGCTCTCACCAGCCATGACTCCCCCTCCCGATGCCTACACCCCCCGCCTGTCTGCTGTGCCCTGTCCACAGCGCCCTGTCCACAGCACAGCTGGCTCAACACATGTGGCATCCAAGCCGGGCACCGTGCTTTGCCTCACACTGCTGAGTCCACCTGGCCTTACATGCCTTGGCTGGAGTCCAGGCGTGGGGCAGGCTTCGGGGATGGTGTCAAGGACTGGGCACTTCCTGCCTCTCTCCTCAAGGTCCCCAGGGCTGCCTCATCCCAACTGGGTCCCCTGCTGCAGTTCTCAGATGCCCTCTGCATGTTCCTTCTCTGGGCTCCGTGGCTCATTCCAGAGCAATCACAGACCAGAGGGACGGCGCCCCATTAGATCAATCAGACAAGCCCTGGAGTGGGGAGTGCAGTCACCATCCATGAGGGTGCCGGTGTGTTGGGGGGATGCGGGGAGGGGAATGGATGCCGCGTCAGCCACCAACAGCCCTGACGGGCCCCTGACTTCCTGCACTAACATTGTCCCTGTGCTCACATCTGCCCAGTACCACTGGGGCCATTCTCACCTACGGCTCTACCAGGTGCCCAGGAAATGCCCCCAAACGGGCAGGATGCTCACAAGGCAAGGCCACCTGCCCTGAAGGACGCGGGGGCCACAGGGTAATGGAAAGCAAAGGGATGGGGGAATTATCCCCAAATCAGTCACACGCCTGATGGCAGCCCTGTCAAAATCCCTAGGGAGGTTTTTTGTTTTGTTTTGTTTTTGGAGGGGGATGACTTTGTAGAGAAACTGCATTTTTTCTTAAAAATGTAAAATGATCTGCAATGCAAATATACCATGTTCTGTTTAGGGCAAGTAGCCTCTTCTGATTTTGAGTCTACGAATAATCAGAAGCACTGAAAATTCCAAAGCAGGAGTTAAAGTCCTCAGCAGCGCTTGGGTGTGCGGTGGGGTCCGTGATGGATGCTGAAACCGTGGGCTCCAAAGGCCAGCACAGGAAGGAAGGAGAGGGCCTCAAAGGAGGGGGCAGGTTGGACCTGGCCAACCCCAGCGTGGCACCCTCAGCCCTTCTCAGCTCCCAGTGCCTCTTAACATTGCTGGCAGGTGTGAGCCTGGGGTCGTGCTAGCCTCTGAGTGAGCTCAGCCCCTTACCATTTCCAGCCTCACCTTCCTCTCCCAAGAAAGTGGCATGAGGGTAACAGCAACCTCATGGGAGTGCAAGGCTGGCACAGGCTTTAGCCGCATCTCTGAGCCCTTTCACCAAAAAGGACTCACTGAACCAAAGAGCTGCACAGAACATTAGCATCCACCCCCACCCCAGAGAGGGCTTCCTAGTGCTCACCTGGGGGAGGGTGTGTGTGCAGGTGGGAGGACGGAGATCGTGGCCTCCCTCCATGTGGCTCGTGGTATGAAGACCCCACCTCAGACATCTCCTGCCTCCCAGGTGGCAGCTGCCTGAGTGGTGGGTGGTGGCTGGAACCAGGAGACCCAGTTCTGCCTGGCTGGGCCTCAGTTTCCCAGGAGGTGACCTGGACAGGGTCACGCTGCCCCATCTCTGTGGCACCTGGCTTGGGACTCCCTCCCTCCCCGCTGCTCTTCCTTCTCCTTACTCCTGGGGTCTTCCAGGAAAGTGCCGATCCCGGAGTAAGATTTGGGGGGCAGTTCCTTTGCTGGCCTCAAGCCCCCTGCGCACTCCTTCCCCAGCGGCAGAGCGAGGGCATCCGGTCCTCCAGGAGAAGAGCTGGGCTAGGAGCTTAGTGTGTTCCCCATGTCACGGGGCCTCTTCCACCCCCTGACTCATGGACCCCATGCTGGCCACGCTGCGGAGGCCTGCCAGGCTTCCAGATGCCGGCGACTCCCCTCCTGGGGCCAGCCTTCTGGAAGGGGGTGTTGAGCCCATGAGGAGCTCCATAAGTGGGGAAGCAAGTGGGGACGGCCATGTCCACAGCATCACCTTGGCAGCTGATGGGCGGGAGGACAGGTCCAGGCGGCCTCCAGGCACGTTCCTGTTTGTGTGACATTCACCGTGACATGGTGCATGCCGTGGCACACAGGGTCCTGTGTTCAGATAAGCCAGGGCCTCGGAGGAACTCAGGCGGAGGAAAGAGCCGGAACACAAACACAGCGCGACCTTTCCCGGGAAGCGGCCCCTCCAGGAATGCGCCCTGGGCCCCCCTGCCAAGCCCTGGGCCTCCATGGCCAAGTACCCCTCACTTCCACCATCCGCGACTCGGTTCACTCCAGTTGAGCCCCAAGAGCCTCTGCTGAGCCCAACCCGGAAGGGCGAGGGAGCCTCGGTGGCCAGAGAGGGCCGAGGCCTGTTGGGATGACTGCACTCCTTCAGGACAGGCACCCTCTGTGACGGGGACATGCAGGGACCACTGCGGCTGCCCTGGCCCAAGACGCCCTGGAGGCCAGGCGGGCAGGGCCCCTTCATCCTTCAGGAGGTGGGACTGGGCTGGGTTTTGAAGGATGGCAGCGTCCAGGTAGACTGAGGGCACAGACAGGGAAGGCCACACAGGCCTAAAAGCACACAGACTTAGGCGGGCGGGAAATGTGAGGTCAAATCCTGGAGCCCTCGGAGGGGGACTCAGGAAATCAGATGCTCAGTAGGGGGCCGAGTTTGGAGCCTTGGCCTTGGGGCAGGCGCCGTGTCCAGCAGAGGGGCTGCTGCCCGCCACGGCTGGCCTTGCCCTTGGCATTGGCCCCAGGGAAGTGCAGGGCGCAGGAGAGATGCCACAAGGCCCTTGGGTGTTCTTCCCGCAGCTTCCTTCGGTCGCAGGCGGATGACGCATCTTTGTCACTGCATCCACGTAAGATGCTCTGTTAGAAAAAAGACAGGAAGGAAACTGTTCCAACTCGCGAGTGAGTCACTGGGGAGGTGGGATTGGAAGTGATTTTCTCCCCTCTTCCAGCTTTCTAAGATTTATAACACGTGTGCATCCTTTAAACTCGTGTCAGGAAGCGACCTCACTAGGGCATTGTGTCTGAGCAGGAAGAATCTCAGGACTCCCTGGGTTTACTCATTTGAGCGCCAGCCTCCAGGAGACGGGGCAAAGGGCTGCTCGTCCTCCGTGACCAGGCGGCCCCTCTGCCTTTGTCGCATGTGTGGTCAACGTGGTGGCTGAAAGGCTCACGTGTTCCTTAGCCCGGGGGACCTGAGAAACCTGACCGTCACCGTGTCTCTGTAGCCTAGTTGGTGGCCCGGCAGTGGACAGAGGCCCTGCAGGCCACCAAGGAGGACGGAACCCCAGGGACAGAGGAGGAGCCGCAGTGCAGGGGGTCCAGGCCCACCCACAGCCCCACCCTCGGGACACCCCAACCCCTGCACCCTCTGTGCTTGCCTTGGGGCATTTGCTTTTCAACTCCACAGAAAATATTGTGACAGTAACGTGGGAGCAGCAAGAACCCAAATAAAAGAACGTGTCATTCACGCTGCCTCCCTTTGTCCTGAGCTGCAGGTACCAGCACATCTGGGCACTTTCTCCATGGTCCGCTGTCCTAATCCTGACTATTTCAGCACCCAGGGAGCAAGCCAAGAACAAAAACACCTATCATCCATGCCCGGCATTAGAAAATCTCATTGTTGGTGAGAATGATGGTTTCCAGCTTCATCCGTGTCCCTACAAAGGACATGAACTCATCGTTTTCTATGGCTGCGTAGTATTCCATGGTGTATATGTGCCACATTTTCTTAATCCAGTCTATCATTGATGGACATTTGGGTTGGTTTCAAGTCTTTGCTATTGTGAATAGTGCTGCAATAAACATACGTGAGCATGTGTCTCTATGGAAGCATGATTTATAATCCTTTGGGTATATACCCAGTAATGGGATTGCTGGATCAAATGGTATTTCTAGTTCAGCAAACTATCCCAAGGACAAAAAAACCAAACACCGCATGTTCTCACTCGTAGGTGGGAACTGAACAAGGAGAACACTTGGACACAGGAAGGGGAACATCACACACCGGGGCCTGTCATCGGGTGGGGGGAGGGGGGAGGGATAGCATTAGGAGATATACCTAATGTAAATGACGAGTTAATGGGTGCAGCACACCAACATGGCACATGTATACATATGTAACAAACCTGCACGTTGTGCACATGTACCCTAGAACTTAAAGTATAATAAAAAAATATATATATAAAAATTAAAAAAAAGAAAATCTCATTGGTATATATTCAGATTATTTTAAAAGGAAATTAAACTCACAGATATAGGCAGGAGTAGATGGATTTTGTGGGGCTTAAAATATATGTAAACTTTAGGGGTTACTTTAAATAATAATAGCAATATGAATCCAAATTAGATATGAAAATAAATATTTATTTGAAGTGATAAAACAATCACAAGGCTCGCACATGAAAAAGCTGATAGGTGCACTAAACATCATCAAATGGAAGAAAAAAACAAGATTTGATTAGTTACTCCCTGGGATACCTCTGTCAAACTTATTTTTTCTATATCTCTTGGCTGCTACCCCTTGATTATTGCTTCGTGTTAAAATAATTTTTCTTAAAGAGAATGGAAAGATAACAGCCTTCCCTCTGACGTGAGGTTCAGGTTGGTTTCTCATCATCGGTTGGGGGCTGCATGACACACGCGGTTGCCGTCACGATGTGCGTGTAGTGATGCTGCCACGGGTGTCACCCCGTAAGCAGCAGCTCCGATCAATTCTCCTTTGCGAGGTGACCACCAAAGGACTGCAGAGCTGGCCGGGCATTCGTGCGTGTTCATGACCGAGAACTTTTCACACAGAGAGGACTTCTGTCCTGACGAAGGAGCGCAGAGCTGGCCGGGCATTCGTGCGTGTTCATGACCGAGAACTTTTCACAGCTAGGACTTCTGTCCTGACGTCTTTATTGTATAATAGTTGCGTTTAAGGCTGCAGACTTCAAGTTTATATTTCTCTTTATGTAACACTCTGTTCATTGTTGATTCTAGTTTATTGCATTGTAGCTACAAAGGGCAGGCTCTGCTGCGTTAGTTCTGTGAAGTTCCCCATATTGCCTGGTATGTGGCCTATTTTAAAACTATTCCATGTGTATTTAATAAGAATTAGCAATTAAGAATTGTTCATTGTAACAATTATAACAATATAATTGTTTACCTTTTGAGGCAGTGTCTTTGTATACTTTACAATGTTGGTTCCAAATTTCGACATGGGTGTGAACTTTTAACACCCTCGCCCTCTGTTTCTAATGCAGAAGTTCTGACATCTCCCCTTCCAACTGTGTATTTGACCCCTTTGTTCTTCAGTCTGTTTTGGCTTCTTGTATTTCGATGCAGTATGCCTTCACATTCATGAACATTCGTCTTCTTGTGATTGTGCTTTTAATTGTTTTCATGTTGGCTGCCTTTTCATCTATACTGATGAAAAGTAAATCATGCTTTTGTCTAACAGGCTTCTTTATGTATTTTGAAAATTTATTATCCCTGCCCACCCCTTTCCACTTCCCTCTCCATGGATCACTATTCTCCCGTGCTTAACGTGCATCTTTTGTTCATATGAACCCATGCATGTGGGCACAAGTGTGTTTTGTGTGCATTCTTGTTCGTATGAACCCATGCGTGTGGGCACAAGTGTGTTTTGTGTGCATTCTTGTTCGTATGAACCCATGCGTGTGGGCACAAGTGTGTTTTGTGTGCATTCTTGTTCGTATGAACCCATGCGTGTGGGCACAAGTGTGTTTTGTGTGCATTTAGCACTCTTTAAATATGCACTAAAACAGAACCTTTCCCCCACCATCAAAGTCTGCACCATTCATGTTTGTACAGCCAGCAGGTAGTTTGCCTTGCTGACATCATTTATACCCCCGACCTCGGTCTCCTATAGACTTGCTAAAATTCTCCCTTTCAAACTCCCTTTGATGGAGACCAGTGAGTGGTAGACACTCTCAGTTGTTGTTGTTGTTCAATTTTTATTTTTATTTTTTCGAGATGGAGTCTTGCTCTGTTGCCCAGGCTGGAGTGCAGTGGCATGATCTCAGCTCATTGCAACCTCTGCCTCCCAGGTTCAAGCAATTCTCCTGCCTTTGCCTCCTGAGTAGCTGGGATTACAGGTGCACGCCACCATGCCTGGCTAATTTTTGTATTTTTAGTCAAGATGGGGTTTCACCATGTTGGTCAGGCTGGTCTCGAACTTTTGACCTCGTCTTGGCTTCCCAAAGTGCTGGTATTACAGGTGTGAGCCACCACGCTGGGCCTCAGTTGTTTTTTAATGTCCGAGATGTCTTTATTTTGCCTTCAATATTTTATGAAAGTTGCACTGAGAATAACATTCACAGGTAAATGTGATTTCTCCCGGGTCAGTTAAAGATGTCACTCCACTGTCTTCCGGAAGGCAGCGTTGCTATTGAGAAGTCTGCCATCAGTCCACATCCGCTTTTATGGTATGTAGTGTGGCTCTTCTTTCTGGTCGTTTTGACTTTTTTTCTCCTTTCCTGGGTGATCTGCACTTCACTGTAATATTCTAGGAGTGGATTTCTCAATTTTTATCATTCCTTGGTAATTTAGATCTGGGATCTCATGTCTTTTCAATTCTGAAAAATTCTGAGCTATTCCGTTGCTTTGTTGCCATTTTAGAAAATGTTTTTCTTTCGGAACTCCTATTCTGTTTATATTGGAGCCTCCTGATCTATTCTCCACGTGTGTTAACTTTGTGCATGTGTGTATGTGTGTGAATGTGCATGTGTGTACGTATGTGTGCATGTATGTGCATGTATGTATGCATGCATGCATGGTGTGTGTGTACGTGTGTATGTCTGCGTGTGTGCATGTATGTGTGCATGTGTATGGGGGGTGTGCATTTGTATGTGTGCACATGTGCGTGTGTGTGCATGTGTGTGTGCATGTGTGTGTGTATATCTGTGTGTGTTGTGTTTTCAGAGCTGCTGCACTCTGGATGGTTTCCTCCACTCATTTTATTACTAGCTCCAGAATGGAGACTGAATCTATCTGTAACACCTCAATTTCTCTTTCTAATTTTTCTGTCTTCATTGATTTTGTTGGTACTATCTTCCATGACACTAAGTCTCTTTTCTACTATGTCAAGTCTGGAATTTAACCTGTCTATTGAGTTTTTTTATTCACTTTGTTATTCATCTTCAAGATTTGTAATTATTTCTATTTCATCTCTCCTTGTTTCTTATATTCTGGCCAGTTCTAATTTTATACTTTATATATTTTTAAAATGCTAGGCATCTTGATCATACTCCTGCAGTTTTAAAGTGTGTGTCAGACTTTCCTTAGCTGGTGTAAGTTCCTGTACCAATTGCTCATTTTTAGCCTGCCTTTCTTGGTGTGGTGTTGCCTTGGGTAATTTGGAACCTGGCCTTTCTAGCTTATTTCAAGGCAAGGATATTGAGTCTCTGCATTTCTGCCTTTCTCCGACATCTTGTTGTCACTGTCCTCTGTCTAGCAGTGTTTCGTAGCCTCTGCCCCGGGTCCCAGGCTTCTGCTCTGCAGTGATGTGGAGGATGTCACAGATAAAGTCACCCTTTCTGAGGACGGCTTGTCTCAGCTTCTGCCCTTGAGGCTGTGTCGATGTCCTCTTGCCTTCCTATGCCCACAGTGCTCCACTAAGTTATAAGAAGTTACAGCCCTGGGATGTGTCAAGGAGAGTTTCTCAGCCTCCTTTCTGGAGTCAGGGAAGCCCCTCCCATCACTCCCAGGAGCTGGATCTAGGCCCTCTCTGCCTGCCTTGGGACTTGGAACTGACAGGCCCCTGCCTCTGCCCCATCACCAGCCTGTGCTTCTCCTCCATTCCTGGTTTTATGTGAGTGTGTGTGTGTTTGTGCATGTGTGTGCATGTATATATGTACACACCTGCATACACACACACACACCTGTCTTGGTCTTCTGTCTGTCTGACCTATTGCTGCTCTGTGTGTGGAGCAGAGAGGGTCGTTACTGCACACCTTGCTCAGGACAGTGGACACCGTCCTTAAATGCACACGGTATCGTGTTCACACAGGAGGGTCCCTTTTTTTCCATGATGAATCTGAGGCCAAGTAACCTGCCCAGAGATGCAGGAAGCTCAGCCGAGCCCCAGGCCCACGGCCCTCGGACTCCAACCCCAAACCCCCTTGACGGTGTGCACATCAGCGCATGTGGGATGGCTGGGGGGCGCCTGTTACTGCCGCACATGTCCCCAGGAGGCCTGCACGCCCTTCACTCCCTTCAGTTTCCTCCCAGGTGAAATCTGCAAACCCGCTCCTCTGGACCTGGTCCTGTCCGGATGATCCTCTGGAATTAACAAGCTGTTATTCACCAGCCTCCAGCAACAATGGCACGTTATCTGCTCCGTTGCAGAACTGGCCGTGGTTTACATCCAGGAAGGGATTGGTCAGTCACCTGTGCTAGGTCCCCAGGGGATCCTGAGCCCAGCTGTAAAAAGGGCGGCTGTGGGAGTGGCACACCCTCTCCCAGCCCCAGCAAGTGAACTGTCAGGCGGCCGTGAACTCAGACACCAGAGATGAAGCCCCTGCTCCTGGCCATCAGCCTCAGCCTCATTGCTGCCCTGCAGGCCCACCACCTCCTGGCCTCAGACGAGGAGATTCAGGATGTGAGGCCCGGATGGGAAGGCTGGGCTGGAGGGGGCAAGGGGCGAGGCTGAGACTGCTGGATGGAGACCACATCCCTCCCCCATCCAAGGAGACCCTCATTTTCAGGTTGGGCATTAAAGCCCTGCCCTGAAAGATGGTGAGATGGGACAGCAGGAGTCTGGGCTGGGAGGGGGCCGGGGTGCAGAAGGGCAGGGCTAGGAGGGTGGGGGTCTGGCTGACTTCACTTCTCTCCTGGGGGTGAGGGCTCCTGTGGTCCTGGCCAACTTGCGGGGGCTGGAGCCTTCGGGTGGACCTGGCGAGGGTGCTGGGTGTTTTCTGGGTGGATTAGATTGGGGAATGTTCCCCATCTCCAGCCCTTGGGGTGCGGTAGAGTCTGGGGGCTGCAGGCCAGGGAAGGGGGAGGCTCTGGAGCGGTCAGCCTGAGCCTGATAGAGAGGAACTTTCTCCAGGTGTCAGGGACGTGGTATCTGAAGGCCATGACGGTGGACAGGGAGCTCCCTGAGATGAATCTGGAATCGGTGACACCCATGACCCTCACAATCCTGGAAGGGGGCAACCTGGAAGCTAAGGCCACCATGCTGTGAGTGTCTGCCAGCCGGCCGGGCAGCCTGCAACCTGGTCTAGGGCCTTCCCTTTCCCCACCCAGGAGAGCTCTGGTGCTGGGGAGGTGGGCAGACCTGCTGGGAGGCCTCTCTCAGCCCTGCCTGCTCAGGCAATGCTTGAGGGCAAACTGTACCAGTGAGGTGCCTCAGCTAGAGGGGACCTGAGGGAGTAGAGGCCCCTGTGGGCTATCAGGGGCAGTGCTGGGTACCACCCACCACCTCCTCCGACTAGGGAATGTGTGGTGCCGTGCAGGCCCCTTTGGGAAAAGGTGTTTACCCCCGATCAGAGTCAGAGCCAGCAGGCAGGGCTTACAGACTCTAGACTTGTAGTCTTGGCAGTAAATTTCTGCTTTGGAGAAGCGCAGGGATGGGGCTTGCAGAATGACCAAGAGGGGGCATAGGACACCATGGAGAAGACCCCCTTGAAGTCCCTGTGTAGCGCTCACCTGTGCGGCTCTCACCTGTGCTGCTTCCATCCGCGTGGCTCACATCTGTGACTTCCCACCTGTGTGATTTCACCCGCGTGGCTCCCACCTGAGTGGCATGCAGTGCCTGTGCTCCGGTCCTGGGGGCTGACCCTTAGGAAGTCACTGACCCTGGCAATGACCCTGATTTTTTTTTTTCCCCAAAAGCCCCTCACTGAACCTTTCCCTCTCTGGGCCAGATGATGATGGGTATGGGGCCTGTCCCTGAATGTCTCTAAAAGGAAGAATGCAGCTGGTGGGATGAGGCTCAGGCCCACGCCACAGACACTGCCTACAAACCAGGCAGCCCGGGTGCATCTGGCAGGAAATGTGTTGGGGGCGGGGGGGTTGGGAAGGCAGCCACCAGGAGGAGCGATGCAGAGCTCCTGGCCACCTCAGGAGACCCCGGGAACTGCCATGTGTGACCCGGAGGGGCTGCTGGTGCCTGGGTCTGAGATGCAGAGAAGCATCCTCCTCCATGGGCCTGTGGCAGACTCAGGGCCACCTTTGCAGGGCATTGTAGCGTGGCTGCTCCAGGGCCGGGGGAGGCACAGGTCAGGGCCGCTTTGCCAGGGGGCTTCTGTTTTCCAGGATAAGTGGCCAGTGCCAGGAGGTGAAGGTCATCCTGGAGAAAACTGACGAGCCGGGAAAATACACGGCCAGTGAGTCCCGGAGCCTAAGCCAGAGCCTAAACTCAAACACACGCTGGATGTGGGGGGGTAGCCAGTGCCTTTTTGGGGTGGCCTTTTGGCCTGCTGCCCCTGACTCCACTAAAAGCCCACTTTCCTCTCCCACTGGTCAATTTGCTTTAGAAATGTGAACACCTGACCCCAAACACCAGGTGTGACGGGTTTGTCCCTGGGTGGACCCTCTGGGCTTTCCCTGTAGCCCTAGCTGCGGCTCTGGCAGGGCCAGGAGCAGAGTCATATTTGGCTGCGGGGGGCTGTACCCCAACTCCCACCTCCGCAGACCTCACACCCGGAGGAACCCCCCGTGACTCACTGGTTTGAGATGTGGCCACCTCTCGGGTGCATCAGGTTCCTGGGAAGTGGGGGTCCCATGGCCTAGGGCTCAGGCCCAGTGGGGAACCTGGGTCAGGGAGCTCTGGGAGGCTGGAAGGGTGCAGGAGCTGCGGGGCTTGCAGGGCCTGGCAACGCACACTGTCCCGGGATCCTCTCTGAAGGCCCCGGTGGCTAATTCAGGACTATGCTGCTGTCCTTCTGCAGACAGGGGCAAGCACGTGGCATACATCATCAGGTCGCACATGAAGGACCACTACATCTTTTACTGTGAGGGTGAGCTGCACGGGAAGCCGATCCGAGGGGCGAAGCTCGTGGGTGGGTCCCGTACCCCCACCCTGCAACCCATGCCTCCACCCACCCTCCCTCCTCCCTCGGCTTCCTGCACCCTCTTCCCCATGGGAGAAGCCACTGGGACCCAGGAACACACTGCAGTTTCCTTAGGATGAGTTTTCCTGATAAAGGCCCCAATTCCCACCCTGGAGTTCAGGATTTGGGATGCCCCGGCCTCGGTCTCTGCAACAGAGGCAGGAAGGAGCCACAGCTGTCGGCACAGGGGCTCAAAGGTCACACGTGTCCCAGAGTGGCCCAGGCCTTCCCCCGGGGCAGCTCCCTGCAGTGTCATCCTTGAGCGCGTTCCTGTGGGGTGTCCAGCAGGGGAGAGGAATGGGGATGTGAGCAGGAGTCTGCGTGGAAAGAACGTTCCAGCTCCCGGGGTTGAATTCCAGACGCGGTGGCTCCCACAGACGGTGGCGCATCAGTGCCGTCCCTGTCGGAGGACGAGGCCCGTGAAGGCTCCTGAGTTCTCCCTGGAGCCAGGGGTGTGTGAATGACAGAGGAATGGGACAGGCGGTGCCCTGGTGCCCCCGAGGGGAGAGGCGCTTCCTCCAGGGCGGGCCTGTCCCGCAGTCCATTCTCACTCCGGGAGATGCTTGGGGATGGACGGAGAGCCCTTCCCGTTCTCCCGGTTCTGCTGCTGCGGGAGCCTTCTCAGCCGTGCACGGCACCCTGGTCCCACTTTGCCAGCCTGAGGACCTCTGGGTTCAAGTCCCCCCACCGTGGGCAAGGTCCCTCTCCCCAGGCTAGCTCAGGCCTCCAGGCTGGGACGGGGTGCCGTCTGCCCAGTGCTGCCTTGAGCACCCGCATCTCGTCCTGGCACCCACAGGCAGAGACCCCGAGAACAACCTGGAAGCCTTGGAGGACTTTGAGAAAGCTGCAGGAGCCCGTGGACTCAGCACGGAGAGCATCCTCATCCCCAGGCAGAGCGGTAGGAGGCATGGCCCTGCAGAGCCCCCCATGTCCCCGCATGGGGACGTCAGCAGAGCTGCATTGCACGGGCGCGTAACTGTACTGTGTCTAATTCTGGCTTTGTCCTTCCTGGGGTGGTGGAGTTGGTGGCTGATGAGGGGCCCCGGTCCTGACTGCATTCCTGGGGTCTCCTGACTCGCCTGTGCTTCCTTTTGCTGCAGAAACCTGCTCTCCAGGGAGCGATTAGGGTGAGCGAACAACTTTAGAGGACATTTGAGAAAATCCAGCCCTGGGGCTCAGTGGCGCTTCAAGAAGCCCTGGGGTATGTTTATTGCGGCACTACTCACAATAGCAAAGACTTGGAACCAACCCAAATGTCCAACAATGATAGACTGGATTAAGAAAATGTGGCACAGATACACCATGGAATACTCTGCAGCCATAAAAAATGATGAGTTCATGTCCTTTGTAGGGACATGGATGAAGCTGGAAACCATCATTCTCAGCAAACTATCACAAGGACAAAAAACCAAACACCGCATGTTCTCACTCATAGGTGGGAATTGAACAATGAGAACACTTGGACACAGGAAGGGGAACATCACACACCGGGGCCTGTCGTGGAGTGGGGGGTAGGGGGAGGGATAGCATTAGGATAAATACCTCATGTAAATGACGAGCTAATGGGTACAGCACACCAACATTGCA
The DNA here is from genome assembly GCF_000001405.40 of Homo sapiens. NCBI lineage: Eukaryota > Metazoa > Chordata > Mammalia > Primates > Hominidae > Homo > Homo sapiens. The sequence continues at coordinate 50,405 of NW_009646201.1, read as the reverse complement.
CATGTATACATATGTAACAAACCTGCATGTTGTGCACATGTACCCTAGAACTTAAAGTATAATAAAAATATATATATGTGTATATATGTATATATATATGTGTATGTGTATATATATACATATATGTGTGTATATATGTGTGTATGTGTGTGTGTGTGTATATATATGTGTATATATATATTAAAAAAAACTCAATTCTGGCCAGGCATGGTGGCTTATGCCTGTGTTCCCAGCACTTTGGGAGGCTGAGGTGAGAGAATCACTTGAAGCTATGAGTTGGAGACCAGCCTGGGCAACATAGCGAGACCCCAGCTCTACCAAAAAAAACCCAAAAATTAGCCAGGCTTGCTGGTGCACACCTGTAATCCCAGATACTTGGGAGGCTGAAGTGGGAGGATTGCTTGAGCCCAGGAGGTCGAGGCTGCAATGAGCTATGATCATGTCACTGCACTCCAGCCTGGGGGACAGAGCAAGACCCTCTCCACAGAGGCCTGAGCACCTTCCAGGTTGTTCCTACCCCGGTGTGCAGCCTCAGCCCTGGGGTAGAGCTGGCTCCCATTTCTGTTATTTCTGTGGTTTGAGAGTCCTCTTTACCCGTTGGTAGCCCCTCTCCTGTTACCAGCTGGGGATTCTTTACAGTAATTTGCTCTTCAAATGACTGCGCGACCTGTCTCCGACACCCTCTCTGTGTGAACCATGGCCTTTACTTTCTGAATTTGGACACTTTGACATCTGGGGCCTTGCTAACCCTGGAGAAAGTGCTTCTCCAGGAGTTGGCTAATTTCTAGAAATAGCAGATGACTTGTCTGTAAGTGTGCCTTCCATATGCAAACCGGTAACCAGTCCAGAGCCTACACCCTCCCCAGGGCAGGGACCATCTGTAAGTGTGCCTTCCATATGCAAACCAACCAGTCCAGAGCCCACACCCTCCCCAGGGCAGGGACCAGACAGCTAGGGACAGCCAGCCCCCACACCCCAGGGCCCGGGACATTATTGAAACCAGCCCGCCCTGAGCCTGTTTACCCTGCTTCCTCCGTTCCTTCCCGTGGGAAACGTGGGAACCGCAGTGCAGGCTCCGCCCGGTGCCTCCAGACAGGCCCTGGTGCTTCCGTGAGGCCCCGCCCCTCCTGTTTCTAGGGGCCTAAGTGTAATAAGCCTCCGTCCCACAGTCATTCCTATGGCTGTGTCTTCCCCCACCAGCCTAAAGCAAACCCTGGGAACCCTTCAATCACCTGCAGCACAGAGTCCTTTCTCCATGTTATGTGGGGCCATCCTGGCGTCCCAGCCCCTGTGAATGAGGCCTCAACACCAGCTCAGCCAGTCCTGGAAGCCATCTGAGAGCTGCTCTACCGCTCAAGCCAATGTGTTAAATACGGCATTTTGGATACGTCGTCACCAGTGAGCCAAGCTGAATGCTAGTTAAAGCGGTGAGGACAGGTTTTATTCAGCAACTTCTCAGAGCCAGGAACAGACTGGTTCCATGCCACTTTGTGCAGGGGAGAAGGGGTGTTCTGAAGGGAGAGTGGTTGGGGGTGCGGGAGGGAGTGGGGGCTCCGGTGAAGAGTTACAGAGTGCTGGTCAGGGTCAGTGCAGTGGGACCAGCTGTGTGGCAGTTATGGAAGGAGGACTCTGTCCCCCAACAGAGTCTGGAAGAAGGAGGCCCATTCTTCCTGAAGGTCACATTTCTAAGGAATGGCTCTCAGGTCCCTGAGAATGACACTTTTTTTTTGTTTTGGAGTCTTGCTCTGTCACACAGGCTGGAGCGCAGTGGCACGATCTCGGCTTACTGCAACCTCTTCTGCTTCCCGGGTTCAAGCAATTCTCCTGCCTCAGCCTCCCGAGTAGCTGGGATTACAGGCACGTGCCTCCACGCCCGGCTAATTTTTGTACTTTTAGTAAAGACAGGGTTTCACCATGTTGGCCAGGCTGATCTTGAACTCCTGACCTCAATTGATCCACCCACCTATGCCTCCCAAAGTGCTGGGATTACGGATGTGAGCCACTGCAGCCAGCCTGAGAAAGACACTTCTGCATTGTAGGAGAAACACAGACTTCTCAAAGTGGCAGAGGAAGGAGTCACAGGTGTAAGCCCTTTTTAGCAAAAGCTCTAAGAAGGGGCAGCTGGGTGCTGGCCAGGACACACAGCAAATTCACCTGCAGTGCCGAGCTCTCAGGCAAGCATTTAGGGCGCTGGGGCCACCCCAGGGATGCGCCTCCTGCTGTTGGATGCCATGAGAGCTTGGCGATCTCCTGTCTCCTGGTGCAGGGGCTTGGGCGGAGCCGATCCATGCTGAGAGCTCTGCCGTGCTCAGTACATACGCACTGACACACTCAGCACATACGCACTGACACACTCAGCTTGGGTCCACATTGGAGCGCGGTTCTCCTGGTGTAAAGCCCCTAGAATCCACCCCTACACAACTGCCTCGGGGTAAGATGTCTGAGAAAGGGAAGTCTCATCTCCTCACGCAAAGGAGGAGGGGATGATTCTGCCCAGGCAGGTTCAGGGGGATTGGGTAGGGGAGGAGGGGGTGATTCTGCCCCGGCAGGTTCAGGGAGATTGGGGAGGGGATCAAGATTCTCACTTCCATCTGAGATCACATAAATGTCCCAGTTCTGTGTGTCATGGTCCCACTCCTTAAGCAGTGACCCAACTTTCACATAAAACACTTGGCGACTTTTGAATCCAACTCACCATGCAATCCACACTATTAAATATGGAGTCTGATTTTCAGCCATTTCTGCTCTGTGGCTGCAAGAATGAAATATTATTCTAAGGCCAGGATGGAACATCTCCATTGTCTTGCCTGTTACTGAAGCTCAGACCTTGGCATTTCCTTTCTGAAAGCCCTAGATCAGTCAGGCAGTCCCCGCCCCATTCTCCCTGAAGTCATTACCACGTCTGTGGCCAAGCACAGCAGCCAGTTGGCTTCCCAAAGTCTTGGTTCCAGTGGGTGCCACGTCCCAATGAGCAACCACAGCAAACAATTTAGGGAATTGTGGTGTCACTTCATGCCGTGCCCAAGAGTATCCCATTTTCTATCGACGAGATGCCCTCCCTGCATCTGTGCACACCCAAGCAATCTGCACACGCGCCTGTAGACCTGAGAAAGCCCTGTGGTTGACAAGGGTGGGAAGAACGACTCCAAAGTTCCACTGAGTGAGGGGGAGAAGTCAAATAATTCCAAATGCTTTCCCTCCTTGAGCTGCAGGAGAAAACCGTGAGGAAACGCATCCTCTGGTTGTGAGGCTGGGACTGGGAATAGATATTCATGCTCCCCTTCAGCCGATGGTGCATGGGGTCTTAGAACGCTTTCATTTGTTGGTCAAAAAACCCACAACCACAACCGAGCATGCAGGTTTTGCTGAGACAACTTCAGATGCTTCATTCCAGCTCTTCTTTTCAGTATGTTTCACGGGGCTAAAACGAAGGTTGGCAGGGCTGGTTCCTTCTGGAGGCTCTTGGGCAGGAGTCTGTCCCTGCCATTTCCAGCTTCCAGAGGCCTCCACATGCCTTGGCTTGTGGCCCCTCCTCCACCTTCAAAGCCAGCAGCACAGCCTCTTCTACTTCTGTTCATAAATATTCTCTCTCCTCACCCTCCTCTCTCTCCCTCCCTCGCTCCCCAGCCTCTCTCCTATAAGGGCCCCTGTGATAACAGTGGGCCCACCCAGATAATCTGGGGTAATTGTTCATCTCAGATCCTTCACTGAATTATATCTGTGAAGTCCGTTTTACCATGCACACATCCACAGGGCCAGGGATGAGGATGTGGACATCTTTAGGGGACCATTATTCCGTCTACACATGGGGGACACAGGGCCAGGGATGAGGATGTGGACATCTTTAGGGGACCATTATTCAGTCTACCACATACACACATCCACAGGGCCAGGGATGAGGATGTGGACATCTTCAGGGGACCATTATTCAGTCTACCACATACACACATCCACAGGGCCAGGGATGAGGATGCGGACATCTTCAGGGGACCATTATTCAGTCTGCCCATGGGGGGAACTGGCAATCAATAGGACTGCAAGTAAATGAACAGGGTGTCTCCGGGGAGTGATGTGTCCTAATGGAGCGCAGCTCAGGGAAGTGACAGAGAGAGGAGGGGCTGCATCTTCCATTGTGTAGCCTGGAGAGGCTTCTCTGGGGAGGTGGTTTTTAAAATTTTTATTTGATATATATTCCACATGCCATCATACTCACTCTTTAAAAGTGCCCAATTCAGTGGGTTTCAGTAAATTCACAAGGCTGTGAAACCATCACCACTATCTAATTCCAGGAGATCTTCATCATCTTACAAAGGTCCCTATGCCCGTCTGCTCTCACCCCCATTCTTCCCTCCACGCCCCAGAACCTCTCATCGACTTCCCGTCTGCATGAACTTGCCTGTTCTGGACACTTCATAGAAATGGAATCATATATATGTGTTTCTTATGCCTGGTTTCTTTCCCTTAGCATAATGTTTCAACGTTTGCTCATGTGGTAGCATGGGTCGGTATTTTCTTTTTATGACAGAATAATATTTCATTGTGTGGATAATACCACCTTTTTTATCCATTCATCCATTGGTAGACATTTGAGTTGTTTCTACTTCTTGGGTTTTGTAATGTTGCTAGGGACATTTGTGCATAAATGTTTTCATGGGAACATATGTTTTCATTTCTCCTGGGTGTATACCTGGGAGTGGAACTGCTGGGTCATATGGTATTAAATAATTCTATGTGTAACTGTTGGATAAACTGCCAAACTATGTTTTTCTGAGCAGCTGTGCCATTTTACATTCCCACCAGTGGTGCATGAGGGTTCTAATTGCTCCACATCCTTGCCAACCCTTGTTATTATCTGGCTTTGTGATTCTAGCCATCCTAATGAGTGTGAAGTGGTATTTCGCTGTAGTTTTGATTTGCATTTCCCTAATGACTAATGACATTGAGCATATTTTCAGGTGTTTATTGGTCATTTTTATATCTTCTCTGAAGAAAGTCTATTCATTTCCCTTTTTAAAATTGGGCTAGTTGTGTTTTTATGTTGAGTTATAAGTGTATTTTATATATTGTTGATACTAGACTCGACTCTTGTCAGATATGTGATTTGCAAGTATTTTCTCACGTTCTGTATCTTGTCTTTTCATTTCCTTGACAGTGTCCACTGACGTACAAAAGTTTTTAATTTTGATGAAGTCCAATTTGTCTGTTCCTTTGGTTGCATGCTATTTGGGTGTATAGAGAAGAATTCATTGTCAAAGCCAAAGTCACAGAGATTTACACATCTTCTTAGAGTTGTACAGTTTTAGCTCTTACGTTGAGGTCTTTGATCCATTCTGGTTGAAAGCTTGTGTGTGGCGTGAGGTCCCACCTCAGTCTTTTGCATGTGGACATCCAGTTGTCCCAGAGCCATTTGTTGAAGACAGTTCTTATCTTGGCATCTCAACTAATTCTTGCACCTGTGTTTGTGGGGTGTTGATTTTCTTCAGTTCCTTGGAATCCTTCTTTACCCAAACATCATTTTCTCTGGCCCTGTGGAGTTCCACCCTCTGTCTGCATGGACTGGTATTTAGCTATGGTCTTGAGGACCACTCTGCATGTTTCTGGAGCTCTTCCTCTGCAGAGGGCTCTCCTATCTCTTTCCTTGTCTCCCACATTCTAGTCGTCTGCGATGCCTAGAGTCCAATCTGTGTCCCGTCCACGCCGTCTGACTCCTTGCTCTGTTGGGTTCCTCTCTCTGTGGTGGATTGAAATTCCCTCCAGGCATAAAGCTGCCATGATCCAGCTGAGCTCGTTAGCTCCCATTCTCAGGGATCACAGCCTGCGCTGTCTGTGTCCAGTTTCTAAACACAAGCGTTTTGCACCTGGGGGCCAGTTTCCCTCTGTTTGTGGTGGGACAGTTAGGTCCATCCCCTGTTCTCCTGGATGCCCAGGTAGAAATCAGTGCACCATCCTGGGTTATTGCCGCGTCTTTTCTAACTGCTTTCTCTGCTTCTATATTCGGCCTCCAAATCTGTGCTCAATGCAGCAACTGGAGTGACCCCTTAAATACGTAAGTCACAGCTTGCCTTTGTCAGAGCTCTCCAGGGTCTTTCACTCAGAGCAGAAGCTGAAGTCCTCGTGGTGGTCCTTAATCCCTACATGGCAGTTCCACCCACTCCCCAGCCTCATGTGTGGCCGGTCTCCCTGGATCATTTGCTGTGGCTGCTCTGCTGTGTGTTCCCGGAAACTGCCAGCGTTCTCCCACCTCCAGGCTGGCACTGGATGCTCCTGCCACCTGGACTCCTCTTCCAGCTGACGAGCTCATGGCTTGCTTCCTTCATGTCTTAAATTCGGTGTTTGAATGCCACCTTGGCGGGGCTGTTCCTCATCAATTCATTTAAAGGACAAATAACCCCTTGTCCTGACACTCCTGTCCAACTTGTCCACTTTGCTTTTTCCATAGCACTGATCACCATTTAAAATAACGTATGAACCAGTGACCCATCAGGATCCAGAGACAATAGATTGAACAGGGATTGCTTGCACAATGAACAATCAGCTCTAGAGGTTTAAAGAGAACCACAAAGAATGGCTCAGGATTGCACGAGGGCAGTTAAGGAAGAAATAAACAGGGGTGGGGATCCTTTCCACAAGTCTGGGTTCAGACCTCACGGGAGAAGGTGTGGTTCTCCCAAGGGAAGCTGGAGAAGTTTGCTGGGTTGTCCCAGCCACAGCTGGCCCACGGTCAGGGCAGAGGCCAGCAGGCAGGGAAATGTAGGCTGGGTCTGGCAAGCAGGAAGCCTCTCTCCCCACCCAAGGCAGGTGGGCTGGGGCTGGGAAGCCTGCAAGAGTCACTGGGAACCCACAGGTGCAGATGCCACTGAATCTCAATAGGAAGCCATCTGGGGGCGGTCCCCTGAATTCAATGTGGTGTGTGCCGCCAGACGTCCCCGACTTGTGCCACTGCCATTTGCATAGGAAGAGAAAGAAAAAGGAAGAAATGGAAGCATCTGGAACCAGTCATCCTGGACCCATGCTAGGAGGCGCTTCTCCCTACGCCTCAACCAACAAAGCTTAGCATTGCACCAGGTGCACAAGAGAAGCGCCTGCTGGCTCCAGCTCCATTGCCTCGGAACCGGCCATGAAGGGTACGTGTGGAGCTGGAGGCAAGACATTGATAGCTGGCACTGCAATTCACTTATTTATTGTGTTCATTTTAAGTCCCCTGCACCTAGAATATAAGCCCCCCGAGCACAGGACATTTGTTTCATTGATCGATGTATTCCTTGTGCCCCAAAGAATGAGAGGCATCTAGAAAGTCTGCAAAAATCAAACATAAAAATGAACCTTTATTCAGTCATTGTTATTTTGATGGAAATTTGAGGCATTTCCAAGATTTGTAAGTAACAATTGAACCCTTCTGCTGGTTCATGTGTGGGAGTGTATCTGTTGAAATGATGCTTCTGAGTGGAGTTGCTGAGTCTTTGGCTCTAGGTTTTTTTTTTTTAAGCATTTATGCTTATTGTGGTTTTTAAATTAAACATTTAACCCTGAGACATTGTAGATTCCCATGCAGTTGTAAAAAGCCACACAGAGCTATCATGTGTATCTTCACCTGGCTTGCTCCAGCCCCAACCCCAGCAATGACAGACCTGTTCTCCACTCCTGAAATCTGCTCATTGCAAGAATGTCGTCTATTGCAATCATAAAATTGTGGGATTGGCTTTTTTTTTTCCTGTGCAGCATCATTCTCTGGAGATTCATCCCATTGTTGCATTTATCAATAGTTTATTCCATTTTACTTCTGAGTAGTGCTCTATGGTATGGATGTACCACAGTCTGTTTAACTATTCACCTGTTGGAGGATGTCTGTGTTTATAGATTTGGGCTATGACACATGTACAGGTTTTTGCATGGACATCAGTTTTCATTTTTCTGGGACAAAGGCCCAGGGGTTCTATTGCGGGGTTCTATGCTTGTTGCAGGGTTTTTTTTTTTTAAACCTGTCAAGCCATTTTCCAGAAACTGTCCAGTTTCCATGCATCCTCACCAGGCTTCAGTGTGATCACTATGATCTTATCTCAGCCACCTTAATAGGTATGTACTGATATATCATGGCTTTTATTTGCATTTCACTGATGACTAATGGTGTTGAGCATCTTTTCATGTGTTTATTTGCCATCTGTATATCCTCTCTAGTCAAGTGTCCCTTCATGTCTTTTGTTTACGTTCTATTTTTGAAACTGTTGAGTTTTGAAAAATTCTTTATAAAGTATAGAAACTAATTCTTTGTTGAATATGTAGTTTGTCAATATTTTCTTTCAGTCTTTGGCTTGTCTTTTTATTCTGTTAACAGGGTCTCTTACAGAGCAAAAGGTTTTTATTTTGATGAAGTCTATTTTAACAATTTTTCCTTTTATGGATCATATTTTTGGTGACACATCTAAAATCTCCTGACCCAGCTCCATATCCCAAAGATTTTCTTTCTGTTTTCTAAAGCTTTTATAGTTTTAAGTTTTATGTTTAAGTCTATGATCCATTTTGAGTTAATTTTCTTGCAGGGTGTGAGACCAAGGTTGTGGTTCTTCTTTTTGTTTGGTGGTTTTGTCTGTGGATGTCCAGTTAATCCAGCCCATTTGCTACAAAAGCTATCTTCCATTGAATTGCTTTTGCATCTTTGTAAAAACTTAACTGGGTATATGCGTGCAGGTCTGTTTGAGGATTCTTTATTGTCTGTCCCATTGATCTATGCATCTGTCCATCTGCTAGCTATACAATGAGTCTTGAAAGGGTAGCCTGTAGCTGGGTATGGTGGTGTGCATCTGTAATCCCAGCTACTTGGGAGGCGGAGGCAGGAGAATCACTTGAATCTGGGAGGTGGAGGTTGCAATGAGTCGAGATTGTGCTACTGCACTCCAGCCTGGGTGACAGAGCAAGACTCTGTCTCTAAAAAAAAGAAAGAAGAAGAAAAGGAAAGAAAGGGTAGCCTGATTCCTCCCACTTTATTCTTAAAAAAAAAAGTTTTAGTTATTCTAGTTCCTCTGCCTTTCCATATAAATGTTAGAATAATCTTGTCTATGTCTACAAAAATTCCTTCTGGAATTTTGATAGAAATTGTGTTAAATCTTTATATTATTTGAGAGAAATGACGCTTTTATTATGTTGAGTCTCCTAATCCATGGATATAGCACATCTCTCCATTTGTTTAGATCTTCTTTGATTTATTTTATAATCATTGCATTATTTTCAGCATACAAATCCAGCATATGGGTTGTTAAACTTATGCCTAGGTATCTCTTTTTTTTAGCCACTATAAGTAGTATTGTGTTTTTAAGTTTAGGGTCCGTTACTAGTATGTAGACACACAATTGATCTTTGTATATTTATCTTGTATCCTGCAACCTTGCTGAACTCGCTTAATAGTTCTAGGAGGTGTATTGTTTTCTTTTGTTTTGTTTTTCAGTTTCTTGGGATTTTCTACAGAGACAATCATGTCATCTGCAGATGCAGACAGTTTTCTTCCTTCCTTTCCAATTTGTATGTCTTTAATTTCCTTTTTAAAAAACCTTTATTGCTCTGACTAGAACTTTCTGTACTATGTTAAATACAAGTGGTGAAAGTGGACATCCTTGCCTTGTCCCTGATGTTAAGGAGAAAGCGTTTGTAACTGAGTATCCCAGCCTCAAAATGTGCTTAAAAACTTTTTTCCTTTCTTGCTTTCAGCCTTGAAACATACTTCGAAACTCTTTATTTCTCCCTTTCCCACCAGGCACTTCTGTGAGCAGTGCTCGCTTATCTAATTATGTGCTTACTTAGAAATTCCAGGGGCCAATTTTGAAACAAACCAGGCAGAGAGACCCAGCTGCAGAATCCTCCCTCTTAGGGGGAGTTACAGGTAGCCTACCACTTCCCGGCTGAAATCAGGATGACTCAAACCAGACCTCTGGACAGACGATTAATGACTCATGATAACCATTGGAACAAGATGCAGACCAACATCCTCCTGCACCATTCCCACATATTTCCCACACCTTTTCCTCCTTAAACCCCTTCGCTCAGTCCAGAAAGTTTGAATGGTCTTTTAAAGGCATGGGCCTGGCCATTCCTCTACTGCTAGCATTTGAATAATGCTGCTTTCCTTTCACCACACTTCACTTCTCATGCCTTGACTTCTGAGCAGCGAGCAGCTGGACTTGAGCCAGTTACACATCAGTCTTTCACCATGAGAAATGATGTTAGCCATAGGTTTTTTGTAGATGCTCTTTGTCAAGTTAAGGAGGTTCTCTTCTATTCCTACTTTTCTGAGAGTTGTTTTCCTGAATGCGTGATGAATTTAGTCAAATACTTTTTCTGCATTGATCGATATGATCATGTAATTTTTCTTCTTAACATATTAATATGGTTGATTTTTGAGTATTGTACCAGGTTTCCATCCCTGGAATAAACTGCTTTTGGTCATGGTGTAGAATTAATTTTATATATTATTATTTGCTAATATTTTGTAAAGGATTTCTGTATCTATATTCATGAGGTATATTGTTCTGCAGCTTTCCTTTTTGTGTTGTCAGGTTTTGGTTGGGAGATATTCTCTCATCTTCTGAGATTATGCAGAGTTGGTGTTATTTATTTTTTAAATGGTTGGTAGAATTTTCTAATGAAACCATATGGACATGAAGAATTATTTTTGGAAGCTTTTAAAATTAAAATGTTAACTTTAATTGTCATAGAGCTATTAAAGTTATCTATCTTATATTGGCATTGTGTTTTTTGAGAAATTGGTTCATTTCACCTATGTTGTCAAATATATGTGGGAAGGTCTCTTCGTAGTATTCCCTTATTATCCTTTGATGTCTGCAGGGTCTGTAGTGATAGTCTCTGTTTTGTTCCAGATGTTGGTTATTTGTGTCTTTCTTTCTTTTTTTGTTTGTCAGTCTTTCTAGAACTGCCTCAATTTTATTAATTTTTCCAGAGAACTAGCCCTTGTTTCATTGTTTTTCTCTGTTGTTTTTCTGCTTTCGATTTTTTCTGCTTTCTGCTTTTGATTTATTAATTGCTGCTCTTATCTTTGTTATTTCTTTTCTTCTTGCTTTGGGTTTATTTTGCTCTTCTTTTTCTAGGTTCTTGAAGTGGGAGCTTAGATAGTTGATTTTGGACTTCTCTTTTCTAATATATGCATTTAATGCCTCTCAGCACTGATTTAGCTGTGTCTCACAAATTTTGATATGTTTTTGTTTGTTTGTTTTTGAGGTAGAGTCTCGCTCTGTATCCCAGGCTGGAGTGCAGTGGCACTATCTTGGCTCACTGCAACCTCCACCTCCTGGGTTGAAGTAATTCTCCTGCTTCAGCCCCCTAAGTAGCTGGGATTACAGGTATACGCCACCATGCCCAGCAATTTATTTATTTATTTATTTTTGTATTTTTAGTAGAGATGAGGTTTTGTCATGCTGTCCAGGCTGGTCTCGAACTCCTGACCTCAAGTGATCTGCCCACGTGGGGCTCCAAAGCACTGAGATTATAGGCATAAGCCACTGTGCCCAGCCTGTTTTTGTTTTTTTTGAGATGGAGTCTTGCTCTGTCACCCAGGCTGGAGTGCAGTGGCATGATAGCCCACTGCAACCTCCGCCTCCCGGGTTCAAGTGATTCTCCTGCCTCAGCCTCCCGATTAGCTGGGATTACAGGCGTGCACCACCACACTCAGCTAGTTTTTGCATTTTTGGTAGAGATGGGTTTTCGCCATGTTGGCCAGGCTGGTCTCGAATTCCTGATCGCAAGTGATCCACCCGCCTGGGCCTCCCAAAGTGCTGGAATTATAGGCACAAGCCACCACGCCCAGCTGATATGTTGTATTTTCATTTTCATCCAGCCTAGTATATTTTTAAATTTACCTTCAGGCTTCCTCTTTGACCTGTGGATTATTCACAGGTGTGTTGTTTCCAAGCCTCTGAAGAAAGATTTTCCATTATCTTTCTGGCATTGATTTATAGTTAGATTCCATGTGGTCAGAGACTACCCTCTATATCATTTAAATTTTTAAAAATTTCTTGAGGCTCATTTTCTCATCCAGGATATGGTCTATCTTGGTATATATTCTGGTGCACTTGAAAAGAATGTGTGTAGTGCTGTTGCCAGGTGGTGTGTTCTACAAATGTCAATTCGATTATGTTAATTGATGGGTGGCCGAGTTCTTTGATGTCCCTGCTGGTTTTCTGTCTAGTTGCTCTGAGAGAAGGGTATTGAAGTCTCCAACTATAATTGTGGCTTTTTAAATTTCTCCTTTCAGTTCTGTTTTGCTTCACATATTGTGCAGCTAATGTTTGGTGCACACACGTTTAGGATTACTATGTCTTCTTTGCAGAATGGCCCACTTATTATTGTATAATTTCCCTCTCTGTTAATTAGTCTTTGTTCTAAAGTCTATTTTACCTGTTATTGAAATAATGCTTCTGCTTTCTTTTGATTAATGTTTATATATCTTTTTTCATGTTTTTACTTTCAACCTGTCTCTATTGTTACATTTGAAGTAAGTTTCTTGTAGACGGCATATAGTTGTATAATGGCTTTTAATTCACTTTGCCAATCACTGTCATTTAATATTTAAACCATTTACATTTAATATAATTATTAACATGCTAGAGTTTGTATTATTTTTATAGGGTTGCTATAACAAAATACTACCAACTGGGTGGCTTAGAACAAAAATTTATTTTCTCACATTCTGGTGGCCAGAAGTCTGAGATCAAGTGAGATTTGGAAGGTAGAAAAACCAACAAAATATGTTAATGATGTTACCATTGTGGGCAACTGGGACTCAGTCCTTCTGAGGACCATCTGAGAAATAGGGTGGAACCATATTTGATTGTTCCACTTAGAAGGAAGAGTCCAGACCATTTATCCCATCAGTTACTATCCCTACAGACTGAGGATGCTGATTCACTTGCACATCTGGGTTTCATCGGTGTCAGGGGAAGCACAGAAGAAAAGGTGCAGGCACTTAAGGTGGGAAGCTGTGAATACGTCCGTGCACCAGGAACGATCTACAACTGTGGCAGGTGGGCCGAGAGCGTGGGTCACCAGTGCCTTCAGCCACCCCTTGCACTGCACTGACCCACTCACACAGCAAATCAAGTCCATTTTGTAACTGATGCTTCAGCATGGTGGCCAGCCACCGTCTCTGAAATAATTAAAATAGGTGGTTGGTGGCACAGGCGATGGTCCCTACTGTGCAGTTGGTCTTGCAGCCTTAACTGAGATTCATCGTAAGCTCCCACTCTGCTCCTTCTTGGCGTGCCTCAGTCCCAGCCAGCACATGCTCTGGTCTAGGTGCTTGTTTGGTGGTGCCATCTAAACCTTCTTATGCCCAGGTGTCGAGTAAAGCCCAGACACTGTCCACTTCAGTGAAGCACCTAGGAATTAGCAGCCCTGAAAAGCTGTGATCACTGTGAGATTCAAAGAAAAGGGTCGTGAGGGAAGTGGTGAGAGAGAAAGTTGTGTGGTAGCGGCAGCCCAACAGGAGCCACCATCAGAAGGAACACAGCCATCCAGAGAAGTGCCCCAGGCCACAAAGCACTGGGGGCCAGAGATCTCACCCCTCATGTCTGCCATGGGTTGACCCCCAACCTCCAGCCCTACCATCTCCTGACGGTGTCTGCACCAGTTGAACCCAACCAGTATCTAAAAGGACACAGTTGGCGAATGAGACTGGGACACAGGGCAAGATGGGTGGATGATGGGAGACTCCTGGAGAGCACCCGTCGCACTGAGCGTGGACCTCATGGGAGAGCCCTGTTCTCTGAAGCATCTGTGCATGTCGTTCCAGCATTTTCTTCAAGGATTGAGCCAGCAGCACCAGTGTTGTAAGGTGCTTAGATCAATGATTCACAAACAACCAATGAAATACGAGGTGCCTGGGGTACAGTCAACAAACACAGAGAACAGAGAAACCTTCCCGTTGATGTAGAGACTCCAGCCTGTTTGCTCATCTCTGGTCCTGAAGAGCCCAGGCCCCATTCTTTCCTGCCCGGGGGGATGAGGGTGGGGGGTTTCTGCTCGGCAGCACTTGCCGTGGGAGGGGTGAGGGACTGGGTCACACCAGCCCGTTCGTTACAGCCCCAGGGTTTATTAGAGTGTGCATTAGTATTATTGAGTAAGTACTTGAGAGTGTCTGATCTTGGGCCAGAGAGGCACAAAGATGCCATTGTGTGGGTCCAGCACCTGCCTGCAGAGCGTGGGTCAGCCTTGGGTCCCAGGGAAGATGACACACACCTGGGAAATGCAGGGTCCGGGAGGGAGAAGGCAAAGTTCTGGCTCAGGTTGGCTGGGGATGAGGCCAGCAGAGCCAGGTGCCCAAGGGACCTCAGCCACGAACTCTGAGCACAGGCTGGCAGGTGACTCTTGGTGCCTCATGCGACTTGTTTATCTAAAGGGATGAGATTCAAGGCCTGTCCTGGGGGCTGGGGGCCGTCAAAGCTGACGAGAGAGGGGAATGTATATTCTAACAGGGAGATGGTCGATGAATACGTGCAGGAAGAAATGGACAGGACAATCCAGAGAGATCGCGTGTTCTGAGGACAGCACAGCCAGGCTCCGGTACGGAGTGAAGCGGGGTCGGGGAGGCGGCGGGGTCCCTCATATGGCCCGAGGAGGCCGTATATAAACTGACCCTGAGCCACACAATAGTGCCCTCCTCTGCCCCTAGGAAGCTCGAGTGCAGGGTCCAGGTGGGGAAAATCAATGCAGAGTGGGTCCCAGAGTGGGCGGAAGCTTGGGCTCTAGGGCGTGCGGGACTCAGCTGGCAGCAGCCCCACGTCTCTCTGGTTCTAAAGCCCAGTCCATTTCTGCTCAGCAGGGAGATGGCCAGTTCCCCAGAGGACTTGCCCAGGGTCCCAGCCGTGGCCCTGGGAGGGTGCAGGGGTTGGTGAGGGAGTATCCCGAGGCTGTGGGCCCTGCCTCTGTGGCTTGGGGTGCAGATGGACACCACCCTGCCCTGTCCTCTCGAGTCCTCTGGGCTCATCTGAGTGGGCGCGTTCGGGTGGTGCAAACTCTGGATGGCATCGTGTGTCTTTTCTTCTCTGGCTGGCACTGACTTGCTGTTCACCAGATGCCAGCAATGAGGACACTCCCCCTCCCGGATGCAGGACTGGTTGCCACCATGGGGAGGGGTGCACCGTGCCACGTGCTCCCAGGACACTGGCCAGGGGGCTATAAAGAACATCTCGAGAGGAGCCAGCACAGCCTTGTTCAGACGCCCAGTGACCTGCCGAGGTCGGCAGCACAGAGCTCTGGAGATGAAGACCCTGTTCCTGGGTGTCACGCTCGGCCTGGCCGCTGCCCTGTCCTTCACCCTGGAGGAGGAGGATGTGAGCTGGGTTGGCGTGGGCGGATGGAGGAGCCAGGCGGACTCCTGGGCAGGGGGCAGTGCCAGGGGCCCTGCTTTAGGAGGTGTCACTGAAGGCTGGCTTCTGACCCCGTGCTCCCAGCCTGGGGTGGTGGTGGAGGGGTCCTATTGTTCCTCCAGCAGACACGGCCCCCCGAGGCCCAGGGCCGGAGCAGGCTCGTCTCAGGGGTTCCTGCTGCACTGACGCCTGAAGCCCGAAGGTCTCGCAGGGTTGGGCCCTGTGGAGGGAGGGCTCACCTGGTGCTGGGGCCCGGGGGTCCATGGGGTGCAGACATGCCCTCCTTCCACTGGGGGCTGGGAGCCCTGAGCAGGGGGCTGGCTCTAACTCACTCCAGCTGAGCTCTAACTAAGGTGCAGGAACACAGCCTGCCTTTAAGGGCAGCAGCCGGGCACCATGGGTGTCTGGTTATAGCTGCAGGCCTGAGTGCCAGGGTCAGAGTAGAATCTGGGCCACCCATGGTGGGCTCACGGCCTTGGCCTGCTCCAGATCACAGGGACCTGGTACGTGAAGGCCATGGTGGTCGATAAGGACTTTCCGGAGGACAGGAGGCCCAGGAAGGTGTCCCCAGTGAAGGTGACAGCCCTGGGCGGTGGGAAGTTGGAAGCCACGTTCACCTTCATGTGAGTGTTGCCCACTGCAGGGCCCCTCAGGCCACTTTCGCTCCCCTCCCCAGATCCACCTGGTGCCCATTGCCCCATCCACGTTTCGGGTGTTGGGAAGAGTCACCCCCTGCCTTGGAGGGAAACAGCCTGGGCATCCTGAAGCTCGGTGGGGTGGGGGGCAGTGGAATTTTCAGGTTGCCGGGTCAGGGCCATGCACCAGGTGAGCTGAGGATGGGCCATGGGTGTCCTGGGAGCCGCTGCCCGCGTGTCTCCTGTTTTCCAGGAGGGAGGATAGGTGCATCCAGAAGAAAATCCTGATGCGGAAGACGGAGGAGCCTGGCAAATACAGCGCCTGTGAGCCCCTCCCCCACTCCCACCCCCACCCTCCCCCACCGCCAACCCCAGTGCACCAGCCTCCACAGGTAGAGAGTGCCCAGGCTGCCCTTTTGCCAGGGCCCCAGCTCTGCCCACCTCCAAGGAGGGGCTGGCCTCTCCTTCCTGGGGGGCTGGTGGCCCTGACATCAGACACCGGGTGTGACAGGCTTGTCCGCAGTCGAGATGGACCAGATCACGCCTGCCCTCTGGGAGGCCCTAGCCATTGACACATTGAGGAAGCTGAGGATTGGGACAAGGAGGCCAAGGATTAGGTACGGGGAGGCTGAGGGTTAGGGATGGGGAAGCTGAGGGTTAAGGATGGGGAAGCTGAGGGTTAAGGATGGGGAGGCTGAGGGTTAGGGACGGGGGCCAAGGGTTAGGGATCGGGAAGCTGAGGGTTAGGGATGAGGAGGCCGAGGGTTAGGGATGGGGAGGCCGAGGGTTAGTGCTGCGGAAGCTGAGGATTAGAGATGGGGAGGCTGAGGGGGAAGATGAGGGTTAGGGACAGGGAAGTGGGGCAGGAGCAGCTGCTGGAGCTGGGAAGGCCGGACTCTAGTCCTGGACGTGCTCTGGCCTTGTGGCTCCATTACTTGCATTGGGACCTTCCTGAGAGGAGGCTCCTGCCTCCGTGTCCGGGTCCACACTGTGCGGAGCAGCCAGGCCTGGCTCAGGCTGTCCAGGGCACCTGGGTGACCGCTGAAACATTCCCGAGTGTTTCTTCATGTGGCCCCGAGTGTTCTCTCTGGGAATGACCCATTTTCTCTGTCATCTACAGATGGGGGCAGGAAGCTCATGTACCTGCAGGAGCTGCCCAGGAGGGACCACTACATCTTTTACTGCAAAGACCAGCACCATGGGGGCCTGCTCCACATGGGAAAGCTTGTGGGTGAGGGGCTTGCTGGGGTCTGCGTGTCCTGCCCCACGGTCTCTGCCTCTGGAAGCCGGTGGAACCAGCACCACCATGCCCTGGCATGGGGGAAAAGGAAGCCCCCTGTGCCGGCTTTCATGTGCCGGGCACCGCTGGGCAGCCGGTCCAAGTACCTGAAGTGGGAATGGGATGGGCCAGGCAGGGACAGACATGGCCCTCGGTGACATGAACCTGCCAAGGGCCACTTCTGGGGTCTCGGGTGTAGGAGGGTCACCTTAAGGGGGAGGGTCACCTTAAGCGTCCTAAGAGAGCTCTTCATGGGGCAGGGACCCTCCAGGGCAGGAGGGTGGCCGGTGCCTCTGGGAGACAAGGTCCCTCCAGGTGAGGGCTGTGACCCTGCAGGGTGGCATTGGGAGCTGCCCAGGTCCCCTGGGGTTGCCGAGTGGCTTGGAGAGTCCCCGCCACTGTCCCCCTTCCTGGGGACCTCTCATCTGGGCAGTGACTGTCTCCTCTGTCCCCAGTCCCACCCCTGAGCTCTCATCCATTCTCAAGTCTCCTCTCCTGCTTGTCCGGTGCTGGGCTATGGCCATCTCTTCTGTCCCCGGCCCCACCCCAGAGCTCTGGTCCACTCTTGGGTCTCTCCCCTTGTCCTGGTGCTGGGCAGTGGCCATCTCCTCTGTCCCCAGCCCCACCCCCGAGCTCTGATCCACTCTCAGGCCTCTCCCCCTGTCCTGGTGCTGGGCCGTGGTCGTCTCCTTTCGGCATCTGCTCCCTGCAGGGCCGTGCCGCTGTCCCCACGTCGGCTCACCTGGCCACCTCACCTGCAGGTAGGAATTCTGATACCAACCGGGAGGCCCTGGAAGAATTTAAGAAATTGGTGCAGCGCAAGGGACTCTCGGAGGAGGACATTTTCACGCCCCTGCAGACGGGTGAGGATGGCTGTGCCCAGTCCCCTGTGTCCCTCTGCTGTGTCTGTCTGCTATCTCCAGTGTCCCATGACCCCCATGTCCTCCCATGTCCCCCGCATTCCCCGTGTGCCCCGAGTCTCCTCGCAGGGGCTCCCGGGCCCTGTTTAGCGTCCTCCTCATTGGAGGCTCTGTGCTCTGGGCTGCGATGGGGTCTGGGGCTCCGCGCTCTGGGCTGCGATGGGGTCTGGGGCTCCGCGCTCTGGGCTGCGATGGGGTCTGGGGCTCCGCGCTCTGGGCTGCGATGGGCTCTGGGGCTCTGAGCTCTGGGCTGCGATGGGGTCTGGGCCCTGGTCTAGGGCGCCTTCTAATCCCTGGGTTTTTCTTGGTCTCTGCAGGAAGCTGCGTTCCCGAACACTAGGGTGAGTGAGCCTTTAGGAGGGCACTGGACAAGCCCAGAGTCCTGGGTTCCCGGGGTTCGAGGGTACATCTGCTCTGGCCCCTCCCATCCCACACAGCCAGGGAGACCCCCCCAGGGTCAGGCACGAGGTTGGCACCTCAGAGTCTGCCCACCCACAGTTCCTGGGACATTCGGGAAGTCCTTTGTTTTATCATTCCTGCACCTGCCAGCCCGAGTGAGGGTCCTCCTCGGCCTTTCCACAGCGAGGCCTCCCTCCGGCTCCCTCAGGTGTCAGCTCAGCCCATCGCCCCCTGCACCTGTCCCCACGCGGTCCACTCCCCACCATCCACCCACCAAGGATGCTCAGAGGCCTGCCCAGTCATTGGAGGAGCTGAGGTCGCTCTGGAGCCCCGAGGTTGCCCAGCAGTGGCCGATGTGGGGGCTGCAGAGCCTGGGGAGGGAGCTCTGGCCCTGGCCTCTGCCCTACCCTGCAGCCTCCCTGACCTCTGCTCCTCTTCCCAGCACAGCAGCCCCCGGGTCTGCACCTCCAGAGCCCACCCTACCACCAGACACAGAGCCTGGACCACCTGGACCTACCCTCCAGCCATGACCCTTCCCTGCTCCCACCCACCTGACTCCAAATAAAGTCCTTCTCCCCCAGCTCTGGGCAGGCCTATCTGTGGGGACAGAGGGGCTTGCACCCGCTCCCTGGGAGGTCTGCTGGGAGGGGGAGCCACAAGGGAAGCTGGGGAGATGTTGGACCTAGCAAGGGCCAAACCACAAGAGGCACGATGTCCAACAGGCCTGAGGGGCTGCGTGATGTCCTGGAGGGGCCTCCTGCAGAGCCGCCCTCAGGTCTCAGGTTCAGCTTAGGACAGGCAGGGCCCTGGGCAGGAGCGTTTGGAAAGCCACTGGGGAGGACAGGAGCGGGGACACGGCGTCAGGGCTGCAGCAGTGGGGCCACCGCAGGGCTCCCGCCTCAGGGGTCTCAGAGGGATCCTCCAAGCTCCCCCATTTTAGCAGCCTGGGCTCAGTGGCAGCACTGGAGAGAGGAGCGCTGGAGAGAGGGACACTGGCGCCTCCATCATCACCCCCAGAGCAAGGCAGAGCCGACCCTGGTCTCCGAGATCCTTGGCCCCACCCTGGCCTTCCCATGGCTTGTCCAGGGGCCATGGTCTGTGCAGACACTGGGGCTGCTGGGACATGAGGAGGCCGACCACAGTGAGGGACGAGAGGCCACTGCACCGCAGTGATAAACATGCCCCAGGAACCACAAACCCAAGCTGGACAGGCCTCCTGGGGGCTGAGCCTTCAAAGCGACCGCCTCTCCCCCCGGCCACACCAAGTAACCACTGCCCACCTCCCGCCAGACCAGCATCCTCATCTCCTCCTCTCCCACCTGGACATGATTCTTGGGTGAGGCTACAGGGTGGTCCTGAAGTGAGCCAGGCCAGCAGGGCCCAGGCGAGCCGAGGCGGAACCAACCTGGGTGTCCACGGGCCACATGTGGAGGGCAGGGCAGACCTCACCCTACAAAGATGGGTGAGCAGTAAGCCATCTCCCTCACCCTGTGCTACCATGCAGATTCCAGAAAGGTTAGGATATGTGTAAAAATTCAAGATTGGTTGGTTATTTGCTATTGGATAGAAAACCTAAAAAGTTAAAAAAAATACATATATATGAAATTGGCCAGGTGCAGTGGCTCACATCTGTAAGCATTTTGGGAGGCCGAGGAGAAAGGACACTTGAGGCCAGGTGTTCGAGAACAGCCTGGGAAACACAGTGATACCTCATCTCTGTTTGTAAAAAGAAGAAAAAATAAGTAAATAGTAAAAATATTAACCTGGTGGAAAAGGATTTTTGACACATCTAAGCAGTGGGGAGGGTCTCCTTGGGAAAGACAGAGATTGGACTGCAGAGCGCTGAGCGTGGGTGCAGGGAGATGCTGGCAGGAACAGGAGGTGGGCACATAAGAAGCTGGGAAACCTGTTCCTGCCCACTTGGAGGGCCTGGCATGGGCGGCTGTGGGTCTCCCTGCATCCTTGCCTGGGCTGTTTGTCCATTCATCTGCCCTATCCATCCAATGTCCTGGCCACCTCATGATGGGTGGACCAGGGACCTGTAGCCCTGGGAATGCAGCCCTCGAGGTGGGAGGCTCTGTCCTGGCGGACGTGGGCCCCAACCATCATCCATTTCTGCTCCCGAGAGCCCTGGCCCCATGCAGCTTCCCCTTCCAAGCTCAGCACCCCCCAATTCCACCCACAAACTCTCCAATCACTGAGTCACACGAAGCCTCTTCCCATGGCTCATAACCATGGGACCCTCGCAGACACCCAACATCTGAAATATTTGAGGACAGTATCCCAAATAAGTCAGGAAAACTTTCACTCCCAACCCAAGCATGGCAGAGGCACCGAGCAGAATCTCTCCAGGAGCAAAACGAGCCTTTCAGTGTTTGAAAATCAAGAAATCGCAGATGTGAAGGAGGGCAGTGGAGATTTTTTTGTTCTTTCAAAATGAATTTTTAAATATATGTACAAAGGGACACAAGTATCCTGGAGATGGCGCACCAGACGGGTTCTCTCCGACATGACTTGTTCACCAGGGGCCAAGTGTCCAGGCTGAGAGCTAGGGCCCCAGGCAGACTGAGAAGTGTGACACAGGGCTCGTGGGTCACCAGCCTTCCGGAAAGTGCTTAACCTGTTTCTTTGTTCGTAAAGAGAGGACCACAGGAGCACTCACCAGCAGGGTTGCTGTGAGGAACGGGCACACATCTACACACAATCTCACACATGAACACACATATGTGCGCACACACACACCCCTACACACACCTATACATGCTCTCACACATGCACACACACCTACACACACACTGCCACATGCTCTCTCTCACACATACACACAGTCTCCCACCCGCACACACACCTACCTACTCACAATGCACCCCCCTGGTATACATGCCTGGTACAGCCTAAGTCTGCATGTGTGTCAATGATGAGCCTTCTTGCTGGGGAGTGTAATCTGCATGCCTGCGGTTGCCTAACTCCATGTCTGGACTCAATATTAAGAGAACAAAGATGCTGGAGTCGGGCGTGGTGGCGCGCACCTGTAGTCCCAGCTCCTCAGGATGCTGACATGGGAGGATCACTTGAGCCTAGGAGTTTGAGACCAGCCTGGGCAACATAGCAAAACTCTGTCTCAAAAAAAAAAATTTTTTTTAAAGACATAAGCAAGCATTCATTATCCATAGAAGGATTTCAAATCACACCACTCCATATAACAAAAAAATATTAATTTTGTTTTTCTAGTGTGAGTCCCCCAGAAGCAGATGAGGCAGATGCAAGCTCAAGTGGTTTACTTAGGAGGTGGTCCCAGGAGACCCTCCTAAGTAGGGTTGGGGAGGTGACGTTAGCAGGGAAGGCCACTGGTGAAGGGTCCAGCATCAAGGTGACCACTTGCGACCAACTGGGGCTCAGTCCCTGGCGCTGCCATGTTTTAGACCAGCTCCAGCCGGTCACGGGATGGGGATGCTTCCATGGGGCACTTATTCCTGGCACTTCCCGCTGCTGCAGGGCAGGGCGGCTTAGGTGGAAAGACGACCCCTCCAGAGAGGAGCTGAGGACACTGCGGTGGAAACGTGGCCAGCGTGGCCTGCAATAGCAAGAACCAAGGGCTATGACAGCCCCCATGGCACCCACTGCAGTCCACCCCTGGCAGCTTCAGAACACTCATGCCCCACACTGAGCTCACACTTTGCTGCCACCGGGTCTTCAAGGTGACATTTGCCTGTGATAATTTCTAAAATACAAAAAAGAAAAAAGTCTTAGAACAGAAACATTCTTGGGCTGGGCGAGGCTCTGGCTGTGGCAGTCAGTGCCAGGCGTGGCTGATGTTCATCCTTTCCTCCTTGCCGCTGGCCAGGGGCTCAGCTAGACTAGGTCTCTTCTCCGGTGGGATAGCACTGACCTTCCCCGCCAGGGTTCTGAGCCCCCAGGTGGGCACCTTGGAGGTCTGTGGTCCTGCTGTGCCAATTCACAGGCCTGGAAGCACCAGAGGGTGCCCAGAGAACCCTGGAGTTCTGTACGTCCACCCCCATCCCTCTCATGGGACAGTGCACCTGTTGCTTGGTGATAGGCAGATTCACTCATCTGGCAGTAGGTTAGCAAGACTATCATACTGTATGTGCAAAAGAGAGATGGGCAGAAGTTTAAAAAGTTCTATTTTGCCTGCAAAAGTAAAGGCGGCGTCTGGCTTGCTCCTGGGCCCTAAGGAACGCTGAGCACCTGCCCAGAGGATGCCAGTGACGGTGGGGCTGCAGGTGCCTGTCTCGCCTGGCATTGCCAAAGGTTGGGTGGGCAGAAACCCTCAGCCGTCTGAAGAAGCAGGGCATTTCAGATCAGCCCCCAGCAGGAAGGTCCCATGAGGCCCTGGTGAGAGCTGACCGGAGGACATGGGGTCCCAGCCACCTGTTGGACACCATGGTGTGGGCAGGTCTGGGAAGCTTTTCTCCTCTTTTTTTTTCTTTTATGAGACACTGTCCTTCTCTGTTGCCTAGGCTGGAGTGCAGTAGTACAATCACAGCTCACTGTAGCCTTGATATCTCAGGCTCAGGCAATCCTGAGTAGCTCAGCCTCCTGAGTAGCTGCCACTACAGGTGTGCACCACTATGCCCAGGTAATTTTTTTTTTTCTTAGAGACAGAAACTCCCAACGTTGCTCAGGCTGGTCTCAAACTCCTAGGCTCAGATGATCCTCCTACCTTGGCCTCCCAAAGTGCCTGAATTCCAGTCATGAGCCACCGACTGTGCCTGGCCTCTTCTCTTCTTGTTGGTGTTTGTCTATTACACATAGTGAACAGCAGGAGAAATATATCCGAGGGCTGGTGGCAGTGCCCTCTCCCTAACTCACCCCTAAACCCCGCTAACAGACACGGAACAGAACCAGAGCCGGGAGGTTTATTCTCTCAATGCAGGGGGATTCCTGGAGGTTTATTGTCAATGCAGGGGGATTCCGTTGCCACTTGCTGCCATCTCTGCACGATCAGCTCCTATGCATCTTCCCTTGGACTTGTCTGTGCTCAGCGCCAGGCCCCCGCCCACCCGCTTGCCTGGTGAGTGCCTCTCATTGGCTCCTCTCCTCGGATCAGCGCTCGCCTCCCCCCAGGTCACTTCACTTTCTTCCGTTCCTGGCCTGGTACCGCATTCTTGGATATCAACCTTTTTCTCCGAACAATCCATGGATGCTTGTTCTTCCTTTCTGTGTGCGTTTAGGGGTTCGTTTTATTAAAAACAAACAAACAAAAGCGCTTTATATTCTTGATCTTTCGAGATCTTTCCAGGATCATTTATTTTCATCTTTTAAGTCCAAGAGCTTTCCAGGATGCGCAGGCCTGTGTCTCTCCTCACCTGCCTTGCCTGAATTTGTGAGCGCTAGCAATCTCACGCTCACACTCTGCGGCGTTCCTTCTGCTCGGAGAAATTTTATGCCATTCTTGGTCTCCTGTCCTCCATCCGTGTGCCTCCCTGCTCCTGGAACGCCCGGGGTTTGCAGGGAAGGCTCCCGCGCGCCCGGCCCCCTCCCGCCCGCGGGCTCTCACTCAGCTCTGGCTGAGAGCTTCCTCTTCGCGGTGGTCTTCACCTTTTACGTCTGGTTGCGGTCTCTCCTGCATCGTCTCACTCATTTCCCCATTTGTAAAGCACGTGTTTCCGAGCCCAGTCTGCTTTTGCGCCGTGGCCTCCTGTCCTCAAGGGGCGCGTTACTGGTTTGGCGCCCGCGGTGGCTTCCGCTGCCGTCGGGGCGCTCTGGTTCCCGCTCTCTGGGCCACTCACGAGCTGCGTTCCTTTGCCCGTCCCCGGGCTCAGGTCCAGGTGCTGCTTCTCCCGGCAGGCGTGACCTGAGATTGTCGTGGGTCCCGCAGTCACTGGCTCTGCGGACGTTTTGCTCATCTCCTGCAGAGAATCCTGGAGGAAGCCCTTCTATCCCCAGCCTCCTTGGGGCAAAGGCCGGGGTGCCCAGGTCTCAGGCTGCAGGGCATCATTGCCTGCGAGCAGTTCTCTGGGGGCAGGCCAGGGGCCGGCCAGCGGGGCCTTGTGGAATGTCACGGGAGTGGCACTGCCTTTCCGTGGGGCCTGTGGGTCACACTCCCTCCAAGAAGGGGAACGGACCCACCCCTGGCGGAGTCCTGGGCCTCCGTCCCTGGCTCCCGGGAGGCCTGCCTGGGAACGCAGCTGCAGCTGGGAGAGGAAGGCACCGGAGGTTCCCACACCGCCGCTCTTCCAGAACTCGCTCCGCCGCCGATTTGGAGCAGCTTACATTTTGTTTTGTCTCTGCTTCCATCCGCAGTATTTATTTCTGCCTCCTGTGTTTCTGTTCTTCTCCAGTCTCCCCAGAGTCCATTTCTTTCTTTCCATCTCTATAAGGAACCAGCTTCTGCCTCCGAGGAGTGTCTCTGCCTCTCCGTGTGCCGACTCCCAGCTCGCACTCCTGTCTCACGTTCCCTTGGCATTTTGGTTTTGCTCTGTTATTTGTTCGTTTGTTTATTGAGACGGAGTCTCACTCTGTCCCCCAGGCTGGAGTGCGGTGCGCCATCTCAGCTCACTGCAACCTCCGCCTCCCGGGTTCAAGTGATTCTCCTCCCTCAGCCTCCCAAGTAGCTGGGACTACAGGAGAGGGCCACCACGCTTGGCTAATTTTTGTTTTCGTGGGTTTTTTTTTTTGAGACAGAGTCTCACACTGTCGCCCGGGCTGGAATACAGTGGGGCCATCTCGCTCACTGCAACCTCCGCCTCCCAGGTTCAAGCGATTCTCCTGCCTCAGCCTCCTGAGTAACCGGAATTACAGGTGCCCGCCACCACGCCCGGCTTATTTATTTATTTATTTATTTTGTATTTTAAGTACCACCACGCCCGGCTTATTTATTTATTTATTTATTTATTTATTTTGTATTTTAAGTAGAGATGGGGTTTCACCATGTTGACCAGGCTGGTCTGGAACTCCTGACCTTGTGATCCGCCTGCCTCGGCCTCCCAAAGTGCTTGGGATTACAGGCGTGAGCCACTGCACCAGGCCTAATTTTTGTATTTTTAGTAGAGACGGAGTTTCACCATGTTGGCCAGGCTGGTCTTGAACTCCTGACCTCAAGTGATCCACCCGCCTCAGCCTCCCAAAGTGCTGGGATTACAGGCATGAGCCACTGCTCCTGCCCTGCTCTGTTATTATTTTTAATATTGATTTGAACACTTGGTTCATTTATTTGTATGTTATATGTTTCTTTTTTTTTTTTTTTTTTTTTTTTTTTTTTGAGACAGGGTCTTGCTCTGTCGCCCCAGGCTGGAGTGCAGTGACATGATCTTGGCTCACGGCAACCTCTGCTTCCTGGGTTCAAGAGATTCTCCTGCGTCAGCCTCCTGAGTAGCTGGGATTACAGGTGCCCACCACCATGCCCGGCTAATTTTTGTATTTTTTTTTTTTTAGTAGAGGCAGGATTTCACCATGTTAGCCAGGCTGGTCTTGAACTCCTGGCCTGAAGTGATCCACCTGCCTCGACCTCCCAAAGTGCTGAGATTACAGGCGTGAGCCACCGCGCTCGGCCATATTTCCATGTTTTATGTTTCTAATGCTTATGTCTGTAATTTTCTGAGTGCAACAAAGGACACCTTTAGCTGCATCCAACAAATGTTGATAGAGATTGCTGTCACTGTTATTCATTTCTCAGTAGTTCATAAGTTCCTTTGTAATCCTAAGAGTATACACTGTCTATGGGAATCTGTTGATAGTTCCTTTCTGATACATGGCTGAAAAGTTTTTGCAAACATTTCTCATGTGCTTGAACTTAATTTGTGGGTTTTGGTAGTTGCATATTTCCACAAACACCTATTAGATGAACTTAACTGATCATGTTACTTACATCTTACACTCTCAAATATTTTTCTCTACTTCATCCATTTGTTTCTGAATATCTCCGTTAAATAATCCCGCTTCAGTTGTTGATTTCTCATGTTCTCCTTAAATTCAATTAGTTTTTGCTCCATATATTTAGAATTTACAATTGTTTTGGTGTGGCCAGCTCAATGGTGGTGATTTTCTTTTCCCTAAGGATGATCATTCCTGTTATCAGCACCAAGCATCTTTGTGTGTTCACATTTGATGTTTCTCCTCATATTTCACAGCAACTTCTTTTGGAAAATATATTTTCCTTTTCATTCTTTGTTTTTTAACGTGAGTCTCTTTCTGATTTTTTTAATTATTTTATTTTGAAATTCACACAGAAAAAAAGTGGTTTTTTTCATGGACAGTTCTGTGGATTTTAGCATGTGCAGAGATTTTTTTTTTTTTAAACAGAGTCTCGTCCTGTCGCCCAAGCTGGAGTGCAGTGGCGCGATCTCTGTTCACTGCAACCTCCGCCTTGAGGGTTCAAGCGATTCTCCTGCCTCAGCCTCCCAAGTAGCTGGGATTGCAGGTGCCTGCCACCATGCCTGGCTAATTTTTGTATTTTTACTAGAGACAGGGTTTCACCATATTGGCCAAGCTGGTCTCAAACACCTGACCTCAGGTGATTTGCCCTCCTCGGCCTCCCAAAGTGCTCAGATTACAGGCGTGAGCCACCGCACACAGCCACATGTGTAGATTTGTGTAACCATCACTGTCGTCAACAGGCAGAGCAGATCTGCCACCCCAGCAACCCCCCCTGCTTACCCTCCACAGTCAAATCCTCCCCCAGCCCCTCACCTCTGGGGACCTCAATCTTTCTTGCATCTCTGTAGTTGTGTCTTCTCTAGAATATCACATAAATGGAACTGCATAGTATGCAGCCTTTTTAGACTGGCTTCACTCATTCCGCATACTGCCTTTGATATTAATCCATGCTGTTAAGCATATCAACAGCTTGCTCCTTTTAATTGCTGAGAAGTTTCATTGCGTGGATGTACAACAGTTTGCCCTATTGATGGTGAAGGTGTTTGAGTTGTTTCCAGTTTCTAGCAATGATGAATGGAGCTGCTACACACATTTGTTTTTGTACAAGTTTTGTTTTTGTATTTTTGTTTTGTTTTTGTTTTTGAGATGGAGTCTTGCTCTGTCGCCCAGGCTGGAGTGCAGTGGCGCCATCTCGGCTCACTGCAAGCCCGGCCTCCCAGGTTCACGCCATTCTCCGGCCTCAGCCTCCCGAGTAGCTAGGACTACAGGTGCCTGCCACCACGCCTGGCTAATTTTTTGTATTTTTAGTAGAGACGGGGTTTCACCATGTTAGCCAGGATGGTCTCGATCTTCTGACCTCATGATCCACCCACCTCAGCCTCCCAAAGTGCTGGGATTACAGGCGTGAGCCACTGTGCCTGGCCAATATTTTCTTATACATACATACCACATACCATATTTGCTTATCTGTTCATCTTTTGATGGACATTTAGGATGCTTCCACCTCTTGGCTACAGTGAATAGTACTGCTGTGAGTATGGATGTGGAAGTATCTTTTCCAGACCCAGTTTTCAATTGTTTTGGCAATACATGCAGGAGTGGGATTGCTGGATGATATGGTACTCGTATTTTTAATGATGTGAGGAACCTCCACACTTTTTTCCACATAGGCTGCACCATTTACATTCCCACCAATGGAGCACAAGTGTTCCAACTTCACATCCTTGCCAACACTTGTTATTGATAGTCGCTGTCCTAATGGATGTGAGGATATTATCTCATTGTGGACTTGGTTTGCATTCTCTGATAATTAGCGATGTGAAGCATGTTTGTGTGTGCTTGTTGGTCATTTGAAAACCATCTTTAAGGCCGGGTGTGGTGGCTCACGCCTGTAATCCCAGCACTTTGGGGAGCCAAGGCAGGCGGATCGCCTGAGGTCAGGAGTTCAAGACCAGCCTGGCCAACATGGTGAAACCCTGTCTCTACTAAAAATACAAAAATTAGCCAGGTGTGGTGGCAGACCCCTGTAATCTCAGCTACTTGGAAGGCTGAGGCAGGAGAATCACTTGAACCCGGGAGGCGGGGGTTGCAGTGAGCCGAGATCGCGCCATTGCATTCCACCCTGAACGACAAGAGTAAAACTCCATCTCAAAAAAAAAAAAAAAAAAGAAAAGAAAGAAAGAAAGAAAAGAAAACCACCTTTAGAAAAATGTCTACTCAAGTCCTTTACCATTTTTTTCTTTTTTTTTTCTTCAGCACCTTTTTTACTCATTTTTTTAAGTGGGAGTATTTAATTGTTTTCTTGTTGAGTTGTAGGGTTTATTTATTCTAGATAAAAATCTGTATCAGAGATATGATTTGCAAATATTTTCTCTCAGCTTGTAGGTTACCTTTTCACTTTGCTGTTAGCATTTTTTGATGCCTGAAAGTATTTATGATTGATGTACTTCTGTCTGTCTGTTTTTGCTTTGGTTTGCCTGTGTTTTTGGTGTCATATCTGAAAAGTCAGATATGCAATTTCAAATTTTCCTGTATTTTCTTCTAGAGGTTGTGCAGTTACAGGTATTACCATTAGGTCCTTATTTCATTTCTAGTTAATTTTTGGATGTGGTGTAAGGCAAGGGTCTTCCTTTATGCTTCTGCACATGAATATCATTTTTCCCAGCACCATTTGTTGGAGAAACTGTCCTTTCCCCAGTGACAGGTCTCAGCACCATTGTTGAGGATTGCTTGAACATATGTACACAAGGGTTCTCTGTTTTATTCCATTGGTCTATATCTTTGCCTTTGGCCAGTACCACACTGTTTTGATTACTGTAGTTTAGTAATATGTTTTGAATTCAGGAAGTATGAGTCCTCCACTTTGTTCTTTTTCCAAATTGTCTTGGCTATTTGGGGTCCTTTGAGATTCCATGTGAATTTTGGGGTGAATTTTTATATTTATGAAACAAATACCATTTGGATTTTGATAGAAATTGCAGTGAATCACTTCAAGTGGTAGGGAAATTTGACAATATTAAAGTCTTTGAATTGAAGAACACAAGATATCTTTCCATTTATTTGTGTCTTCTCTAATTTCTTTCAGCAAGATTTTATAGTTTTCAGTGTACAAGTCTTTGAGCTTGTAGGGTAGGTTTATCCACTAGTATTTTATTCTTTTTGATGCCACTGTATTGAAATTATTTTCTTAATTCCTTTTGGATTGTTGATTGTTGGTGTATGGAAAGGCAACTGACTTTTGAACGCTGATTTTGTATCAGCAACTTGGCTGAATTCGTTTACATTTCTAACTTTTTTGGTAACTTTGAGGTTTGCTAAGTATAAGATCATGTCACCCGCATACAGGGATGATTTTACTTCTTTCTTTCCAATTTGGTGCCTTTGCTTTCTTTTCCTCGCCTAACTCATCTGGTTATGAGTTTCAATACTCACTTGAACAGAAAAGACAAGAGCCAGCACCCTTGCTTGTTCCCACTCTCGGAGGAAAAGCGTTCAGCCTGTCACCATTGAGTATGATGTTAGAAGTGAGCTTTTCATAAGCGACCTTCATTGTGTTGAGGCAGTTCCGTCCTCTTCCTATGTGTGGAGTGTTTTTTTTTTTTTTTTACTGTGAAAGGATGTTGAATCTTGGCCACATGCTGTTTCTGCATCAGTTGGCATTACCATGGGGTTTGTCTTTCGTTCTGCTAATGTGTCTGCGTGGTTCATATGTTGCTTCATCCTCAGAATATACTCTCATGTGTCTGGCTTCCTGAATTCAGCTCATGGGATTCATAAATGTCTATGTTTCGGTCTGGGTTGCCTCCATTCTCTCTCTTTCTCTCTTTTTTCCCTTTCTTTCTTTCTTTTTCTTTCATTCTTTCTTTTTTTTTTTTTTTTTTTGAGACAGAGTCTCACTCTGTTCCCCAGGCTGGAGTGCAGTAGCATGATCTTGGCTTACTGCAACCTCCGCCTCCCAGGTTCAAGTGATTCTCCTGCCTTAGCCTCCCAAGCAGCTGGGAATATAGGCATGCGCCACCATGCCTGGCTAACTTTTGTATTTTTAGTAGAGACTGGGTTTCACTATGTTGGCCAGGCTGGTCTAGAACTCCTGGCCTCAAGAGATCCGCCTGCCTCAACCTCCCAAAGTGCTGAGATTACAAGTGTGAGCCACCCCACCCTGCGGGCCTCCATTTGTTTTTGTTGCTCTGTGGGTCTGTTTTGTGCACTACAACCTCACTGCCTTGACTCCTGTAGCGTCATAAGTCTGAACATCTCATAGCATAAGTCCTCCAAATTTGTTCTTATTCAAGATTCTTCTGGTTCTATTTTAGTCCTTTGTATTTCTACATAAATTTTTAAATTGGTTCCTCAGATTCCACATAGCAATATCTGCTGTTGTATTTCATAAAGAATGTATTGCATCTATAGATCAATTTGGGGAGAACTCAATTCAGTAATACATGGTAGGGGGAGCCCCACAATGTGAAAAAGAAGGAATACGCTGGGAACAAATACCTGCAACTCATCTCAGGAAAATGACTCCCATCCCCAATATGTAAAGAGCTCCTAGAAATTGATAAGAAAAAGATCAGCAAAAGAGAGTATGAGACCCTTTACAGAAAGAAATACAAAAGGTTTTAAGCATATGAACGTATGTTCATTCTCAATGATAATATACAAAATTGTCTAATCCAAAGGTTTGAAAATATACTCTGAAGCTGTGTAGAAATAGGAACTTTTATTCATTGCCAACAGAAATATAAGTTGCCTGCCAATGGATGCAGTTTGACGATATCTATCAAAGTTACAAATTGGCCAGGTGCAGTGGCTCACACTTGTAATACTAGCACTTTGGGAGGCCAAAGCAGGTGGATCACTTGAGGTCAGGAGTTCGAGACCAGCCTGGCCAACATGGTGAAACCCCTTCTCTACAAAAAGATACAAAAATTAGCTGGGCATGATGGTGCTCCTGTAATCCCAGCTACTTGGGAGGCTGAGGCACTTGAACCCAGGAGGTGGAGGTTGCAGTGAGCCGAGATCGCACCACTGCACTCCAGCCTGGGCAACAGAGAGAGGCTCTGTCTCAAAACAATAACAACAACAACAAAAACCCCACAAAATTACAAATGTATTTACCCTTTCATTTATCAGTCCCAGTACAGGGAATTCATCCCACTTAACACTTCTACACTTGACATGTGTTCACAGTTATTGATTGCAGCTTTCCTCTCAAGAGCCAAAGATTAGAAACAACCCAATTTCCTCCAGCAAGGGTCCGGTTAAATAAATGATGACCATCCACATGACAAAATACAATGTAGTTGGGAAAGAAAATAAGAAAAAGTGAAAGGAGGGAGCCTTTTATGTATCACTCTGGAAAGATCTCTGGCTAAACCCAGTTGCTACCAGGGCTAGCACTTACTGCTCTGTGCCTGAGGCACCCAGCTGGATTTTACCAGCACCTTAGGAGATTGCTTTACCAGCATGTCCCCAACACCTGGGTCATCATGGTCACTATGGGCCAGGCCGGAGCTCCTGGCCCAGCTCAACCACTGACCAGAAGAGAGATATTGGCCAGTCCTCCTGTGGGGACACATAGCCCAGGTCCTGCAGTGAACTCTAACCCTGGGCCTCCAGGTCACGTGAAGACAGACAAACTGCAGAGAGCTCTTCTTTGCTTGCCTTAAAGAATCAAGGTCAACTTCATTATGGAACCAGGAAATGGATATCCTCACATGCCCATTTTACAGATGGGAAAACTGAGGCCCAGTGAGGGGAAAGCCATTGGGAATCATGGATAGCATGGCATGGCCGTTTGGAGCAAGGATCCCACATCCCCTCCACCACAGGCCCCACCCAGGCTGGCCCTGAGCTGCGGGACAGGAACTTGTGCCTGACCTACTGATCCCGGCAGCTGCTCCCACTGAGCTTGGACCACGTGCTTGAGACCCGCCTCCCCTCATTTAAACCCTGCTCGGGCAGCCTCACACCAGTGGGGACCGTACTTGTTCACAGCAATTCTCTCAAGCCTCTAGAACAGAGCCTGACACAGGAGGTGCTTAATGTTTACTGAATAAATAGATGAATGAATCAGTGTAATCCTCCCAACAGCCCTTCGAGGGGGTGCTCTAAAGAATCCTGCGACACAAAGAAGTCTTGGGTTCATTCATTCAGTCATTCATGCATTCAGCACCTGTGTGCTGCTCCCTGTTGTATGCAGACACCTGGAATATGACAGTGAGCCTCAAACACCTGGAATATAACAGTGAACCCCAGGCCCCTGGAATATGATGGTGAATGCCAGACCCCTGGAATACGATGATAAACCCCAGGCCCCTGGAATACGATGGTGAACCCCAGGCCCCTGGAATACGATGGTGAGCCCAGACACCTGGAATACAGCAGTGAACCCCAGACACCTGGAATATGAGAGTGAATCCCAGACACCTGGAATACAGCAGTGAACCCCAGACACCTGGAATATGACAGTGAATCCCAGACACCTGGAATATAACAGTGAACCCAGGCACCTGGAATATGACGGTGAACCCCAGACACCTGGAATACGACAGTGAGCCCCAGACACCTGGAATACAACGGTGAACCCGACACCTGGAATACGACAGTGAACGCCAGACACCTGGAATATGATGGTGAACCCCAGGCCCCTGGAATATGACAGTGAACCCCAGACACCTGGAATACAACAGTGAACCCCAGACACCTGGAATACAACAGTGAGCCCCAGACACCTGGAATACAATGGTGAACCCCAGACACCTGGAATACGACAGTGAACGCCAGACACCTGGAATATGATGGTGAACCCCAGGCCCCTGGAATATGACAGTGAACCCCAGACACCTGGAATACAACAGTGAACCCCAGACACCTGGAATATGGTGGTGAACCCCAGGCCCCTGGAATATGACAGTGAACCCCAGACACCTGGAATATGACAGTGAATCCCAGACACCTGGAATATAACAGTGAACCCAAGCACCTGGAATATGACGGTGAACCCCAGACACCTGGAATACGACAGTGAACCCCAGACACCTGGAATATGGTGGTGAACCCCAGGCCCCTAGAATATGACAGTGAACCCCAGACACCTGGAATACGACAGTGAGCCCCAGACACCTGGAATACAACAGTGAACCCAACACCTGGAATACGACAGTGAACGCCAGACACCTGGAATATGATGGTGAACCCCAGGCCCCTGGAATATGACAGTGAACCCCAGACACCTGGAATACAACAGTGAACCCCAGACACCTGGAATACGACAGTGAGCCCCAGACACCTGGAATACAATGGTGAACCCCAGACACCTGGAATACGACAGTGAACGCCAGACACCTGGAATATGATGGTGAACTCCAGACCTCTGGAATATGGTGGTGAACCCCAGGCCCCTGGAATATGACAGTGAACCCCAGACACCTGGAATACGACAGTGAGCCCCAGACACCTGGAATACAATGGTGAACTCCAGACACCTGGAATACAACGATGAACCCCAGACACCTGGAATACGACAGTGAACCCCAGACACCTGGAATATGGTGGTGAACCCCAGGCCCCTGGAATATGACAGTGAACCCCGTAAACCTGGAATACAA
The DNA here is from genome assembly GCF_000001405.40 of Homo sapiens. NCBI lineage: Eukaryota > Metazoa > Chordata > Mammalia > Primates > Hominidae > Homo > Homo sapiens. The sequence goes on along the minus strand of NW_009646201.1, from coordinate 16,358 downwards.
TGGTAAACCCTAGACACCTGGAATACAACGATGAACCCCAGACAACTGGAATATGAAAGTGAACGCCAGACACCTGGAATATGATGGTGAACCCCAGACCTCTGGAATATGACAGTGAACCTATACACCATCCCTGTCCTGAGAGCTCACAGCCCAACAGAGGGGACAGCATCTCACCCACAGCCAGCAGTGGAGGCTACAAAGCTAGAGCCTGCTCTAGCATAAGGTCTTGTGCCAGCCACAGAGCTAGAGCCACCTCCAGCTCCAACACTCGGGCCAGCTCCAGAGCTAAAGCCATCTTCAGTGTCGGTTCTTGCCCCCCTTCTGGCACCAGGCTAGAGTTAGAATCAGCTCCAGAATAAGAGCCAGTTCTAGATCTAGCTCCAGCACCACTGCCTGGGATAGAGGCAGCTCCAGCCCTGGCTCAGGCCCCCGCTACTGAGCCAGTTCCACAGCCAGAACGCGGCAGCTCGAGCATCGGCCACCACTCCAGCTCCAGTGCGGGAGCCTCAGGCAGGCACCACCTTCAGCACCAGCTCCTGTGCCAGAGCTTTAAGGCCCCTCCCTGGGCTGGCAACATTTCATTTTTATAGTATGTTTCTATTTCATATTCTTTATGGTTTATTATATTTTGTGATTTAAATTTTATATACAGATCAGGTGCAGTGGCTCATGCCTATAATTCCAGCTCTTTGGGAGGCTGAGGCAGGTGGATCGCTGGAGCTCAGGAGTTTGAGACTAGCCTGGGAAACATAGTGAAACCCTGTTTCTACAAAAAAAAAAAAAAAAAAAATTAGCCAAGTGGTAGTCCCAGCTCCTCGGGAGGCTGAGGTGGGGGTTTCCCTCGAGCCTGGGAGGTTGAGGTTGCAGTGAGCCGAGATCTCGTCACTGCACTCCAGCCTGGGTGACAGAGCAATACTCTGTCTCAAAAAACTAAAACAAATTATACACAATGAAATGAAATTTAAACTTTAATCATTGTAAACTATACAATTCATGGATATTAAATGCATTTACTATGTGGTATAACCATCACCACTCTCTAGTTCTAGAATTTTTTCATCACCACTAACAGACACCCTGTACCCATTAAGCAGTCACTCTCCACCCCTCACCCCTGACAACCACTCATCTGCTTTCTGTCCCTGTGGAGTTCTCTGTCTGGCCTGTGGCCCCCTCTTGAGCACAGCTGACCATCCTTCTGCCCTTCCCCACCAAGCTGAAGACCCCTGACAACGCCAACACGTTTTCAACCGTGAACTCTACCGCTGACTATGACTTTGTCCAAAAGAAGCAACGCTTAGCAAGGGGACACAGGTCAGGTGTGGAGGCAGCTCGGCCCTCCTTGCATGAAGCAGAAGGGACTGGAGATTCCCAAGGGCATCCTCTCAGCCATCTCCTGTGCTGACTCACCACAGGGCCGCCCTCCCCAGGGTCTGGCTGCTGGCTAGGCACTTACAGACTGGAGGGGACCAGGCCAGTCAGGCACCTTCCAGCCACCTGCAAGCCCAGGCCACCCCAGACTCCAGGGGCTCTGTCCTTCTGTTGGATAAAACACCTGCTGGTCACCAGGCTGACCTGGCCTCAGTGGACCGCCATAATTGCCTTCTGTGCCCTGGGAACCAGAGGACCAGCTAACCCTTTCCAGCAGGTGCTGCCACCATGCTCCGAGCCCTGTTGGCCCCACGTGCTGCCCCCCCCCCCACCAGCATGTCCCTGACACCCTTCTAGTACAGGTCACTGCCATCCATGCCCGGGGCATCCTAGAGCACCCACTCAGCCAGCAGATCTGACAATGGTGAAGCTGCCCTTCCAGCCGCCAGGCCCCCAGCAGGGAGCTCAGGACCAGAGGCAGCTTCCACTCAAGCCCTGAGACCAGCTCAGGTGAGCTCCTCCCTCAGCAGCCGGGACATTGCCAATGCACTCAGCGTGCACTCAGCCGGCTCCTCCAGCTGCAAAGTGAAGGAGATCAATGTCAGCTTTGTCCTGGAGCCCCCTAATGGCAGGGAAAGAAGGCGACTGCTTGCCCTTCTCCCTGACAGCTCTTTCATTCTATGTCCCCTCCCAGCCGGTGCCTGCGTTCCCCACTCTGCACCCAAAAAAGAAGCAACAAACCCCTGACTGCTGAATGGAGCTGCTAACAAGCCCCAGAGGGGGACGCTGGCCTCAGAAGCCCTGCAGGGTCCAGGCTTCTGCTGATCTTGCTATTCCCCTCAGTTCTGGGAATCGACCTTGCTGTCATCCGCAGGGACCTCCGGCACCAACTCCGACTCCAGCAGCACCTCCTCCTCTTCAGCCTCCAGCACACCACGGCTGCTAAACCCACCTTCAAATTCTCAGTCTCAGGGCTCTGCAGCCACAGCTCCTCACGCTGCTCTACAACCTGCAGGTAGGCGACGCCACGTCATCCACATCGGCCCGGACAAGGACAAGACAACAGGTACAAGAGCGTCCTGGGGTGCCAGGCAGGTGGGCAGTCCCTGGTCCCCTCACTCAGGCCTCTCTGGGTACAGACGGACCTCTCCTGCAGGACTGTTTTGACAAGTGACCAGTTCTGGGCCATCCAGGCAGCATGCCCAGCCTGAGCGGAGGCTGATGGTCCCCACAGTCCTCATCTAGAGCCAGAACGAGCTCCCCAACCAATTCAGAATTGGAGCCAGCACCAGACATGGAGCTAGACCCAGTGCCAAGTTCAGAGGAAGAGCCAGTGGCAGCACTGGCTCTCGCATCAGCTCCAGAGGTAGAGCCCGGGCCAGCAGCAGCTCCCGCACCAGCTGCAGAGCTACAGATGGCCCCAGCACTAGCTTCAGAGCTACAAGCAGCTCCAGAAACAGCTCTAGCACCATCAGCGGAGGTAGATCTAGCTCCAGTACGAACTTGAACATCAAATCCGGAGTTTGGGCACCTTTATCACAAATTGCTGCACTAGCTGCAATGGTAGTTCTAGCACCAGCTCTAGAGCTTGAACCGGCTCCAAAATGATTACAGAATTAGAGTCAATGCCAGGCTCATACTATGGCCAGCACCAGATTCAGAGGAAGTCAGGTCCAGAGCCAACTCTAGCACTAGCTCCAAGCTAGAGCCTGTGCTGCCTCCAGAGCCTAAACAAGAGCTCTAGCTCCAACACCAAAGCAACTCCAGAGATAGAGGCAGCTCTCTCAACTCGGATACCATCTCTAGAGCTAACCCCAGCTGCAACAAGAGCTCTAGCTCCAACACCAATCCAGAAATCGCTCAAGCACCACCACTCCCAGCAACTCCAGGGATAGAGGCAGCTCTAACGCCAACTCTGGTGCCATCTCTAGAGCTATGACCTGCCCCAGCACCAATTCAAGGAGACAGCCAGTGAGAGTTTTCATTTCGGATACAGGTCCAGAACCTCCTGTAGTATCACCTCCTGACCTAGAGCCACTCCAGCATCCACCTCACAGCTAAGGCTAGTGCCGGCTGCACGTCAAACCCGACTCTGCCATCACCTCCAGAGGGAGAGCCAGTCGCTGGCCCAGAACCACAGCTAGAATCAGCTCTGGCACCAGCTCCAGTCCCAGCTCCCAAGATACAGCCAGTGCCAGCCCCAGGACCAGAACCTTCATGGCCCTCACCTGTCAAGGCATTCTTTTTTTCCTGCCTGGTTTTCTTTTATTCATATACTTTATAGTTACCTGTATTTTATGTTATAAAATTCATATAAAATAAAGGTTACTTTTTTTTTTTTGACACGGAGTATTTCTCTGTCGTCAGGCTGGAGTGCAATGGCATGATCTCAGCTCACTGCAACCTCCGCCTCCGGAGTTCAAGCAATTCTCCCGCCTCAGCTCTCGCGTAGCTGGGATTACAGGTGCCTGCCACCATGCCCAGCTAATTTTTGTATTTTTAGTAGAGACAGGGGGGTTCACCATGTTGGCCAGGCTGGTCTTGAACTCCTGACCTCGTGATCCGCCCGCCTCGGCCCCCAAAGTGCTGGGATTACAGGCATGAGCCACCGCGCCCGGCCTAAAGTTTACCTTTTAAAACGTACCCAATTGTACAACTGAGTGGTATTCACTACATTCACCATCCTGGGCACCATCACCACTCTCAGTTCTAAACACTTCCATCACCCCAAACGGAAACCCTGCCCCTGGTAAGTAGTCACGCCCCATCTCCCACTCGGCGCCTCTAGCACCAGAGCTGGCCCCTGAGCTCCCATTAGAGCTCCCCCTGCTGTCAGCCGCGAATCTGCCACCCGTCTATTCGTCTACCTTCTCTGGATTTTTCATACAAGTGAAATCATATCACGTGTGGCCTTCGCTGAAGGGTTTCTTGCACTTAGATGTTTTCAAGGTTCATCAGCTTTGTAGCATATATCAATACCTCATCCCTCCTTATGGCTGGATAATATTCCACTGTATGGACAGACCATACTTTTTTTTTGAGACAGGGTCTCACTCTGTTGCCTGCCCAGGCTGGAGTGCAATGGCACAATCATGGCTCACTGCAGCCTCGACAACCCAGGTTCAAGCAATCCTCTCACCTCAGGCTCCTGAGTAGTTGGGATTACAGGCACACGTCATCACACCCGACTAAATTTTTTTTTTTTTTTTTTTTTTTTTTTTTTTTTTGGAGAGATGAGGTCTTACTGTGTTGCCTAGACTGATCTTGAGCTACTCCTGGCCTCAGGTGATCCTCCTACCTCATCCTCCCAAAGTGCTGGCATTATAGGCATGAGCCACCACACCCAGCTTGTATTCAATTCTTTTGGGTATATACCTAGGAAAGAAATCACGGGGCCGGGCGCGGTGGCTCACGCCTGTAATCCCAGCACTTTGGGAGGCCGAGGCGGGCGGATCACGAGGTCAGGAGATCGAGACCATCCCGGCTAAAACGGTGAAACCCCGTCTCTACTAAAAATACAAAAAATTAGCCGGGCGTAGTGGCGGGCGCCTGTAGTCCCAGCTACTCGGGAGGCTGAGGCAGGAGAATGGCGTGAACCCGGGAGGCGGAGCTTGCAGTGAGCCGAGATCCCGCCACTGCACTCCAGCCTGGGCGACAGAGCGAGACTCCGTCTCAAAAAAAAAAAAAAAAAAAAAAAAAAGAAATCACGGAGTCAAATGGTAGCACTATGCTGAATTTTCTGGGGAACTGCCAAACTGCTTTCCAGCCACTACACCATTTTACACTTACTCCAGCAAAATATGAGGCTTCGGTTTCCTCAACATCCTCTCCAGCCGTCGTTACTCTCATTTTGTAAAATGTGGCCACCTAGTGGGTGTGGAGTGGGATCTCACTGTGGTTTTGGTTTACATTTCTCCAACACCTCGGGATGCGAATCATCTTTTCCTGTGCTACTGGCCACTTACTTGTACATCTGCTTTGAAGAAATGTCTCTGCAAGTCTTTTACCCATTTTTAATTAGGTTATTTGTGTTTTGATGTCGAGCAGTAAAAAGTCTGTATATATTCTGGATATAAAACCGTTGTCAGATTTATAATTTGCAAATATTTTCTACCATCCTGTGGGTTTGCTTTTCATTCTTTTCAGGGTGTACTTAAGGGGTTTTAATTTCAATGAAGTCCAATTTACCTGTTTTTTTTCTTCTGTTGTTTGTGCTTTTTGTATATTTAAGAAACCATTTCCAAATCAAAGGGCATAGAGATTTGCTCTTTTCTCTAAGAGTGTCATTTTTCTTCCCCCTGCCTAGGCTGGAGTGAGTGCAGTGGCGTGACCTCGGCTCACTGCAGCCTCCGCCTCCGGTGTTCAAACAATTCTCGTGCCTCAGCCACCCGAGTAGCTGGGATTACAGGCATGTGCCACCATGTCTGGTTTTTTTTTTTTTTTTTGTATTTTTAATAGAGACAGATTTTGCCATGTTGGCCAGGCTGGTCTCGAACTCCTGGCCACAGGCGTTCCACACGCCTCAGCCTCCCAAAGTGCTAAGATTACAGGCATGAGCCACCACACCCGGCCGAGTGTTAAAGTTTCATTTCTCAAATTTAGGTCTTTAATTCCTTTTAAGTCAATATTTTATATGGTATTAGGTAAGGCTCCAACTTCCCTCTTTTGCCTGAGGATATCCAGTTCTGCTGGCACCATTTGTGGAAGAGACTGTTTCTGCCTCACTGAATGATCCTGATAGCCATGTTGAAAATCAATTGACATACATGTATGGATTTATCTCCTGATTCTCAACTGTATTCCACTGATCTGTATGTGTATTCCTCATCTCTGCTGCAACTTTGCTGAAATTGTTCATTAACTCTAAGATTATTTTTATTCCATAGAATTTTCTACACATAAGTTCATGTCATCAATAAACAGAGATACTTGGCCAGGCGCAGTGGCTCATGCCTGTAATCCCAACACTTTGGGAGGCCGAGGCGGGTGGACCACAAGGTCAGGAGTTCAAGACCAGCCTGGCCAACATGGTGAAACCCCGTCTCTACTAACAATACAAAAATTAGCTGGGCGTGGTGGTGCGCATCTGTAATCCCAGCTACTCGGGAGACTGAGGCAGGAGAGTCACTTGAACCTGGGAGGCAGAGGTTGCAGTGAGCCGAGATTGCGCCACTGCACTCCAGCCTGGGCGACAGGGCGAGACTCCATCTCAAAAAACAAAACAAAACAAAACAAAAAACAGAGATACTTTTACTTCTTTCTTTCCAATTTCAGTGCCTTTATTTCTTTGTCTTGCCTAATTGCTCTGGTCAAACTTCCATCACGATGTTGGAGTGAAGTGGTGAAAGCAGGCATCCTTGTCTCGTTCTTCATCTGAGGCAGAGAGCTCTCAGCCTTTCACCACCGAGTCACAGTAGGTGTGAGTTTTTCGTAAGTACTCTTAATCCTGTTGAGGAAGTTCCCTTCTATTTCTCTTTTATTGAGTGCTCTTATCATGACAGTGTTGGATTTTGTCAAATGCTTTTTCTGCGTGAATTGGGATGATGGGTTTTTCCCTTCATTCTAGGGAGACGGTGTATCATATTGAAGATTTTGAGAAGTCTGAGAAGGATTGGTGTTACATGTTAAATGTCTGGGAGGATACGCCAGTGAAGTCACCTGGTTCTGGGCTTTTCTTTGTGGGAAAGTTTCTGATCACTGACTCAATCTCCTCACTCTGACAGGTCTGTTTAGATTTTCCATTTCTTGACTCAGGTGTGGTAGTTTGTATGTTTCTAGGAATGTGTCCATTTCATTTACGTTAACCAACTAGTTGGCCTACAATTGTTCCTAGCATTCTCTTTATAAATCCTTTTTATTTCCGTGGGGTCATTGGTGATGTCACCCTGTCATTTCTGATTTTAGTAATTTGAGTCTTATCTCTTTTTTTCTTAGTCAACTAGCTAAAGGTTTCTCAATTTTGTTAACCTTTCATGGAAGGAACATGTTTTCACTGATTTCCTCTAGTGCTCCTCTCTCCTCTATCCCATTTATCTCTGCTCTAATCTTTATTATTTCCTTCCATCTGCTAACTTTATGGGGTTGGGGGGGTTTTTTGTTTGTTTGTTTGTTTGTTTGCTTTACGACAGGGTCTCACTCTGTGACCCAGGCTGGAGTACAGTGGTGCCATCTTGGCTCACTGCAGCCTTGATCTCATGGACTCAAGCTATCCTGCCACCTCAGCCTCTCAAGTAGCTGGGACCACAAGCACATGCTAATTTTTTAAATTTTTTATAGAGACAGGGTTTCACCATCTTGCCCAAGCTGGTCTTGAACTCCTGAGCTCAAGCAGTCCTTCTGCCTCAGCCTCCCACAGTGCTGGGATTACAAGCATGAGCCACCATGCCTGCAAGGGCATCTTCTAATCAACCCCTGGCACCAACCAGGGCTTCCCTTCCTAGGGTCTCACCTGCAGAGTGGCTAAGCACTTACAGACGGGAGTGGACAAAGCCATCCAGACACCCTCCACCCACCTGTCAGCCCAGGCCACCTCCAGATTCCAGTTTCACACAGAACCTGTCCTGCTGCTGGGCAGGACACCTCCTGGTCACCAGGCTGACCTGGCCTCTGTGGACTACTCACTGCCTTAGGTGCCTTTTGCTCCCCAGGATCCAAAGGAGTAGCTGACTTTTTCCAAGGAGCACTGCCCATGGGGACGGAGCCCTGACACCAAAGGGACGGCTGCCCTCTGTGCGCTTCCCTCACACTTTCCCAGATATGAGTCACAGCCACCTGTGCCAACGAGCACCCTTAGAACACCCATTCACCCAGCAGGTGTGACCGCTGCAAAGCTGAACCTTCCATCTGGCCACCAGGCCCCCAGCATGGAGCCTGGGACCAGCAGCAGCCCCTACTCCAAGGCTGGAACCAGCTCAGATGCAACCCTCTCAATCCAAGGAGTCTGGGACTCCACATTCTGGGACTCCAGCTAATTTTATGCATAAAAATTATGGGCCCAGAACTTGTGCATTTTTAGAAAAATGGGTTAACCTAACTAAAGAAAACTTAGAATTAAGATGGCTGCAATGGGGAAGTTTTAATTTGGATAAAATTGTTTATTTATGAGGCATATTAGAAAAGGGGGAATGAAAAACCCCATAAAACAGTGGGATGTGTATTCTTTTATTGGTATGCAGAAGCCCCTAAAAGAGTAAATGAATCAAAAATTGACTCCTTAAAAGATTCTTTGCAAAAAGCAAACGAAAAGCTTAAGCAACAAACTAACGACATGATGAAAGAGGACTGTACTGTGACTGACCTCATCCTGACTGTTCCTTCTCTTTATCCTTCTCTACCTACATACTCTGAGTCCACTAACCTTTTTGCTAAATTACCCTTTCAGGCCAGGCTTGGTGGCTCATGCCTATAATCCCAGCACTTTGGGAGGCCGAGGTGGGTGGATCACCTGAGATCAGGAGTTTGAGACCAGCCTGGCCAATATGGTGAAACCTCGTCTCTACTAAAAATACAAAATTAGCTGGGCGTGGTGCTGCGTGCCTGTAATCCCAGCCACTCGGGAGGCTGAGGCAGGAGAATTGCTTGAACCCAGGAGGCAGAGGTTGCAGTGAGCCGAGATCATACCACTGCACTCCAGCTTGGGTGACAGAGTGAGACCCTGTCTCAAAAAAATAAAAAATAAAAAATATGTATATATTACCCTTTCACCCTGAAGACGATTAAAAAAATAATAATAAGTTAGACAGGCACCTTACAAAGTGAGACTTTCTGATCAGTCATGCCTGCCTGCTGTAACTACTTTCACTCCATGGTCTAAAACTGAGCTTAGAGCCATTGTGAGGGACTTGCCTGATCCAAGAGAAAATCCTCAAAAATTTACTGAGGAATTTAGAATCCTCATAGGAGCTTATGATCCAGGACTTCCTGACCTTCACTAATGTATTCCCGTGATATTGGGGCCTGGTAAAGCTCGGAAATGGACGGCAGCAGCAGAATGGGGCAAACCTGAGGAGGATGTTAAAGACCCCTCCAAAAGCTCCTCACAAGAAGGACCAAAAGTCGCTGGAAAAATTGCTGAAAACCTTTTAAATTCAATTCCTAAAATTTTTCCGCAAAAAATGGACTGGTCCATCATACAATCTTGTAAACATAACAAAAAAAAAGATTTCAGTTTCAGATTACAGAACTCACTTAGAAATGCTGTTTGTGAAACATTCTGGGATCCAAGTACAACAAGAAGTATTTCCTGCAAGGACTGAAACGGCATTAAGTGCTCTATTTGTAAATGGACTCCATCCCGAACTCAGCAATTTAATTAAAATACATGAGTTGGGATAGGAAGTTACAGATATGACTAAATTGTTGGCCTTAGCTGGACATTTTGAGAGGACTCTAGAGCAAGAAAAAACTCAAAAGGCTAACAAGCTTATGGCCCTTCAGCTATAACAGTTACAGGGACCGGGACCCAAGGGATTAATCATTTTATGTATTTATTTAGAGACGGAGTTTCACTCTGTCACCCAGGCTGGAGTGCAGTGGTGAGATCTCGGCTCACTGCAACCTCCACCTCCCACGTTCAAGCGATTCTCATGCCTCAGCCTCCCAGGTAGCTGGGATTACAGGTGCGTGCCACCGTGCCCGGCTAATTTTTGCATTTTTAGTAGAGACAGCTTTTCACCATGTTGGCCAGGCTGGTCTCGAACTCCTGACCTCAAAAGATCCGCCCGCCTTGGCCTCCCAAATTGCTGGGATTACAGGCGTGAGCCACTGCGCTCTGCCTCCTTCTCATTTTAAATCACAATCAGGAGGTCCTAGAACAAGAAGTTCTTTGCCCCAAGATGTCTGCCTGTATTGCAAACAACCAGGGCACTGGAAAAGGGATTGTCCGCTTTTCTATCAGTCCACCAATGAGCCTCCCTTTCGGCCAAACTGTTTCACCACTAGAGGGAGCCCAAGAGACCTTAGGCCTCCTGATAATAATCAACCTTGATGAGGTTCCAAGGGATTCTCCAGTAGATTGCTCTCCGTGCCTTTAAATCAACGTGGAGAAACAGGTTAAAATAAATGGGGAGTTGTGTACAGTCCTCGGGGATATGGGGGCTACTCTATCTACCATAAACCCCACTTTAATAAGCCAACAAATCCCTTGGAGTAAAAAGGTCATTTCTGTGGTGGGGGTTTCAAATCAAGTTTAAGAGGTTCCCGTATCTGAACCAATCCAATTAGCTTTGGGCCCCTTTTCAGAAAAACACTTTTTTACTATGTTATACTGCTCCAGTAAACTTGTTAGGGCGAGATTTGCTTTCAAAGCTAAAAGGGCACATAAAATTTTTCTCAGGAGAAATAACCTTAGAGTTTCCTGATTCTCCTGGACTAGAATTGTTATGCTGTCTACAGACAGAAATCTATAAGATTGAAACTCAGGCCTGTAATACCCCTGATCTTTCAAAAATATCTAAATGTTTTTGGGCCTCTTCCCCAACTGATATGGTAAGAATTAAAAGTTTGGAACCTATAAAAGTACAAAGAGATCGTTCTAAACCTTTGCCTAAATTACCCCAATATCCTCTAAAACCTGAAGCAATTCAAGGGCTGTCACCAATTGTAGAGGATTTCATTAAACAAGGACTCATAATCCCGTGCACCAGCCCTTGTAACAGTCCAGTACTACCAGTTAAAAAACCAAATGGACAAGGCTGGAGATTTGTTTAAGATTTACGGGCATTTAATAAAATTGTAATACCAAGATTCCTGTAGTTCCAAATCCTGATACTTTATTATCTAATGTACCAATTAGTTCCAAGTGGTCCACAGTAATAGATCTCTGCTTAGCCTTCTTTAGCATTCCAGTTCATAAAGAAAGTTTGGTGGCTCACGCCTGTAATCCCAGCACTTTGGAAGGCCGAGGCAGGTGAATCACCTGAGGCCAGGAGCTCAAGACAGCCTGACCAACATGGTGAAACCCCCATCTCTACTAAAAATACAAAAAGTAGTCAGGCATGGTGGCGGGCACCTGTAAGTAATCCCAGCTACTCAGGAGGCTGAGACAGGAGAATCGCTTGAACCCAGGAGGCAGAGGTTGCAATGAGCCAAGACCATGCCATTGCATTCCAGCCTGGGCGACAGCAGCGAAACTCTGTCTCCAAAGAAAAAAAAAAGTCAATACTTGTTTGCCTTTACTTGGAAAAATAGGCAATACACCTGGGCTGTAAAGCCACTAGGGTTTACCAAAGCCACTTCATATTTTTCCCAGGCATTGCATCAGGACTTAATAACACTACAATTTCCTCAAAATTGTACTCTCATTCAGTATGTAGATGACTTATTGTTCTCCCACTAAGGAGTGCTCTGAAATTGACTCAGTTTACCTTTTACAACAACTTGCATATAAAGATCACAAGGCTTAAATGGAAAAACTTCAGTTTTCAAAAGAAAAATTCCACTATTTGGGACATGACTTGACTGCCAAAGGGATTTCCTCTCACCTGGGAGGATAAAAACTGTTCAAAGTTTTCCTTGACCTGAAACCAAAAGACAATTAAGAGGATTTCTTGGACTTACAGGATATTGCAGATCCTGGGTTCCAAATTTTTCCTTAATAGGTTCGCCATTGTATGAACTCACTAAAAATGCTGTACCAGAGCCTTTACCTTGGGAAGATAGTCATGAGCAGGCTTTTAGCCAAATGAAGTTGGCCTTACAACAGCCCCCAGCTTTAGGACTTCCAAATTACCCTAAGCCTTTCACCTTGTTTGTTCATGAGTGTGACAATCAGGCATTAGGAGTCCTTACACAAGAACGTGGTGCTAAACATAGGTCCATTGCATACGATAGCCTGCAATTAGGCCCAGACTCTAAGGCATATTCTAACTGTTTAAAAGCAGTAGCAGCAGCTGCCAAGCTGGTAGAAGCTTCATCAGATCTGGTTTTAGGAAGCGAACTTAATTTGCAAACCTCACATGCTGTGGAAAGTCTGTTAAATTCCAACCAAACCCAGCATTTTTCAGTAAGTAAACTAACATTTTATGAATTACTGCTATCTCCTAATCTTCATTTAAAATGCTGTAATCTACTTAACCCTGCTACTCTGTTACCTTTGCCTGACGATGGTGAAGAACACAACTGTGTAAATGTAGTGCCAGAAATAGTGGCCCCTCATGTTGATTTACAAGATACTCCAGTGGATAATCCTGGATTTATACTTTTTGTTGATAGGTCCTATCCTAAAATCTCAGAAGGAAAATACCAGGCAGAATATGCTGTTACCATCCAAAATGAGTGAATAGAGAAGGAAACGCTTCCTCAATTTAAGTCAGCCCGAACTGCAGAGCTTTTTGTCCTTACCCAAGTTTGTCATATAGCTGAGGACAAGTCAGTAAATATTTATACAGCTAGTAGATATGCTTTCGGAGTAGTACATGATTTTGGCGTGATATGGAAACTATGAGGGTTTCTCACCTCTAGTGGGACCTCCATCAAAAATAGACCCCAAGTAAATGAGCCCCTTTCTGCTATCCTGTTACCATTGTAGACTGTTGTTACTAAGATTGAAGCTCATACTTGTAGAACTGAACCCAAATATCAGGGAAATGCTTTAGCAAATTTTTATGCTAAATCAGCTAGTGCTGAAACTGTTAAGAAATGCAATCTGAATGAACTCCATTGGATTAAGCCGAGCCCACTTCCTTATGATGACCTGCTTAGTAAACAGTGCAGTGCACCTGATTTGGAAAAGCAAAATTGGTATCTAAAAGGATGTAAATTTAATGTGATGCACAGACTCACGGAGGGCCCAGACGGCCGCCTGGTCCTTCCTGAGTCTTTGAAGCTTCCATTGTTGAAAACGCTGCACTCCACCGCTCATCATGGAACAGACAAAATGATCCAAATTATGAAAAAATACTGGTCGGGTGACTGTTCCAAAATTGCTAAAATGGTTTATAATCAATGTTTGACTTGTCAAACTCATAATCCTGGAAAAACAATCAAAACTTCAGGTCATATATTTCCACCACCTGATGAACAATTTGAGCATTTACAGATGGACTTAATTTAGTTGTGACGCGCAATGGGGTATCAGTATGTTCTTGTAATAGTTTGCATGTTTTTGGCCGGGCGTGGTGGCTCACGTCTGTAATCCCAGCCCTTCGGGAGGCCGAGGTGGGTGGATCACAAGGTCAGGAGATCGAGACCATCTTGGCTAACATGGTGAAACCCCCTCTCTACTAAAAAATACAAAAAAATTAGCCGGGCGTGGTGGCAGGCACCTGTAGTACCAGCTACTCGGGAGACTGAGGCAGGAGAATGGTGTGAACCCGGGAGGCAGAGCTTGCAGTGAGCCGAGATCGCGCCACTGCACTCCAGCCTGGGCAACAGAGCAAGACTCCGTCTCAAAAAAACAAAAAGGGGCCCCTTCAGAGTCCTGGAACTGTACACCTGTTGGAGACTTTAAAGTAAAGCTGACCAAGGAAATCTCTCTTCAGAAGCAGACAGCATCCTAGTTTTGGACAGCTTTCCCAAGATCATGGACCAAGACTTCTCTATCATCAGGAAAGCCTTATGTGTTTTTCTGTTTTCCTCATCTTCTGCCCTAATCTTGTCCTTTTCCCTACAGGCAAACCCATGGCACCATAATCAGTGGATGGCTTTAGCTCAAGTTTATGCTCTAGCACAAAACCAGAGTAATTGTTGGGTTTGTGGGCTAATGCCAAAAAAAAATCAGGAAATGATTCCACTGGTGCCAGTGCCCCTCCGCGTTCCCAGCGAGAGCTACCTGAAACTAAGGGAAGAACAGAAAGTTATTCTTGATATGCTAAACATCACTGCTACTTGCTTCCTACACTCACTAAAAACAACACTCTAACTTTTTCAATTGATAAGTCGATCATTACCAAATATAAAAAAACAATCCAAGGCTGGGTGCAGTGGCTCATGTCTGTAATCCCAGCACTTTGGGAGGCTGAGGCAGGTGGATCAACTGAGGTCAGGAGTTTGAGACCAGCCTGGCCAACATGGTAAAACCCCATCTCTACTAAAAATACAAAAATTAGCCAGGCATGGTGGTAGGCGCCTATAATCCCAGCTACTGGGGAGGCTGAGGTAGGAGAATCACTTGAACCTGGGAGGCAGAGGTTGCAGTGAGCCAAGATCGTGCCATTACACTCCACTCCAGCCTGGGCAACAAGAGCGAAACTTCGTCTCAAAAAAAAAAATCCAAGTGATGCCAGCAAAAGATACATTGTGCTTCCAGACATCACGCACTCAAGATTTGGGAATTACTTATGTTGATACAAGTGATTGCTTGTATAATGTAACTGGATTAAATCCAGTAGGGTCTCTTTTTTACTAGATATGGTTATATACCCTTACAACATGCTATAAAGGGGCCACAGAAAAGTAAATTTCCCACTGGACGTTGTTCAGGAGGTATGCAGATTTGTGGTCGAACAAACCTGACTGATCTCTGCTCAAATGCAACTAGGTGGCCCTCTTTTCCAATCCCCAAGGGTCTATACTGGGTCTGTGAAGAGTCTGCGTATCCTGTTCTGCCTCCTCATTGGTTGGGTTCTTGTTATGTGGCCTGGCTTGCTCCTGCCTTTCAAATAGCTTCCCCTGAAAATTCTCATGATGGCCCTTATGATTGGAGGCCAAAATGATCAATAACTGAAATTAGCACTAGCCTTGAAATATTTGAGGATAAGCTCGTTTCTACTGAGGAAAGATTCCAGTGGGATTCCTGGGGGTGCACTCTTGGTGGTAGTGAGATAGCAGTTGTATGGAATTTAAAGCTAATTTGTAAATTGGGAAAAATCTTGGATTTTGTAATCAATCAGACCTCCCAGGGTTTCAGATGGGTAGAAGCTGCTCTCAGAAAGATAGATGACAGGGCTGGGCATGGTGGCTCACGCCTGTAATCCCGGCATTTGGGAGGCCAAGGCGGGCAGATCTCTTGAGGTCAGAAGTTTGAGACCAGCCTGGCCAACATGGTGAAACCCCATCTCTACTAAAAATACAAAAATTAGCCAGGCATGGTGGCTCATGCCTGTAATCCCAGCTACTTGGGAGGCTGAGGCAGTAGAATCGCTTGAACCCAGGAGGCGGTGGTTGCAGTGAGCCAAGATAATGCCATTGCACTCCAGCCTGGGCAACAGAGTGAGACTCCATCTCAAAAAAAAAAAAGATAGATGACAACACGTGAATTCAGCAAAAACACTTACTGGAACATCGTGCAACCTCAGATCTTTTTGCTCAAGCTGGAAGCCTAGGTTTGGTGTTAAACAAAACTGAATGTTGTACTACTTATCTCTTACCTGATTTTGTTATTACAGGAAGCTTAATTTAAAAGGTGCTGATACTGCTGTTTCCTTAGACACTGCCACCAAATACATTAAAGACATCTCTCAAGAGAAAGGAGCCCATGACATGTTTACAATAGGCAACTAACGGTTTGCAGGCATCCTAAGGGTGGATGGCAAGCTTGGGTTTTCCAAGGGCTTCTAATCCTTATAATTCTTCTAGTAGGTTTCCAAGTTATTATGACTTGTATTACCAATGTAACAATGAAAATGAGTAACTGTTTAAGTCAGGCCACTTTACAGCAAACCATGGTCCTTAATCGCTATCATACTCTAAACGAGGATAATGACCAATTGGACCCTAACACTGTTGAACTGCCTATATTGTCTGAACCTTCACTTGGCTAATTTGGTTCGGTTCATTTCATAAGAACTCTCATTAAGGAGTACGCCTTGGCATTTTGATAGTATCCTCTTGATAGTCATAATAATCGTCACCCTGATACACTGTATCCTCTCAAGTCTTAAATGTTTTGTATGCAGCCATCCATTGAGAGTTGAATGGTCTCATTCCAACCAGGTCAAAAAGAACATAAAGAATCATTTAGCTGGTACAAAGCTGCAACTTGTGAATTCCATGTTAACACCAAAGAAGATGTGTGAGACTCCATACTGAAACTAAAGAAGACTTGT